>NC_000011.10:46726666-47029696 GCF_000001405.40 Homo sapiens
CTGGTGGCCAGGACTTGCCCCTCACTGCTTGGCTTGCTCTGCAGACTGTGGGCTGCGACCTCTGTTCGAGAAGAAGTCGCTGGAGGACAAAACCGAAAGAGAGCTCCTGGAATCCTACATCGACGGGCGCATTGTGGAGGGCTCGGATGCAGAGATCGGCATGTCACCTTGGTGTGTCCTGGAGCCCTGCGCTACCATTCACTCCTGGGGGCAGGTGTGCTGCTGGACCCCCACCCTCAGGCCCTGCCTGCAGGCCTGGGCTTTACAGATGACAACAGCTGAGCATCCAGGATCCCACCAACTCCACACAGCAGCCACATGAGATGGGTTGTTTACTTCTTTTTTTTTGTTTCTTAGATGGAGTCTTGCTCTGTCACCTAGGCTGGAGTGCAGTGCTGCAATCTCGGCTCACTACCTCGATCTCAGCTCACTGCAACTTCTGCCTTCCGGGTTCAAACGATTCTCTTGCCTCAGCCTCCTGAGTAGCTGAATTTACAGACATGCGCCACCACACCCGGCTAATTTTTGTATTTTAAGTAGAGACAGGGTTTCACCATGTTGGCCAGGCTGGTCTTGAACTCCTGACCTCAAGTGATCCACCTGCCTCAGCCTCCCAAAGTGCCGGGATTACAGGCATGAGCCACCACACCCGGCCCATGGGTCCTTTACTTCTAAGCAGATGGTAAAGCTGAGACTGACGGAGCTGGTGGCTCACCTCCGCGCACAGCTAATGGGTTTGAATCCAGTTCTTCTGATTCCAGAGCTGTGCTACGCTATGTGAACTCTGGACTGGAAGGACCTAGTTAGGGGGTGCAAAAAGCAGGAGGCAGGTCAGGTGCAGTGGCTCACCCCTGTAATCCCAGCACTTTGGGAGGCCAAGACAGGAAGATCACTTGAGGGCAGGAGTTCGAGGCCAGCCTGGGCAAAATGGTAAAACCCCGTCTCTACTAAAAATGCAAAAATTAGCCAGGTGTAGCAGCATGTCCCTGTAGTCCCAGCTACTAAGGAGGCTGAGGCGGGAGGATCGCCTGAGCCCAGGAGGCTGAGGCTTCAGTAAGCTGTGACTGTACCATTGCACTCCAGCCTGGGTGACAAGAGTGAGACCCTGTCTCAAAAATAAATAAATAAATAAATAAAAAAGTGTGAGGCAGCCCCTCAGCATCACACGGAGGCTCCAGGCCCCAAAGGCGGCCAGCCCAAGCTTGGATCTGGGCCCCGGAGGCAGCTCTGCCCAGCTGGGTTCTTAGACCTGGGATTGTTACTTCTAGGGCTGGTGTAGAGGCAGCCCCCTCATCCTCAGCTCCTAATGCTTCCTGCTGCCCCTCCCAGGCAGGTGATGCTTTTCCGGAAGAGTCCCCAGGAGCTGCTGTGTGGGGCCAGCCTCATCAGTGACCGCTGGGTCCTCACCGCCGCCCACTGCCTCCTGTACCCGCCCTGGGACAAGAACTTCACCGAGAATGACCTTCTGGTGCGCATTGGCAAGCACTCCCGCACCAGGTACAGAACTGGTGGCCCGTGGGTGTCTGGCAGGGGTCTGAGTCCTCCAAAGCGATCATGAGGGGCCCTGGTGGCTCCGGGACACATAGGATGTTCTGTATACCCCCCAGAATATAACATCCCAGCAGTCTCTGCTGGAAAGCCCATTTGGTCACGTCCTGACTGAGGCTTGGAGCTGCGGGGAGAAATCCGTCTGTCTCCTGGTCCCTCCAACACTAGGATATAGCCCATGTGGGAGTCTCTGAAAATAGAGTCTGTCTGGACTAGGGCGTGCAGCCTGTGCCCCTGTCCCCGTCCTCCAGGCTGTCTGACTCCAAAGCCCTGCACGGCTTTAGGCCCAGGAAGAAACACCCAGGGGGCTGCCATGGCAGGAACCAGCCCTATCCCCTCCCTGGTGGCCTGCAGGACACACTGTCTCCCAGACCCCAAGGGCAGGCAGTTTCCTGCTCCTTGCTGGGTGAACCTGCAGCTTCTCCATTTCTTTCTTGGGGTCTCTGCAGGTACGAGCGAAACATTGAAAAGATATCCATGTTGGAAAAGATCTACATCCACCCCAGGTACAACTGGCGGGAGAACCTGGACCGGGACATTGCCCTGATGAAGCTGAAGAAGCCTGTTGCCTTCAGTGACTACATTCACCCTGTGTGTCTGCCCGACAGGGAGACGGCAGCCAGGTGGGCCACCAGATGCTTGTTAGCTGAGGGGCAGAAGCCAAGTTCTGGGCCTGGCTCTGATACCAAGTAGCCTTGCAAGAGCCCCTTTCCCTTTTCCAGGCCTCGGTTTCTTGGAGTGAACCCAAAAGTTCTTTTCAGTACTGGCGTTTTATTTTTTATTTATATTTATTTATTTACTGACGGAGTTCCACTCTTGTCTCCCAGGCTGGAGTGTAGTTGTGCGATCTTGGCTCACTGCAACCCCACCTCCTGGGTTCAAGCGACTCTCCTGCCTCAGTCTCCTGAGTAGCTGGGATTACAGGCTAATTTTTGTATTTTTAGTAGAGACTGGTGGGTTTCACCGTGTCGGCCAGGTTGGTCTCGAACCCCTGACCTCAAGTGATTCACCCGCCTCGGCCTCCCAAAGTGCCGAGACCACAGGCGTGAACGTCTGTGCCCAGCCAGCTCTGGCGTTTTAGATTCTGGTCTCTAAGAAATGGCGTTGGGGCCAGGCGGCTCCTGTGGGGGTTGGCTCTCACTAGGCCCTTCTTCCTTCCCCAAAGCTTGCTCCAGGCTGGATACAAGGGGCGGGTGACAGGCTGGGGCAACCTGAAGGAGACGTGGACAGCCAACGTTGGTAAGGGGCAGCCCAGTGTCCTGCAGGTGGTGAACCTGCCCATTGTGGAGCGGCCGGTCTGCAAGGACTCCACCCGGATCCGCATCACTGACAACATGTTCTGTGCTGGCAAGTCTGTGCAGGGCGGGCTGAGGGAACAGTGGGGCCCAAGCTGGGAGAACTGAGTTGTGCCTGGGTTCAAGCCATGTGACTTTGAGCAAGTTGCCTAACCTCTTGGTGGCTCAGTTTCTTCCTCTGTAAAATGGAGGTAAAAGTCTCTATCCCATAAGGTTATGGGAGGGTTAAATGAAGTAGTATATATTAATGTACTTGGCATAGTATCAGTCACCAGTGAGCTCAGATAGCAGCAAGAGGCTGCGGGTAGGGAAATGCCATTCATTCAGTCACTCAGCAAATATTTATTGAGCGCCTATCACGTTCCAGGCAGCGTTCTAGGGTATACAGCAGGGACCCAGACGGACAATGTCTGTGCCCTCAGAGAGCTTCCTTCCTAGGAGGGCACATCCATAAACAGATCTAAAACAGCAATCCCTGACCAGTGCTGTGAAGAAAAATGAAGCACAGGGAGAGAGAACGGCTGATGAAGTGGGCTTCTAAATAGGGTGGCCAGACAAGGTGGGCAGATCACTTGAGGTCAGGAGTTCAAGACCAGCCTGGCCAACATGGTGAAACCCCGTCTCTACTAAAAATACAAAAATTAGCTGGTCATGGTGACGCATGCCTGTAGTCGCAGCTACTCAGGAGGCTGAGGCAGGAGAATTGCTTGAGCCAGGGAGGCGGAGGTTGCAGTGAGCTGAGATCGGGCATCATTGCACTCCAGCTGGGCAACACAGCAAGACTCCATTGATCGATCGATCAATCAATCAATCAGGTGGCCAGAGAAGGTTGGAGAAGGCCTCCCTGAGAAGGTGATGTCTGGGCAGGGACTGGAAGAGGGGAAGGAAGGAGTGAGCAGGCATATCTAGGGGAGGAGCACCGCAGGCTGGGGGCATGGCAGGCACTAAGGCCCTGAGGTGGGAGCACTCTTGGCTTGTCTGGGGAGCAGTAGGGAGGCCTGGGGGGCTGAGGAGGGGCAGCAGTGGGTGAGGGGAGAGAGGGGGGCAGGCAGAGGACAGCCACTTCCTTTAGGGCCTGGAAGGACTTTATTGAGTGAGATGGGAAGTTATTGAGGGGCTTGAGGCAGGTTAAGAAATGATGTGACTGACTTTAAAAGTAAAAAATAAAAAAATTTAGTGTAATTTCAGACTCACAGAAAAGTTGTAAAAATAATACAAAGATTTCCTGTATACTGTCATCCAGATTGTCCTCCATTCTGTGGATGTGTGGGAATTTTTATATATATATATGCATAGTTTGAGAGCAAATCATGAATATGGTTTCTTTTTACCCATAAATACTTGAGTATTTCCAAAAAAAAAAAAAATACCCAAGGATGTTCTCTTATGCAACCACAATACAAATATTAAAACCCGGAAATTTTTTTTTGACATAGCTTCGCTGTCACCCAGGCTTGAGTGCAGTGGCACAATCTCGGCTCACTGCAACCTCCTGCTCCCAGGTTCAAGTGATTCTCCTGCCTCAGCCTCCTGAGTAGCTGGAATCACAGGCATGTACTACCATGCCTAGCTAATTTTTGTATTTGTAGTAGAGACAGGGTTTCACCATGTTGGCCAGGCTGGTCTTGAACTCCTGACCTCAGGTGATCCACCTGCCTCGGCCTCCCAAAGTGCTGGGATTACAGGCGTGAACCACTGTACTCGGCCAAAACCAGGAAATTTTTTTTTTTTTTTGAGATGGAATCTTGCTCTGTTGCCCAGGCTAGAGTGCAGTGGCATGGTCTCGGCTTACTTGGAATTACAGGTGCCTGCCACCACGCCCGGCTAACTTTTTGTATTTTTAGTATTTTTAGTAGTGATGGGGTTTCACCATGTTGGCCAGGCTGGTCTTGAACTCCTGACCTCGGGTAATCCACCCACCTCGGCTTCCCAAAGTGCTGGGATTACAGGCGTGAGCCACAGCACCTGGCCCAAAACCAGGAAATTAATGATGATACAATATTATTGTCTAATCTATAGACCTTATTCAAATTTTTGTTAGTCTTGCTAATGTCTTTTATAGGGAAAAAAAAAAAAAAAAGCGTGTTTCTCACCCAGGATTCAATGAAGGATCTTTCTTTGTCTTCTATGACCTTGACATGTCTGATGAGTGCAGTCTGGTTATTTTGTACACTGGCCCTGAATCCGGGTTTGTCTAAGGTTTCCTCACGGTCAGGTTCGGGCTCAGTGGTGCCATGTCCTTCTTGGTGCATCCTGTTAACTGGCACATGAGAACAATTTGTCTCATATGTGGTGAGTCTAACTCTGACCTCTTGAGGAAGGCAATGTCTGCCAAGTTTCTTGCTGTAACTTCTGTTTTTCCCTTTGTAATTAATAAGAATCTGGTAAAGAGACACTTTGATGTTTTTTTTTTTTTTTTTTTTTTGTGATGGAGTCTCCCTCTATCACCCGGGCTGGAGTGTGTGGTGCGATCTCGGCTCACTGCAACCTCCATCCCCCAGGTTCAAGTGATTCTCCTGCCTCAGCCTCCCAAGTAGCAGGGATTACAGGCATGTGCCACCACACCCAGCTAATTTTTGTATTTTTAGTAGAGATGGGGTTTCACCATGTTGGCCAGGATGGTCTCGAACTCCTGACCTTGTGATCCGTCTGCCTCAGCCTCCCAAAGTGCTGGGATTACAGGTGTGAGCCAATACGCCTGGCCTACTTTGATATTTTGTATTCTGTTTGCATCAAAACCTTCTCCCAACTAGGGTGACTACCAAATGGCACTTATCTAATTCTGTCATTCCTTCTACATTTGTTAGTTACTTTATTGCTTTCCTTCCTTTCATTCTATCAGTGTGGACTTAAGGATCCTTACTTTATTCTAAGGGTTCACCTTTTTTTTTCTTTTTTTTTGAGATGGAGTTTCGCCCATGTTGCCCAGGCTGGATGGAGTGCAATGGCGTGATCTCGGCTCACTGCAACGTCCTCCTCCCAGGTTCAAGCAATTCTCCTGCCTCAGCCTCCTGAGTAGCTGGGATTACAGGCATGTGCCACCACGCCTGGCTAATTTTTTGTATTTTTAGTAGAGACAGGGTTTCACCATGTTGGCCAGGCTGGTCTCGAACTCCTGACCTCAGGTGATCCGCCCGCCTCAGCCTTCCAAGGTTCTGGGATTATAGGCGTGAGCTCTACCGTGCCAGGCCATACTTTGTTACTACTGTTATTTTTTCTGATGCTCAGATGATCCCAAGTTTGGCCTGTGGAAGTCCCTTCAAGCTGGCTTCTGTGACTTGGGGAGATGTTCTGTCATTCTTTGAGTACTTTCTTTCTTTCTGGCACAGCAAAATGATTCAGGTTAATCCTACTTTCCTTACTGTAGTGTTGGAACCAGCCATTTCTCCAGGGAACCCTTGTAGTCAAGAGTGGAATTTAGAACTGAGATCTGGGTGCTGGCGTGTGCACATTGCTAGTGGGATGTCATTACTTCTAGGCTCTCTTAGTGGACAGAACCAGAAAAAAATTATATGATGCATATACCAATATCTCTATCATCTATATAAAAAACCATGAGTTCCTACTGAAACCTCCAATTCCATTCTAACACCACAGGATTAATTTTAGCTTTTCCTTTTCCATATTTGTAACTCTCTCTGTTGACAGTGAGAAACCTGACCCTCATTATCTGTAATGCATTTGCCTATTTGAACAATACTAGAATATAGTTTCAAAATCCTCCATCCATAACACTATTAAAACCAATCCTATGGCTGGGCTCAGCCCACTGCAACCTCTGCCTCCTGGACTCAAGCCAGCCTCCCACTTTAGCCTCCCGAGTAGCCAGGGCTACAGGCACACACCACCATGCCCAGCTAATTTTTGTATTTTTTGTAGAGACTGGGTCTCACTGTGTTGCCCAGACAGGTCTTGAACTCTGAGCTCAAGTGATCCATCCAACTCAGCCTCCCAAAGTGCTAGGATTACAGGTGTGAGCCACCATGCCTGGCCTCTCCTAGTAAATTTTTAGAAGTGGTGTTGTTAGGTCAAAAGGCAAACATGTATGTCATTTTTTAGAGATTTTTAAATTTCTTTCCATAAGGGTTGTACCAGTTTGCATTTCCATCACAGTGTATGAGAATGCCTGTTTCCCCACAACCTTGCCAAAAGAATGTCACAGTTTTAAATTTTTACCAATCTGAGAGGTGAGAAATAGTATCTTGAAATTGTTTTAACGGACATCTTTCAAATTGAAAATGAGGTTGAACATCGTATCATATGATTAAGGACCTTTTTTTTTTTTTTTTTTTTTTTTGAGATGGAGTCTCCCTCTGTCACCTAGGCTGGAGTGCAATGGCACGATTTTGGCTCACTGCAACTTCCGCCTTCTGGGTTCAAGCGATTCTCCTGCTTCAGCCTCCCAAGCAGCTGGGACTCCAGGCGCGAGTCACCATGCCCGCTAATTTTTGTATTTTTAGTAGAGACAGGGTTTTACCAGATTGGCCAGGCTGGTCTCGAACTCCTTACCTTGTGATCCTCCCGCCTCGGCCTCCCAAAGTGCTGAGATTACAGGCATGAGCCACCACGCCTGGCCTAAGGACCATTTTTATATAATTTTTTTTTTGAGACAGAGTCTTGCTTTGTCACCCAGGCTGGAGTGCAATGGTGCAATCTTGGCTCACTGCAGCCTCCACTTCCCTGGTTCAAGTGATTCTCCTGCCTCAGCCTCCCGAGTAGCTGGTTCCACAGGTGCGTGCCTGGCTAGTATTTGTATTATATAATTTTTTTGTGAATTGTCTCTTCATGGTTTTTTGCCCATTTTTTGGTCCCTTTCTTATCAATTTTTGTGAGTTCTTCGTATTTATATTAGGCCTTTATTTGTGATATACATTGCAAATGTTTTCTCCTAGTTTGTCAGTTTTTTTAACCTCATGTATAATTTTTCTGGCCATGCAGTTTAAAAAATTACTAGGTAGTCAAATTTATCAATCATTTATTTTATTAAATCTGGATTTTGAATCAGAGATAAACTTTTCCTGGCCAGGTGTGGTGTCTTACACCTGTAATCCCAGCACTCTGAGAGGCTGAGGTGGGGGATCACCTGAGGTCAGAAGTTCAAGACCAGCCTGGCCAACATGGTGAAACCCTGTCTCTACTAAAAATACAAAAATTAGCTGGGCGTGGTGGCTGATGCCTGTAGTCCCAGCTACTCAGGAGACTGAGGCTGGAGAATTGCTTGAACCTGGGAGGCGGAGGTTGCAGTGAGCAGAGATCGTGCCGCTGCACTCCAGCCTGGGTGACAGAGCAAGACTCTGTCTCAAAAACAAAACGACAAAAAACAACAACAGAAAAGCCTTTCCTGATAGCTAGGTCATTGAGGAATTCACTCATGTTTTCTTCTAGTACCTGATTTCATTTTTCTGCACTTAGATTCCTGACTCATATGGAGTTTATTTTTGTATCTGATGTGAGGCATAGATCTAATTTATTATTTTCCAAATGGCTAACTAGCTGTCTCTAAACCCTTTATTAAAAATTATTGGCCAAGTGCGGTAGCTCACACCTGTAATCCCAGCAGTTTGGAAGGCTGAGGCAGGATTGCTTGAGGCCAGGAATTCAAAACCAGCCCAGACAACATAGCAAGACCCTGTCTCTACAAGAAAATATTGGTCAGGTGTGGTGGCTCACGCCTATAATCCCAGCACTTTGGGAGGCTGAGGCAGGTGGATCATGAGGTCAGGAGATAGAGACCATCCTGGCCAACATGGTGAAACCCTCGTCTCTACTAAAATACAAAAAATTAGCTGGGTGTGGTGGCGCATGCCTGTAGTACCAGCTACTCAGGAGGCTGAGGCAGGGGAATCATTTGAACCCAGGAGGTGGAGGTTGCAGTGAGCTGAGATCACGCCATTGAACTCCAGCCTGGCGACAGAGCAAGACTCCATCTCAAAAAAAAAAGGAAAAAGAAAATATTTTAAAAATTAGCTGGGCATGGTGGCATGTGCCTTGTAGTCTCAGCTACTTGAGAGGCTGAGTTAGGAGGATTGCTTGAGCCTAGGAGTTCAATACTGCAGTGAGCTATGACCGCACCATTGCACTCCAGCCTGGGCAACAGAGTGAGACCCTGTTTCTATTAAAAAAAAAAAATCGGCTGGGCGCGGTGGCTCACGCCTGTAATCCTAGCACTTTGGGAGGCCGAGGCGAGCGGATCACCTGAGGTCAGGAGTTCAAGACCAGCCTGACCAACATGGAAAAACCCTGTCTCTGCTAAAAATACAAAATTAGCCAGACATGGAGGCACATGTCTGTAATCCCAGCTACTCGGGAGGCTGAGGCAGGAGAATCGCTTGAACCTGGGAGACGGAGGTTGCAGTGAGCTGAGATCCCTCCATTGCACTCCAGCCTGGGCAACAAGAGTAAAAACTCCGTTTCGCCAGGTGCGGTGGCTCACACCTGTAATCCCAGCACTTTGGGAGGCCGAGGTGGGTGGATCACAAGGTCAGGAGTTTGAGACAAGCCTGGCCGACATGGTGAAACCCCATCTCTACTAAAATACAAAAAATTAGCCTGGCATGGTGGTGTGCGCCTGTAATCCCAGCTACTTGGGAGGCTGAGGCAGGGGAATCACTTGAACCTGGGAGGAGGAGGTTGCAGTGAGCCGAGATGGTGCCACTGCACTCCAGCCTGGCAACAGAGCGAGACTCTATCTCAAAATCAATCAATCAATCAATCAATCTTTGAACTAGTGATTTGAGATTTCACCTTTATCACATTCTAGATTGTATCTTATTTTCATTTATTTATTTGAAATATAGACAAGTCTCCCTGTGCTGCCCAGGCTGATTTCAAACTCCTGGCTGGGCTCGAGCAAGTCTCCCGCCTTGGCCTCCCAAACTGCTGGGATTACAGACGTGAGCCACCATACCTGACCTAGGTTTTATTTTTTAGTTTTATTTTTTCCTGCATCCAGCTAATTTGATTTGATTTGTAGAGACGGGGTCTTGCTATGTTACCTAGGCTGGTCTCGAACTCCTGGGCTCAAGTGATCCTCCTGCCTTGGCCTCCCAAAGTGTTGGGATTACCAGCATGAGCCACGGTGCCCAGCCCCACGTTCTAGATTTCTATGGATAGAGTATGCTTAAGGATGAGTATGTTTCTGGATGTTCGACTCGGCTTTCCTGGTCTGTTGTCTGTCTGTGTACAGCGTCACATTGTTTTAATGATAGAGGCTTTAGCGTACATAGCTGGGAAGGCTAATGTTCTCTTTTAGTTTTTCTTTCCAGTGGTTTCCTGGCAATTCTTGCATGTTTGTTTTTCCATATGAACTTTAGTGTCAACATGCCTAGGTCTATAAAAAAGCTTGGTGGTAATTTTATTGGGATTATGACACTTCAACAAATTAACTGGGAGAATGGACATATTTTTGATGTTGAGTCATTTTATCCAAGGATAAGAAACGTTTTCCTATTTGCTCAAGTCTATTATTGTATCTTTCTTGACTGCTGCAATGTATTCTCTTATAATTTTTTCTATTGGTATCTTATTTTATGTATTTGTAATATCTTATTTTTCTTGAGTAAATTAGTTAATGGCTTGCCGGTTTTCTCAAAACAAATATCTAGGGATTTGATTTATGAAATTATTAGGCCTATTATTTTTCTTTTTTTTGAGATGGAGTCTCACTCTGTCGCCCAGGCTGGAGTGCAGTGGCGTGATCTCAGCTCACTGCAACCTCCACCTCCTGGGTTCAAGTGATTCTCCTGCCTCAGCCTCCCCAGTAGCTGGGGTTACAGGTGCACGCCACCATGCCCGGCTAATTTTTTTATATTTTTAGTAGAGACGGGGTTTCACCATGTTAGCCAGGCTGGTCTCGAACTCCTGACCTCATGATCCGACTGCCTCAGCCTCCCAAAGTGCTGGGATTACAGGTGTGAGCCACCGTGCCTGGCCTTTTTTTTTTTTTTTTTGAGACAGAGTCTTGCTCTGTCACCCAGGCTGGAGTGCAGTGGTGCGATCTCGGCTCACTGAAAGCTCCACCTCCCGGGTTCACGCCATCCTCCTGCCTCAGCCTCCCGAGTAGCTGGGACTACAGGTGTACACTGCCACGCCCAGCTAATTTTTTGTATTTAGTAGAGACAGGGTTTCACCGCGTTCGCCAGGATGGTCTCGATCTCCTGACCTTGTGATCCGCCTGCCTCAGCCTCCCAAAGTGCTGGTATTACGGGCGTGAGCCACTGCGCCCGGCCAGGCCTATTATTTTTCTATTGTGGTTCATTAATTTCTGCTTTTTTCTCTTAAAAAGTTTGCTTACGTTTTTGTCTGGTTTACTTTGCTGTTCTCTTGCTAGCTTTTTTTTTTTTCAGATAGGGTCTTGCTCTGTTGCCCAGGCTGGAGTGCAGTGGCACAGTCATAGCTCACTGCAGCCTTGAACTCCTGGGCTCAAGCAATCCTCTTCTTGCTTCAGCCTCCCACGTAGCTAGGATCAGAGGTACATGCCACCATGTCCGGCTAATTTTTTTTTTTCGAGACAGAGTCTTGTTCTGTCGCTCAGGCGGTAGTGCAGTGGTGCAATCCCGGCTCACTGCAACCTCCACCTCCACCTCCCAGGTTCAAGCAATTCTACCTCAGTCTCCTGAGTAGCTGGGATTATAGGCGCACACCAACATGTCTGGCTAATTTTTGTATTTTTAGTAGAGACAGGGTTTCACCACGTTGGCCAGGCTGGTCTTAAACTCCTGACTTCATGATCCGCCCGCCTTGGCCTCCCAAAGTGCTGAGATTACAGGTGTGAGCCACAGCACCTAGTGAAGGTGTGGTTTTTTTGTGTAGGTTTTACTGTTGTTAGTGTTGTTCTGTATTGTTTGTAGAGGATACGTGGGGAGATTTGGATAAAAGCAACTATCATTATTATCCTCATCAGACTTGTAGGTCTAACTTTTTAATTTTTTAATTTTTAATTTAAATTTTTTTCTTGGTCTTTTATCATTAATTAATTTTTTCGAGACAGGGTCTCACTCTGTTGCCCAGGCTGGAGTGTGGTGACATGATCACGGCTCACTGCAGCCTTAACCTCCCAGGCGCAAGTGATCCTCCTCTCTTAGCCTCCCGAGTAGCTGGGACTCCAGGCATGTGCCACCATGCCCAGCTAATTTTTTGTAGAGAGAGGGTTTTGCCATATTGCCCAGGCTGGTCTTGAACTGCTGAGCTCAAGTGATCCACCCGGCTTGGGCATGAGCCACCTCCCCTGGTCTGGTCCAACTTTTTAAAAGCATTATTCTGCCTGTTGGGTGGAGAATAGACTGTAGGTGGGCAAAGAATGAAGGAAACTAGTGGGTTCAGGAGCTCGAGCTAGAAGTGGTGAGAAGGGTTTGGATTTGGGGTCTATGCTGAAGGTAGAGCCGACAAGATTTGCTAGGATTGGATGGGTAGGGTGAGGAAGTGGGGACAGCAAGAATGACTGGAGGGGTAAGTGGACTCTCACCAGCTGTGTCTCGTGAAGGGGCGTGGCTGGGCTATGAGCTATGCTCCTGAGCACAGACGGCTGTTCTCTTTCAAGGTTACAAGCCTGATGAAGGGAAACGAGGGGATGCCTGTGAAGGTGACAGTGGGGGACCCTTTGTCATGAAGGTAAGCTTCTCTAAAGCCCAGGGCCTGGTGAACACATCTTCTGGGGGTGGGGAGAAACTCTAGTATCTAGAAACAGTTGCCTGGCAGGGGAATACTGATGTGACCTTGAACTTGACTCTATTGGAAACCTCATCTTTCTTCTTCAGAGCCCCTTTAACAACCGCTGGTATCAAATGGGCATCGTCTCATGGGGTGAAGGCTGTGACCGGGATGGGAAATATGGCTTCTACACACATGTGTTCCGCCTGAAGAAGTGGATACAGAAGGTCATTGATCAGTTTGGAGAGTAGGGGGCCACTCATATTCTGGGCTCCTGGAACCAATCCCGTGAAAGAATTATTTTTGTGTTTCTAAAACTATGGTTCCCAATAAAAGTGACTCTCAGCGAGCCTCAATGCTCCCAGTGCTATTCATGGGCAGCTCTCTGGGCTCAGGAAGAGCCAGTAATACTACTGGATAAAGAAGACTTAAGAATCCACCACCTGGTGCACGCTGGTAGTCCGAGCACTCGGGAGGCTGAGGTGGGAGGATCGCTTGAGCCCAGGAGGTGGAGGCTGCAGTGAGCCACTGCACCCCAGCCTGGGTGACAGAGTGAGACCCTGTCCCAAAAGAATCCACTATCTATCTTCAGAGCAGGGCCAGGTGAGAGGAAAGATGGCAGGTTGAATTTACAGGCATTAAAGATGTTCCACCCTCTGGGTTTTAATGGATTATCTCATTTAATCCTCACAAGAGGTAGGTGAGTAAACTGAGATTTGGAGAAGTACCTTGTCCAAAGTCACATGGCTAAGAAAGCTCAAAGTAGGACTTCAAATATAGAAAATATTGAGTGAGGACGGTGCTTTTTTAGTTAACTCCCTACATCTTCCCTTGTATCATTAAAATGATATCAGATCAGGTAGGGCATGGTGGCTCACACCTGTAATCTCAGCAATTTAGGAGACTAAGGTTGAGGCTAGGAATGCGAGATCAGTCTGGGCAATGTGGTGAGACCCCAAAAAATAAAATTAGCTAGGCGTGGTGGCATGTGCCTGTAGTCAAGGTTACTTGGGAGGATCACTTGAGCCCAGGAGGTTGAGGCTGCAGTGAGCCATGATCATGTCACTACACCTGCACTGCAGCCTGGGTGACAGTGAAACCCTGTTTATAAAAATCAGGGCTGGGCACGGTGGCTCAAGCCTGTAATCCCAGCACTTTGGGAGGCTGAGGTGGATGGATCACAAGGTCAGGAGATTGAGACCATCCTGGTGAACACGGTGAAACCCTGTCTCTACCAAAAATACAAAAAATTAGCCAGGCGTGGTGGTGGACGCCTGTAGTCCCAGCTACGTGGGAGGCTGAGGCAGGAGAATGGCATGAACCTGGGAGGTGGAGCTTGCAGTGAGACAAGATTGCACCACTGCACTCCAGCCTGGGCGACAGAGCGACTCTGTCTCAAAAAGAAGAAGAACCAACCATGCATACCAAAATCCACAGATGCTCAAATCTCTTATATAAAATGGCACAGTTTACATATAACCTATGCACATCCTCCCATATACTTCATTTTTAAAATTTATTTTTATCTTTTTGAGTTGGAATTTTGCTCATTGCCCAGGCTGGAGTGCAATGGTGCGATCTCGGCTCACTGCAATCTCCGCCTCTTAGGTTCAAGTGATTCTCCTGCCTCAGCCTCCCGAGTAGCTGGGATTACAGGTGCCCGCCACCACGCCTGGCTAGTTTTTGTATTTTTAGTAGAGATGGGGTTTCACCGTGTTGGTCAGGCTGGTCTCAAACTCCTGACCTCAGGTTATCCACCCATCGGGGCCTCCCAAAGTGTTGGGATTACAGACATGAGCCACCCTGCCCGGCCTTCCCATATACTTCAAATCATCTCTAGATGACTTACACCCAATAGAACGTAAATACTATGTAAATAGTTATACTGTATTATTTTAAAATTTGTATTATTTTTATTGTTTTCTTTCCCCACAAATATTTTCAATCTGCAGTTGGTTGAATCTGCAGATGCAAAACCCACAGATCTGGAAGGCCACCTGTATATTAAAAGGTGTATATAACGACATTACTTACCTCATACGGTTATGAGGATTAAATGAAAGAACTTACATGGTGCCTTAGCACAATGCCTAGTGCCTAGTAAGCTGTGAATCACTACCACTCGTATTCTCACTATTGCCTGGGAACTGGACCGGGCATTGGGCCTGTTGAAAGTTCCTCTGCCGCTTACCTCGTCCCTCTCTTGGGCCCTGGAAATAGCCCATCAGTGGGGTAGTTGCTTCCTGGAATGTTTCCTCACACAGCAGTTCCCAGCTGGAACAATTTATTTTTCCAAGAAATGGGACCTCTAAGTTATAAGAGTCATGGGCTGGGCATGGTGGCTCACGCCTGTAATCCCATCACTTTGGGAGGCTGAGGCTGGTGGATCACCTGAGGTCAGGAGTTGGAGACCAGCCTGGCCAACATGGTAAAATCCCGTCTCTACTAAAAATACAAAAACTAGCCGGGTGTGGTGGTGGGCACCTGTAATCCCAGCTTCTCAGCTGCTTGGGAGGCTGAGGCAGGAGAATTGGCTGAACTCAGGAGGCAGAGGTTGTAGTGAGGAGAGAGGCATGCCACTGCATGCCATCCAGCCTGAGCGACACAGCAAGAGTCCCTTGCAAAAAAAAGAATCATAGAACTTCAAAGATACCCTTTCAGAGCACATTCTTCACGGTTACTGTTGGCAGAGGTCACAGGTGTGGGATGGAGCATGGCTCCGTCTTGAGAAGTCTCATCCATGAGCTCAGGGAAAGAATGAAGATCAACGTCTGCCTCAGGCACAGGATAGTGGAGTGGAGCAGGGAAACCCTGTGGCTACAGTACCTGGCCTAGGATCTTCTAACGTGGTTTTCCACGGGAAGGGACCTGAGATAGGGATCTTTAGCACCCTCCTCATAACGTTTTTTTTTTTTTTTCTCATTTTTCAACACATCAGAAAACAAACAGGACAGAGTTCCTTGGCCTCATTCTTTGGTTCTGGTTGACTGAAAGGCAGTGAGCTTGCAGGATTTGGCAGCCCAGGGCATCAACTCGATCAAGGGGGAAGGGATTCAGAATTACTTGTGACATGCAGGACCTGCTTTTTAAACAAGAACACACATTCTCATAAGTCTGTTTTCTTCCGACATAGCGGTCAGTGTTGTAAGCTCTAGGGACTTGGGTTTTTCCAGTCAGCTGTGCTAATTCCAGACAGGAGTACAGCCACTCTTTTTTTTCCTCTTCTTTTGTTTCCCTCCTCTTTTTTGAGACAAGGTCTTGCTCTGTTGCCCAGGCTGGAGTGTAGTGGAGTGATCACGGCTCACTGCAGCCTTGACCTCCTGGGCTCAGGTGATCCTCCCACCTCAGCCTCCCAAGTAGCTGGGACTACAGGCTTGAGCCACTATACCCAGCTAATTTTTGTATTTTTTTGGTAGAGCCATGTTGCCCATGTTGGTCTTGAACTCCTGGGCTCAAGTGATTCACCCACCTTAGCCTCCCAAAATGCTACGGTTGTATGAGTGAGCCACCAGGCCCAGCCTTTGTAGCCATTCTTTCTAAATATGTCTTTCCACTATAGCAGCAAACGCCTCCATCATCCCTTCAGTGAACAAATACCCACTCCCATGTTCCCACTATAAAGGAGAGACAAGTTTAATTTCAGGAGGCTCCGGGGCCACCTGAAAACGATGACTGGAACCTTTACAGGATTAATCTTCCATCAATCTTTCATTTCTTGGACATCAATTGAATTGAAGGTGGGCTACAATAGGAAAGTTCCTTTGAACTTTATAACTGCCCAAAATCTCCTCCTGAATCCAGAACCTTTTCATCCTGAAGAGTTTTTCTGACTGTGGAGGGAGGTCCTGTGGAATTTATTCCAGAGGTGAATACTCAGCTCACTTTCTCATCCTTACTCTGACTGAATGTGAAGCAACTGTTAGCCTGGACCAAAAGAGACTCATACAACCAAGCAGCAAACCACTAAGATTTCCCAAACTCCATTAGTCAAATGAACACAAATCTAGTTGTAGTGTGAGAACCACTGAAGCCCAGCCAATCTCTGGGCGCAATCTTGTGTGCCTTTGGTCAGCAAAGTGGTAGGATGCCCAAGAGCTTCTTGAAACGACTGGTGATAATTGGAGGGAAATCATGACCAAAATCTCAAAACAAGGAAGGATGAGATTTTTCTGCTCCCTAGGAGCTGTTTGTGGAGAGCAGGGAAGGAGAGTTCCTTCCATTCCAAAGGAATAAAAGACAGCTCCAAGTCTGTGAGCCAAGAAAAAGGGAAGCTCTGTAAGCAGTAATTAACCTTTCTCTAACTGGCTGAATACCCAGCTGGTACCAAAAGTTAAAAAATTGCTGCCCAACACTCCATGATATGGAGCATCTTGGGAGTCAGGTATAGTTAATGCAAACTTTATTTATAAAAGACTCTTAAATTAGTTGTATCATGCCATGCATTCATACAGAATACAGTGACCCTTCAGGGCGACAGAGAAGAGCTCACAAACTGAAAGGAAAACTATTAAAGAGTTTCTAATATTAACTATTAAAAAGCTAGGAAAGATTAGGACAATTTTACAAATGAGCAATTAAAAAGAAAAGAAAAGGATCTGGGAACTAGACTGAGCAGAGAGGGGGCAGCTGTTTACAAGTCTGTACACTAAACTCATCCACGGACAGTCTTCTAGAGCAGCAGGACGCTGACAGAGAGAAGCAGAGTATGTACAAATACTTGTGCCACAATGACTCCTCCCCCTAGCTCCACGGCATGATACATACAACCAGTTTGTATACACTAGGCCTGCTGAGGCCATTTTAAACTATGAGGACTTCTAGTTTAGTAAACTAAAGCTGCAGGGTGCCGGGGGAGTGGGGCAGCTTCATTTGCGACTGCTCTTTATTCTCTCCAGTCTTTTTTTCAAGTCGTCTATGTTAGCTGTGGAGGAGGAGGAGGTCACAGTTCCTGAAGAGTGAGTCTGGTTAGAATCCAGGTCTGAATGCTGGTGCTGCTCCCGTGACTCCCGGAGCTGAGAGAGTTTGCTGTGGAGCATGTCTGTGGAAGAGGCGACAGTAGGAACTGCTGGTTTGGAGAGCAAAGAGGTCAAAGGAGGTCGGTCATCTTGCTATTGAGAGAAGGAGAGAGATTGTCTAAGGTCAGGTCAAGCAGGTCAAGATGCAGCTCCAGAACTACAGCAAGACTAAGCCACTTCTCTGTGGGCCAGCCTGCCTCGGACCTGCTTGTGACTACCCTCCCTGAACTGCACAGAAGAAAAGGAGCAGTACCTTTGTGTTGTCCAGACCACATCGCTGTCGGAGGATCTTTAGCCTTTCCAAGTAGACAGATGGCCCCACTTCTTCCCCATTTGTGTTACCTATGGAGGACACTGTGCTTGTGGGCGTGGGCACACATGTGACTTCCATCTGAGGGGAGATGCCTAGAGGGGAAAAAGTAGAAAGAATATTCAGATATCCACATATCCCCCTTCTAAAGTGCCTTGGTTAATCTCCCACCAAAAAGAACAATTAAGAATTTCCTATACTTGAAAACGACAAATTCCACAAGAATCTACCTGGAGTTGGTGATAAGGGTGCTCTGAAATATACAATATAAGCTTCTTGAGAATGCAAAAAACTGATATAGAAAGGCAGAATGTAAATTGGGTCATCCATCTGCATCCTGGGTTATGCAGGGGATTGTACTCCAGTAATCCCAGGGCTGACTTGGGCAATCCAAAAAGCTGAAGCTACTCCTAAGCATACTGTAATTGCCCAACTGAAAAACCCGAGGACCTTAAATGTTTGGAAGAATTAGATTAAGTTTGGACCAATGTCACATAGGAGAAACTCATTTGAACCTGTGAAGGAAGCAAGGTGTCCAAGGCTATGGTGTATTCATGGGGAAGAGAAGGTGTCCAACAATTATCTAAAGAGGGCATAGAACTGGAGTGTCTGTAACCCTACCACTAAGATCAATATTCTGGCAGGAGAGAGGAAAACCAAAACAACAAAAAATCCATCACACTTCCTAAATTTCTGAGAATGAACAATGATACAATGCGGGCCTTTAAAATATTTCACTTGGTATCAATGCAAATGCATTCCACAGGCCCCAAAGGTAAGGTACTGGGAGGAAACACTGCCTTATGGTAAATAGAAAAGTAGAAAGGTTACTCCAGGGAAAAAGGACTCCTTTAATGTAAAGATGAGGAGAATCCTCTGAGGGGGTGAAAAATGAATGAAGAATTATGTAAAAGCCAGCAATATGAGATGTCTGAATACTCTAAGGCACAAAATCAATTTAATAATCAGTGGGAATACATGCTTGGGTTGCAAATGTGCTGTTTAGGCCAAAATTATCACACGTTGAACATCCCCAAAAAGGGCTTTGGAAACAAGGATAGGATGCCTGCCCTGATCAAACCATGGTATGTTTACATGTGGCATACTGTTGGACATTCTGCACACCACACTTTAACTCCTAAGAGGTCTTTTTCATTAAAGACCAGCCTGGGCAACAAAAAGAGACCCTGGCTGGGCACAGTGGCTCATGCCTGTAATCCAAGCACTTTGGGAGACCAAGACAGGTGGATCACTTAGAGGTCAGGGGTTCAAGACCAACCTGGCCAACATGGTGAAACCCTCTTAAAAAAAATTCAAAAATTAGCTGGGGGTGGTGGCACACACCTATAATCCCAGCTACTCGGGAGGCCAAGACATGAGAATCACTTGAACCCAGGAGGCAGAAGCTGCAGTGAGCCGAGATCGCACCACTGTACTCCAGCCTGGGTGACAGAGTGAGAACCTATCTCAAAAAAACCTCAAAAAATAAAAACACTTGTAAAGTCTTGGAAAGGCGTAATTTAAGGTGTCAAAAACAAAAAAGAACTCCTATTTAAGAGAACAAAATTTAACTGAAGCTTCAGCCCAGCAAGATACAGGCTGAGAGTGGATATGATCAGGGTCTGAAAAACACAAAGGGACATGCTTTGACAGGCAAACACATTCTCAAATGTAAGAGTAGGTGAATGTCACTAAACTCGGAAAGAACTAAGCATAGAACTGATGAGAGGGCACTTTTGCAGTTGGGTCTGTCTTGTCTTGGTTTAAGGCTCATGATAGCTATTTTCTATAACTGAAACCTCCTAAGTCTTCTGTTTGTCTCTAGATCCTGTGAGCAGTAATTCTCGAATAGGGACTTTTTCACTGTGGGGGCAGTAACATTTCAGCTTAAACTTAGTTACTGCATTCATTTATATCATTTAACAAATATCATCATGTGTGGCTTAAGGGCAGGGATACATTCTGAGAAATGCATTTGTTAGATAATTTCATTGTTATGTGAACACCTAGTTGGTATAACCTGCCACACACCTAGGCTACAAGCCTGTACAGCATGTTACTGTACTGAATACTATAGGCAATGTTAACACAAAGTATTTATGTATCTAAACATAGAGAAGGTACAGTAAGAATGTTGTATAAAAGATAAATGGTACACCTGTATAGGACATTTACCAGGAATGGAGCTTGCAGGACTGGAAGTTGCTCTGGGTGAGTGGTGTGTGAAGGTGAAAGCCTAGGACACTACTGTCAACTTTATAAACACTGTACACTTAGGCTACACTAAACTTATACAAAAATAATTGTGCTATGACATTATGACAGCTATGGTATCATCAGGTGATAGCAATTTTTCAGCTCCAGCTGGGTATGGTGGCTCACACCTGTAATCCTAGGTCTTTGGGAGGCTGAGGTGGGGGGATCACTTGAGACCAGGAAGACCAGGAGTTCAAGACCAGCTGGGGCAACATGGTGAAACCCTGTCTCTACTAAAAATACACACAAAAAATTAGCTGGGTGTGGTGGCACGCAACTGTCCAGCTACTCGGGAGGCCAAGGCAAAAGAATCACTTGAACCTAGGAGGTGGAGGTTGCAGTGAGCCGAGATCGTCACTGCATTCCAGCCTGGATGACAGAGTGAGACCCTGTCTCAAAATAAATAATCTTATGGGACCACCATCATATATGCAGTCCATCACTGGGCAAAATGTTGATATGCATGACTAGACACAGATGCTGAACAATTAACCTAATAAATACTACATTATATAGTATGTTAGAGGTGTAAGTGCTATGGTGGGGTGAGGGATAGGTTGCAAGTTTTAAACAATAAGGTTTTACTGGCCAGGCACAGTGGCTCATGCCTGGGAGTACTTTGGGAGGCCAAGGCAGGTGGATCAACTGAGGTCAGGAGTTGGAGACCAGCCTGGCCAATACGGTGAAACCCCGCCTCTACTAAAACTACAAAACTTAGCTGGGCGTGGAGGTGCACGTCTATAATCCCAGCTACTCGGGAAGCTGAGGCAAGAGAATCTCTTAAGCCTGGGAGGCGGAGGGTGCAGTGAGCCAAGATCGTGCCATAGCACTCCAGCCTGGGCGAGAGAGCAAGACTTCATCTCAAAAAAAAAAAAAAAAAGGTTTCACTAAGATGGTGGTATTTGAACAAAGATGTGAAAGAGGAAAGGGAGCTAGGCAACAAAGCCATCTAAGGAAGAGCATTTATGTGTAAGAAATAGCCAGTGCAAAGGCCCTAAGAAGACATATGCCTGGTGTGTTCCAGAAACAACCAGGGGGAGGCCAGGCGTGGTGGCTCACACCTGAAATCCCAGAACTTTGGGAGGCCGATGTGGGTGGATCACTTGAGCCCAGGAGTTAGAGACCAGCCTGGGCAACAAGGAGAAACCCTGTCTCTACAAAAAATACAAAAATTAGCCAGGCATGGTGGCATGCACCTGTAGTCCCAGCTACTCGGGAGGCTGAGGCAGGAGGACTGCTTGAACCCAGTGAGCCATGATTGCGCCACTGCACTCCAGCCTGAGTGAGAGAGCGAGACCCTGACTCTAAAAGAAACAAGGGGGCTGGTGGGGCTGGAGTGAAACAACAGGAAGAGGACTAGGTGATGAGGTACTAGGGGCACTGGCGGGTCCTATAAACACAGGACCTCAGAGACCTTTAAAGGGCCTTTTGCTTTTGCTGAGTGAAAGGGAGAGCCTCTGGAAAATGTTTCATTAGAGTCATTCTGATGCTATGTGTAGAAAAGAACAGAGGAAGGCAGGGTGGAAGCAGGGAGATCAAGCAGGAAGATAGTACAGTAATACAGATGAGAGAGAACACACACACCAAGGTGGTAGCAGTGAAGAGAAGTGTGGATGAATTCTGCATATGGTTTGCAGGTAGAGCCAAAATAATTTCCTGACGGAAAGGAAGAGAAGACTCAAAAGCTTTGGATCTGAACAAACTCGAAGGATAAAGTTGCCATCAACCAAGATGGAGAAGAATGTAAATGGATCGGCTGGGCATGGTGGCTCACGCCTGTAATCCCGGAACTTTGGGAGGCCGAAGTGGGCGGATCACGAGGTCAGGAGATCAAGACCAGCCTGGCCAACATGGTGAAACCCCGTCTCTACTAAAAATACAAAAATTAGCCATGGTAGCAGGCATCTGTAATCCCAGCTACTCGGGAGGCTGAGGCAGGAGAATTGCTTAAACCCGGGAGGTGGAGGTTGCAGTGAGCCAAGATCGCACCACTGCACTCCAGCCCGAGCAACAGAGCGAGACTGTCTCAAAACAAAACAAAACAAAACAAAAGTCAATGGATCAGGCTTACGGGATGATCAGGACTTTAGTTTTTTTGTTTGTTTGTTTTTGAGATGGAGTCTCGCTCTGTCGCCCAGGCTGGAGTGCAGTGATGCGATCTCGGCCCAGTGCAACCTCCGCCTCCTGGGTTCAAGTGATTCTTCTATCTCAGCCTCTTGAGTAGCTGGGACTACAGGCGCACGCCACCACACCCAACTAATTTTTGTATTTTTAGTAGAGACGGGGTTTCACCATATTGGCCAGGCTAGTCTTGAACTCCTGACCTCGTGATCTGCCCGCCTCAGCCTCCCAAAGTCCTGGATTACAGGCGTGAGCCACCATGCCTGGCCAGGACTTTAGTTTTTGACATGTAGAGTTTACAATGTCTATGTGAGGCTGGGCATGGTGACTCAAGCCTGTAATCCCAGCACTTTGGGAGGCCAAGGTGGGTGGATCACCTGAGGTCAGGAGTTCAAGACCAGCCTGGCCAACATGGAGAAACCCCATCTCCATTAAAAATACAAACATTAGCTGGGTGTGGTGGCACCCGCCTGTGGTTCCAGCTACTCAAGAGGCTGAGGCAGGAGAATCACTTGAACCTGGGAGGCGGAGGTTGCAGTGAGCTGAGATTACACCACTGCACCCCAGCCTGGGTGACAGGGTGAGACTCCGTCTCAAGAAAAAAAAAAAAAAAAAAAAAATCTATTTGAAACCCAGGTGGAGATATCATGTAGGATATAGCAGTTTGGAAATCAGGAAGGAGGTCTAAGCTGGAGATTTAAATGTTATTTAAAGTGGTGAAAGTAGATGAACTCATTAAGGAAATAAGAGAAAGAGAGAAGACAACCATAGACTGAACCCTGGGGGATGTCCACATTAAAAGGTCAGAGTGAGGCCAGGCGCAGTGGCTCATGAGCATCATCTCAGCACTTTGGGAGGCTGAGGCGGGCGGATCACCTGAGGTCAGGAGTTCCAGACCAGCCTAACATGGAGAAACCCCGTCTTTACTAAAAATACAAAAAATTAGCCTGGCGTGGTGGCGCATGCCTGTAATCCCAGCTACTCGGGAGGCTGAGGCAGGAGAATAGCTTGAACCCGAGATTGCACCACTGCACTCCAGCCCGAGCAACAAGAGTGAAACTCCATCTCAAAAAAAAAAAAAAAAAGAGGTCAGAGCAAGTGAGCAAGAATCAGTCAAAGGCCAAGAAGGAATAGCCAGTGAGACTGGAGGAAAACAAGACAGCATGGAGAACTGGAAGCGAAGTGAAGAAGCTGTCTCAAGGGCAGGGAACAATTTATTTACCATTGTCAAATACTGATGATGGGTCAATTCAGGTGGCTAAGAATTGACCACTGGATATAGCAATGGGAAGGCCATTTGGTGACCATTAAGTATTGAGGTTCATGGATATGAATTTAAACTAACCAAAACTTCAGGTTCCTGTGCTAGGAGCTATTTTGAGCTTATTCCTGGAGCTATAACAGGAAACCATACCTGTTGAAGTGGAAATACGACCTTTGCCCTCCCTCTCCATCTCAATCACCCGAAGGCCTCTTTCGACATAGCTCTGGAAGAACTGTGAGGAATTTTTCAGAAATGGTTCAATGTCAGCATCTGAGTATTTCTTCTTATATTCATATAACTCTGCTAGTCCCTGGTGAACAGGAAAAGGGAAGAGGTGGGGATGAATGTTAGTGTCCCTTTACCATAAAGCAGACCCCTATTCTGCTTAACCCTTTCACTCTCACCTCTTTAGTGTTTTCTTTAGAGCCAATCTTCTTAAAAATCTCAGCTAAGAAATCATTCACTTTGGCCTTTGATGATTTTTCATCCTGAAAAGTTGAAAGACATAGGAAGAATTGGTTAGACTTGAGTTATTAATTAGGAACTGATGGTTGGATATGAACAGAAAATATCTCAAAATCTGGGCCTTATTGGTATGTTCCTACAGATAACAGATGCACCGATGATGCAGGTCTTGCAGCAGAAGCACTAACATTCTGTGTTACTGAATGCCTCCAGTCTCAGATTTCCACCTCAACTTGATGGAGAAGGAACTGACATATTCTTTCCATGTTAAGCAGAACTAGCTATTTATCTGGTGACCAATGCCTTAGGCATCTTTCTTGGGGACCAAAAAACACATGGTTATACTTAGTTTAGATTTTAAAATTTCAAGGTGGAAATGGTTACTGCACCACAGCAGGAGACTGATTCAACCAGTCCATGAGCCTTCACCTTGGACCTTCGGAAAGCATATCCTGGTGACCTACACCTTAGATAAGATCACTTCCGGTGTAGCCTCATGTCCCTCAATCTTTCAAGTCAGGCCACTCACTATTCGAGATGCTCCCTTTTCTGTTTCCTTATCAGACTTGCTCCCAGTCTGGTCCATACTGTGCTTCATCATCCGGCAGAGATGGGCCTCCAGCTCAGACTCGTTTTTGTTGTCGATCATCGTTAGGTGGTCCAGGATCTGAGGGAGACACATGCATGACTGATAGCACTGCCATTTCCATGATTTTCTCTCAAGCTCCCTCAGAGACCAGTTGCGATTCTTACTCACCTTGGGCCCTTTTAATTTGCATAAGGTGTGTAGCAGGGTCTTTAGGGTCCTTATGGGAAATTCACTTTTGCATTGCTTCAGTTTCTCTTTGGGGAAGACCTTCATGAAAATGTGGATATCCAGAAGAATTCTGTCTAGGTTAATGCTATTGATGGTATCAGGCAACAGTCGAACCATTCTCCAGAGACACTATTGAAAAAAGAATAAAAGAGTTAGGAGTGACTGAAGAATGAGGATAATTTGTCACCATTCATCTTCCCTAAGCTTTGAGCTCACTTCTAAAAGATGGCCAGGGCTATAAATGTGGCACATCATATCTTTCAAGTTCAGCTGCTAAAACATGAAAATTTTTAATCACTTCTACCATGACACCAGCTGAAGTGTGTCCAGTCATTCATCTAATCATCCATCTCTACTCCTTCCCACTCCCCAGAGCTAGGGGCCATCATTTAACCTGGTAGAAATTCTCTCTTGGGTTTCCTTCGTTCCTGAGAGTAAAGTAGTTCATGTTGCTTAACCAAATCTAATGCAAGGGGACAAAATATCTGATACTAATTCAGTGTAATAACAGTATTACAATGTTATAAATATGTTCATTTGGTCTCTTTCACAAAAGAGACCAAATATCATAGGGCTGTAGATATCTTTTTCCCCAAAATAAATGAAATCTGTTTCAAACTTCTTTCCTTTTGATCCTCAGAGAATTAGTAAAATATTTACAAAATATTTCCTCCCTTTCACTGTTTGAGGCCACGAACTGTTTAGGCCTGAACTTAGAATATAAATTGTAGGAAGGGAAAAACTGAAGACCAATTCATATATATATATATATATATATATATATATATACACACACACACACACACACACACACACACACACACACACGTGTATTATATACATATATAACATATTAAGATATACATATATAATACATATATACATATATATAATACACATATATATAAAAAACCATATATATATTTTTTAAGAGATGGGGTCTCACTGTTGCCAAGGCTGGAGTGTAGTGGTATGATCAAGCTCACTTCTGGGTTCAAGTAATCTCCTCAACTCAGCCTCCTGAGTAGCTGCTACTATAGGTGCATGCCACTGCACCTGGCTAAATTTTTAAAAATTTATTAATATTTTTATTACGAAAAATATATTTTCAGGTGTGACTTGGTTGATTTGAGCCTATGTCTTTCTTAGCTCCAATTCCTCTTTCCCCATACTTTTAACAAAGTGATTGCATCTTTGAAAGAAAAGAGATCAAATCATTTCAACTTCACCTTCATAACAAGCTCTGAGAATTTGGGAGAACTGGCTGTTGCTAGCAGGCTGTCTTGGAGCAAAACAAGTAGGGCACTGGAAGAAAAACCCAACACAACAGCATTAAGTTTCAAACCTGCATTCCAATTAGAATCAGCAGTTGAAAGGGCAAGTGAGATTACTCTATTCATCTAATAAACTGAGAGGTCATGGATCAGGAATTGTCCTGGACTACCTGACATTCAGTTAAGAAAATAAACATTGTTTAAGCCTTTTAAGTCACCACTTGGTAAGTGTAAGGTTTGTGACTCTATTTTTCATTGTCATTGGTAGCTGAGAAAGAATAAAATGTACCTGAAATGTACAAGAAAAATGTAACTGACAAACTTTACAGTCCTATTATAGAAAATGCATGATATTGGCTGGCTAACTAAGTATTTACTAGTTTTAGCTATGGTCTCAGGCTAAAATACCTTTGGTCCATGATGAAGAAGAGTAATAAATCAACTTCCTAGGCACACTTAAAGTTTTAACTGATATAGTTATAACTGATGTAGCTATAACTTTAAGTGTGCCTAGGAAGTTGATTATGATTGTTAGGTTGCCTAGGAAGTTGACTTACGGACATTATGGTTTCTAAGTGTAAACAAAAGCGAGGATGCCCCAGGCTCTATTGGCTGAGAGTACAGATATACCTCAGGATGTTGGTCTGGTCTGACTTCTCCAGAACCTTCACCACCAAGAGGTTCACAGAGCGGATGACCTGTTGTCCTTCCTCAAGATCTTCAATCCGAGAATCCAGCATTAAGGTGATGAGGCCATGCATTAGGTCTTTTAGTACTCCAGTGGAGGCCTCCCGGGCAAGGCTCTCTATCTGAAACAGCTATCCAGACATACTTGTGTCAGGGAGGTGTAAAACTCAATATAGAGAGTAAAGAAATGTGGGTGGCATATTCTGATAAATATTCAATTATGTTGTATTTTTTTTTTGAGACGGAGTCTCCTCTGTCGCCCAGGCTGGAGTGCCAGTGGCGTGATCTTGGCTTACTGCAAGCTCTGCCTCCCCGGTTCATGCCATTCTCCTGCCTCAGTCTCCCGAGTAGCTGGGACTACAGGCACCCACCACCACGCTGGGCTAATTTTTGTATTTTTTTTTTTTAGTAGAGATGGGGTTTCACCGTGTTAGCCAGGATGGTCTCGATCTCCTGACTTCGTGATCCACCTGCCTTGGCCTCCTGAAGTGCTGGGATTACAGGCGTGAGCCACCGCGCCCGGCTATGTTATATTTGTAAAAATTCAGAGTATTAAAGAAAAAACAAAATCACCACACTCCCCCAAGCCTCTAGTAATAGGCAAAATTAATCGGTGTGCTTCTAATTGTGAAATTTTTTGTTTTTTTTTTGAGACAGAGTCTTGCTCTGTTGCCCAGACTGGAGTGCAGTGGCACGATCTCGGCTCACTGAAAGCTCCGCCTCCTGGGTTCAAGCAATTCTCTGCCTCAGCCTCCCGAGTAGCTGGGATTACAGGCGCCCGCCACCAGGCCTGGCTAATTTTTTGTATTTTTAGTAGAGATGGGGTTTCACCATCTTGGCCAGGCTGATCTTGAACTCCTGACATTGTGATCCACCCGCCTTGGCCTCCCAACGTGCTGAGATTATAGGTGTGAGCCACTGTGCCTGGCCAAAGTATTTGTTTTTACATGTGAAATTATTTACTGTTATGCCAAATTTGTAATTTCTGGCTAGTTGGTGTCATTAAGTCCACCCTTTTAGCCCCAGTTTAAGAAAGAATATTGAAATCTGAGTGAGAATGTCTTTATTATCCTTATAATCTGCTCTACAGGTAAAACATTAACAAATTTTTTCCCTTTTATTTTTAGTTGACATGTAATAATTGTACAAATTTATGGAATACAGAGTGGTATTTCAACACATGTATACAATGTATACTGATCAAACCAGGCTAATTAGCATTTTTAATAGAACCATACTTATCTGTGGAAAGGCAGCTATGGCCTACCATGCCTGATGAAGAAACTGGCCGGAAGAAGCTAGGTAGTCTGTAAGCATGTTACTTTATATCCTAACAGTAAGGTGGGATGGAGTGTAGCCAAACATCCAATGGAAGCCATCAGTAGCTTGCTATATACAATGCATGTAAAATTCTACCAAGTGACACAGGACTCACTGCAACATCTGCATGGACTCTGGCTTTTGAACCTCTGTAGGCTGAGAGATTGATGGGAAGCTGAAATTCTGCAGAGGTGCCCTTACCGAAATCATGTTGCCAATGATACAGCTATACAACTTGATGATCTCGTCCTTCTCCAATTTCTCATCTGCCATGTGTGTGTTGTAGATGAGTCTTAGCTGCATAAAAGTGGCTATCAGAAACTGATCAATATGGCCGGACATGGCTTCAGCTTTGTCTTCCTGTCTCAGGACCTCATCGATCTGATAACAAAAATTTCAAGATATATTTTCCAAGCTTCATACTTCTAAAATAGCGGAAGACACTATATGAAACTTCTCCATAAGAATATTTATTAGCAAAGTACTTCTAAAGTCTTACCTTAAAAAAAAGCCCATTTACTTATTTATTTTATTCATTTATTATTTTGAGAGAGAATTTTGCTTTCACCCAGGCTGGTGTGCAGTGGCACGATCTTGGCTCACTGCAACCTCCACCTTCCGGTTTCAAGTGATTCTCCTGCCTCAGCCTCCTAAGTAGCTAGGATTACAGGCGCCTGCCACCACGCCAATTTTTGTATTTTAAGTAGAGACGGGGTTTCACCATGTTGGCCAGGCTGGTCTCGAACTCTTGACCTCGTGATCCACCCACCTTGGCTTCCCAAAGTGCTGGGATTACAGGCGTGAGCCACCGCACCTGGCCCCATTTAAATATAAATAACTAGTCCTTAGGGATTCAGTCATTCGGCAAATATTTACTGAGCAAGATACTAGATACATTAGTCACAGGTTCGATTCTAAGAGGCTCATTGTCTAGTTCAGGGAATAATAATCCTTATGTTTGGCTGGGCACAGTGGCTCACATCTGTAATCCCAGCACTTTGGGAGGCCAAGGTAGGTGAGTCACTTGAGGTCACGAGTAGGAGATCAGCCTGGCCAACATGGTGAAACCCCATCTCTACCAAAAATAGAAAAATTAGCCTGGCATGGTGGTAGGCACCTGTAATCTCAGCTACTCGGGAGGCTGAGGCAGGAGAATTGCTTGAACCCAGGAGGCGGAGGATGCAGTGAACCGAGATCACGACACTGAACTCCAGCCTGGGTGACAAAGCGAGACTCCGTCTCAGAAACAAAACAAAAATACTTATGTTTAAATGTTCAATTTATTAAAAAGAGTGCTTTTTAGACTCTTCAGACAGGGCTGATATTAAGATCTCCATTTAACAGATGAAAAGTGAGGCTCAGAAAGATCAGACTACTGGTCCAAACTCAAAAACTCAGCTTTCTCACATACTGGTCCAGTGTTCTGTTGCAGTACACTGGTTGTCACTAATGATAATAAGGCATTGTTTATATCTAATCTATTGGCAAGTTCTGTGGATTCTACTTCCAAAAGAAACCCTGAAACCATGACTTCCTTCCTCTTCACCATTATCATCCTAGTGGCACATAATATCTTTCATATAAATTTTGGCCACAACTTCCTAAAAAAATTGCTGAATTCACTCTTGCCATGCATATAATCTTATCTCTAGAGCAGCCAGAGTAATTTCTTCCACAATTAATACAAACAAAAAACCTGCAAAGGTGAAAAAAAAAGTACATTACAGAAACGTTGAAAGGGTAGTAAAGGAACTCTTTTATCCTGAATCATTTAAGAGTAAGTTGTCAATCTGATGTTCCATACCCTGATACTTTAGGGTATACTTATTAACAACAAGGACATTCTCCTTCATAAGTACAATAAAACCATCAACATCAAGAAATTAACATTGATGTTACTACCATCTAATCCTCAGACCCCATTCCATTTTCTCTAATGACCTCAATTATGTCCTTTAAAGCAAAAGACCAGTCGAGAATCATGCACTGCATTTACCTGTCATGTCTCTCAGTCTCTTTATAGTGTAGGACAGTTCTTCAGTGTTTCCTTGACTTTCTGGACCTTGAATTTTTTTTTTTTTTTTTTGAGACAAAGTTTCATTCTTGTTGCCCAGGCTGGAGTGCAATGGCACAATCTTGGCTCATAGCAACCTCCACCTCCCGGGTTCAAGCTATCCTCCTGCCTCAGCCTCCGGAGTAGCTGGGATTACAGGCATGTGCCACTATGCCCGGCTATTTTTTTTTTTTTTTGTATTTTTAATAGAGTCAGGGTTTCTCCATGTTGGTCAGGCTGGTCTCGAACCCCTGACCTCAGGTGATCTGCCCACCTCGGCCTCCCAAAGTGCTGGGATTATAGGCATGAGCCACAGCGCCCAGCTTTGACCTTGAATCTTTATAAAATGTCCTTAATTTGTATTTCTCTGATGTTTCCCATGATTCAGGTTATGCAACATTAGAATTATCAGCAAAGTGATGTGGAACTGTCACTGGATCCTATCAGTGTAGCACATAATTTCCTTTTATCACCCTGACGCAGTGGCTCACGCCTGTAATCCCAGCACTTTGGGAGGCCGAGGCAGGTGGATCACCTGAGGTTGGGAGTTCAAGACCAGCCTGGTCAACCTGGTGAAACCCTGTCTCTACTAAAAACACAAAAATTAGCTGGGCGTGGTGGTGGGTGCCTGTAATCCCAGCTGCTAGGGAGGCCGAGGCAGGAGAATTGCTTGAACCCAGGAGGCAGAGGCTGCAGTGAGCTGAAATCGCCCCACTGCACTCCAGACTTGGCAACGGCGAGACTCCATCTCAAAAAAAAAATTACAAAAAAATTTTCATTTTGTCACATTGTTGTTGATTCACTTTGGGTTGTTTTATTTTTTATTTTTTAAATTTTATTTATTTATTTGTTTATTTTTTGGAGATGGAGCGAGATCTCGCTCTGTCACCCAGGCTGGGGTACACTGGCACGATTTCGGCTCACTGCAACCTCTGCCTCCTGGGTTAAAGTGATTCTCCTGCCTCAGCCTCCTGAGCAGCTGGGACTATAGGCGTGCGCCACCATGCCCAGCTAATTTTTGTATTTTTAGTAGAGACGGGGTTTCACCACATTGGCCAGGCTGGTCTCGAACTCCTGACCTCGTGATCCACCCACCTTGGCTTCCCAAAGTGCTGGGATTACAGGTGTGAGCCACCACACCTGGCCTATTTTTTTTTTTTTTTTTTGAGACATGGTCTCACTCTGTCACCCAGGCTGGAGTATAGTGGTGCAATCACAGCTCACTGCAGCCTCAACCTCCCAGGCTCAAGCAATCTTCCTGCCTCAGCCTCCTGAGCAGCTGGGACTCCAGGCAGGAGCCACCATACCCACCCATGACTTCTCTTTTAAAAAATTTCTAATGGTTTCCTATCATAATTGAAATAAAATCCAAACAACTCACCCTGGTGCTTTTAAAGCCCTACATGATATGATCACTGTCTGCCTCTCAAATCTCATTCTGTATCATTGTCCCCCTTTAACACTATGCTCCAGGCACATGAACCTTCTCTTATTTCCTTGAACTTCACGCTCATTTCTGCCCTAAGGCCTTTGACCACTAGCTCTTTCCTCTCCTTGGCATACTCTAAGCCCCAAGGATATCAGAGTTTTCCTGATCACCCAGTCTAAGTATCTACTCACTTCCTTTCCGTCATTACCCCATTTAAGTTATATTTACACAGTTGTTACAACTGTGTGATATTTTCTTGTTTACTTGTCTCTGTCCACTAAAATCTAAATAAGTTCCATGAGAGTTGGTCCTTACTTGTTAGCTGCTGTTTTATCTCTAGCCTCTGGTGAATCAATGCAATTATAAAAAATGCAAGGCTTAGCTAGGTGCAGTGATGCAAGCCTGTTGTCCCAGCTACTCAGGAAGCTGAGAGAGGAGGATTACTTGAGTCCAGGAGTTTGGGGCTGCAATGTGCTATGATAGTGCCTGTGAATAGCCACTGTACTCCAGCCTGGACAACATAGTGAGACCTGGTCTCAAAAGAGGAAAAAAAAAAAAAAAAATAAGGCTCTATTAGAGTCACATCCTCTGAGGCAAGTGATGACTGAGTGGCACCTGTGCATTTCTTTCCTCGGGAAAGTATGAAACACTGCCTGCATCCCCTAATGCTATGACTCTGCGAGTGTGCAATTCATCACATTTATAGCCTCTATGTCCACCAATGGAATCCCTGTCACGGGAGCACACCCATTACCTGTGTCAGAGCTTGGATACTTGTGTTGATGTCACCACTGGCTACTTGGGAGATAATGAAATTGATTGTGGATGCTGTATTACTGTGCATGTCATCGAAGTGTGGAGAAACAGCCCGGATCCTAGATAGCAGAACAAAGAGAAAACTTCAACCTCTATTACAAGACATCCCAGTCAGTTGGAGTTATACAATTCTCCACTAGGTCCAGGTCTTAGTTAACAACTGCTATCATTCAAAAAATAATCAGTTCTAAAAAGTTTTAACTGCACATTACAAAGGGCACATTTCACGTAGGCCGTCTGATCATCATGAACTGCTCATATTTAAATGAAAGAGTTTAACTCACTTGGGTTCAGGAATAAGGACTGGCTCAAAAATGTCATCCAGTTTGTGCTGAACAAGTTCTGGCATTTCACATCGGACTGTACCATTGTCATTCTCAATCTCATCTAGATCCAGCTGGAATTCTCGGCGGACCATCTGGGCTGCCTCAGGATGCCCACTCATGCTTCGGGCTTGGCTAAGGGAAGCAAAAGGAGGCTCCTGAACTAAAAGAGACTTCTTAACCAAAGGGCAAGAGTAGCACTGTCAGTTGCCCCAAAGCTTCAGGACAGATGTTCAACTTCTGGTTTCAGCCCCCCTGAATGATTTAAGTCCCTGAGTCTAAGCAAGTGCCTTTAATAGGTAACAACATTGGTTCATGAATATCCTAAGAGGGCAGATAACTTTAATTTGTACTTACATTACCTGCCAAGTTATAAGTATTTGTTCTAGTTCACTAAAGCCAACAAACCTTGTATTTCTATTCCTGAAGGGGCAGAAAACAATAAAATATATTTGTATTGACTCAAAGTTCACTACTTATGAGCAAATATATAAGAAAAATTTAGACTGGCTGGTTCTTTTCCACCAAATTAACCAGTGCTTTAATTTTGCTAATCATAAGTACCATTCCATGCCGTGTTCAGCACATTTTATATTTTGTGAGACCACCAGTCACCCCTTTTTAGAATATTCACTCTTGACAGGTCAGGGCCAGCTTTACATCCAAGAAATAGGGATTCAAAGTTTCCAAATTCAAGTTCGTTAAAATTATACTCATGACACAACCCAAAATAGAGCTGTCTTGCTTAGGAGGCAGTATTTTGAGTCCCTAAGCCAATTTTGGGTTGCATGTATTTTAATTAGCCTTATCTCAAGAATAGGAAACTAAGCACAACCAAGTATAACACAAAGAAGAAAGTGAATCAGTATTTTAGCCACATGACATTGAACTTTTGTGGAAGACTTGATTCATGGGGTACTTATGGACACCCTCTACCCTGATTATAAACTCTAAGCTAGTCACCCTCCAGAGGGGATGAATCCAAGTCAGAAGTTAGAAAGATATAAGAGCCCTGCTAATGAGAAATTAGCAGGCAGTACTTACATCCTATAAGTGCGATACATAATTCTGTCCACGGAAAAGCAGTGAAAGAAGGCACAAGACCATTTAGAAGTGGTTTTGAGACAAAGACAAAGACAATGAAGACTGAAGAATCAAACATTTGGTTACAATACATTTACCCAGACACTCTGTCATGCATGATAATGGCTACAAGAACTCAAGATTATGTTACAGGACAGGCTGTGAGCACACAAGGCAAAGGCCATGGAGATGCTCTCAGACAAGTATCTCTATCTACATACTTGAGTTTGGAAGACATGTCCTCAGCTGGTCCCTTGCGTAACATGTTGGCATTGGAGCTTATGTTCTGTGCACGCTGAGGTTTCTCTTCCACCTGTTTTATTGGTGCAGCAGAGGGTCTCTTTGCTGACCGCTTAATCCTCTCCTCGAGCATGCTCATATCCTTTTCAGAAAGCTGTAAAGAGGCCAAATTTAGAAACCTAACTGGATAACACAATAATATCTATTTTCATATCAAAACAAATAGAACCTTCTATGTTAGGACATGTTTACTTTCAAAGCACCACATTTCAAAATCAACTACTATTAATACCTGCCTAGCTGCTATAGGAAGAGGAGATATGAAAGAAGGAGAGGGGCTGGGCACAGTGGCTCATGCATGTAATCCCAGCACTTTGGGAGGCCAAAGCAGGAGGATCACTTGAGCCCAGGAGTTTGACACCAGCTTGGGCAACATGGTGAAACCCCATCTATACATAAAGTATAAAAATAAGCTGGGTGTGGTGGCACGCGCCTGTAGTCCTTGCTACTCAGGAGGCTGAAGTCAGAGGATCACTTGAGCCTGGGAGGTCGAGGCTGCGGTGAACCATGATCACACCACTGCACTCCAACCTAGGTGACAGAGCAAGACCCTGTCTCAAAAAAAAAAAAAAAAAGAAACGATAAAAAAAAGAAAGCCAATTAGTAACTACAAATAAAAAGGTCAAAAATTAAATGAAGCTTCCTCATTTTTTGTTTTGTCACCACTATCTAGCTGTGTGACTATGGGCAAGAAACTTCATTTTTGGTCATCTGTAAAATTCCCAACTGCTTTATATTCTTCACTGGGTAGTAGTGAGAATTTAATTAGAAAATATAAGTAAACATATTTAAGCCCTGTGTAAATACATGGTGACACTATGAGGTAACTGAAGACGGAGGTCCAGACTCACTCAAACGAAATAAGAGGTCAGAGGCAGAACCTAATGTGAGTGAAAAACTGGCTCACGGCTGTAGCGCAAGATGTGATCTGACAGATACTAGCATCCACACTATACACAAATAAGCACTTTTTAACCAAAAACTCGATGCAGTAAAAATTACAGAGCAGACTGCCAGGCAGAATTTAAACCCGGGACTAGCTCAGATTTCTTGATTCAAAAATAGCACTCATTTCTAAAGCAAATTTGCTATGAATAGAATGCTCAGAAAAGAAAACTTGATTTCCATTAAAACAGCCTAATCAGAGACACCTCAAGGGTCTATCTGGATTCTAGGACACATTGATAGGTTGAGTTGACTAAAAAGTAGTAAAAACTTAGCTACAGTTGAGAGGACAGGAAACCTAACACCTAGGAGATCTTGCAATTCTTTTCACGACATGCTGACAGTGTTCAGAGAAGTCACTCACATTTCCAATCAGTTTGAACACCTGATCCCCATGTACATTGTACACCGTTACAATGGTGTTGAGTGCAGCATTGCGTACAGCATTGTCACGGTCTCCTATGTGAACAGCTATTTCCTTTAAGGCTTTTCCTGGGGTTGGTTGGCAAACATTCATGCCATAGGACTCAACCAGACATCCCAGCTCTTCCAGGCACTCTGATGGGGGAGAAAGGCTAGATTAATGAGACAACACATATTTGGGACAGAGACTTATCCTTACTAGAGAAATTTCCCTTGGCATATATGAAGGACTAAAACCTTACTCTGGCTCTGCCTAGGATTTTTTGTTTACTGCCTTTTATCAGTGAAAAAATGGTATTTCAGCAAGTGCTCCTGAAAGGAAGAGATGCCTGTGAGTCAGATGGCCCCTGTGCACTTGATTTTGTCACCAGGGTGATACTGAGTGGTGCCTGTATCACCTGATACCATGGCTCCACCAGTGTGCAACTCATCACTCTCACAGTCTAAATCAGGAGGTTGGAATCAACTACATAGGCACTGGAGAAATTTATTTGTTCATCTATAAACTATTTCTTCTATAGGCTACTGCTGCAGAGATTCACATCTCAGTTTAAACTGTTTGCTTCACCTGCTCTCTGCTTAGAGTTTTTGGATTTGGTTCCTTCCATGATAAAGGGAAACATCTTGCTAGCTGGGTAGACAAGGCACATCCGGTTCAGGATGGCACGAACATCTTTACGAATGACATCCTTTGGTTCTCCAACCTAGTCGATAAGGAAAATAATGATTAAGTGAGGCATTTCCTAAGTAGCAATGATTCTCCCATGCATTACTATGTTTTGAAAGAATAGGGAAATAGGGATAAGTAGGGAAGGTACCGTGATATAATCAGTAAAAAAGGGAGAGGAAATAAAAGTACAGAAACTGAGGTCAGCTGGGAACTTAAGCAGTCTCCCAGAGAGAGAACACCACATTACCTTGACGACAAGATAGGGGATGAAGGAAGATGCTTCATTCTCAGTAAGATGATATTCTTCTTCACTTAGCAAGGTGAAGAGCAATTTTAAATATTCTAGTGCTTTCATCAGGACGCTTGTATTGGTGTCAAAAAACCTCAGGGTAAGCCACTTTAAGATAAGATCCAGGCAACCAATAACTCCTTCTTTTTCACTCTCCAAGTGCTTAAAATAAAACAAAACAAAACTCCCACAAATAAGAATAATCAAAATCTTAATTCTACTAGGCAAGTGTCTTTTAAATTTTATTGGAGCCCAAAAAGAAAATGACAGATTTTTAAGCCTTCAATTAAGACCTAAAAAATATACACACACATTCATTTATTCTACCAAATAACAAGACAGCTCTAAAAATAGAGAACATAGTATATTCTACTTCCAAGTCATGCAAACTTCAGATTATTTCATAGGGCTCGGTATTTTTACATGTCTGAAATACATGTATATTTATCTATTGCAGACTTACATCAACCATAACAGCAAGGGCTTTGTTATGATGCTGAAAGTCTGAGTGAAACATCTCATCTTGTAACCATTTAGCCACACAGCTAGACATTTGAGTCTTTAGTTGCTCAATGTATTCATCCCGTGGGGTAGTAAAATTCCACTTTAGCACCTGGAAAAAACAAACGGTGAAAAGGGGCTACAGGGTGTTCAACTGAAATGAGGTAGAGAGCCTTATATAATGCAGCTGCAGGAACAATAAAATATTTAAAAATTCAACAATATTCATTTGTAATTAAATATGAATGCAAATTTCAAGGTGTCATACTTCTTGAAGCTTAACAACTCTGAAAATCTTCTAGGAATAAAAATTTTTGGAATTGTTTGTTTTTGAGACAGAGTCTCACCTGTTGCCTGGGCATGGCAGAGTGCAGTGGCATGATCATAGATCACTGTAGCATTAACCTCCCAGGCTCAAGTGATTCTTCTGCCTTAGCCCCCCAAGTAGCTGGGACTACAGACATGCACCACTATGCCCAGCTAATTAAAAAATTTTTTTCGTAGAGATGAAGTCTCAATATGTTGTCCAGGCTGGTTTTGAATTCCTGGGCTCAGGCAATTTGCCTGCCTTAGCCTCCCAAATTGTTGGGATGACAGGCATGAGCCACTGTGCCTGGCCTTGCAATTCTTACTAAAGAAAAAAAAAAAATTAATCCTACATATAACTATATAACATGGTGGACACTGCTGCCACATCTTTGATAGAGAGAAAATTTGAAATATCTATCAAAATTATGCATATCATCATTCTAGGAGTTTAATATAGATACACTCACATATGTGTACAAAGACCTACATTCAAAGATATTCACAGCAGCAGTGTTTGTAATAGTGAAAGACCAGAAACAACCTAAATGTCCAACATAGTGGGCGAAGGATAAAGAAAGGTACATACATACAATGCACCAATACAAACAGTGATACACACATATATACACAGATACGAATGATCTTTCAGATATTTCAAACATCATTAAAAGAAAATAGTGAGATACAGAACAAACAGTACGGCATGTCTGTATATGCCATCTGTATAAAAGGAGGGCTATATAAAAATATACATATGATAGTAGAGGTATAAAATATTTCTGGAGTAATACATTGAAAAAATGAGGACTAATATCCTCCCTGTGGAGGGATACTGGAACAGAGACATGCTTTTCTTACTATACTTTGCACTTTCTGTACTGCATATAATTTTTAAAAAAGATTATGTATTTTGAAAACAAATTTAAGTATCTAATGAAATCAAAGTAACATAAATGACTGAACTAGCCATTTATACAGTCACAAAGTCTGCCTTGTAAGGTCTTAAAAAGAAGGATTAATGAAGAAGCTTATACATCCAATTAATTAAAAAAAAAAATCAATGAAGATACCAAAAAAGCTACTAAATCATTTATTTCTATTTACAGGGAAAAATAGGCAATAACTCTATTCTATAGTTTCTTTTGTAGGAATTAATGCTCCCATAAACTAAATAATATAATTTATAAGCAAAAGAAACACTTAATTCCTAGATATTAAACAATAACATGAATTCAGACAGCAAAACTATTCTTGAATAACAATACAAGCAAAAATCTCCTGACGATTCTTAATCCTTCCTTACCTTCAATCCTTTTTCATCTTTCATCCTTTGCTCTTTTCCATTTGGAACAACAATAAAAATAGGCCCGGATTTGTCTTCATCCTCCTTTAAGCTGGTTTTGCTTGGCATCTTCTTCCCTTGTGCACTCTACAACCAAGGTTCAGGGAATACTGATTAGCTTGGCCACTTCTCCTTAAGAATATGATGCTGCTGCCCAGTAAAAGGGCACTGTAGAAAACAGAGATATCTTTCTACGTGATATTTCACATGAAAAAAACATGCATCACAGAATCTTGTATATGTTTTTGAACAGGTTCTCTAGAAATTTTTCTGAGAATATTCTTAAGTAACTGTTGGTTAGTTCTTGGACTGGCATGTTATGTAGTTGGAAAAACTGCTATTACTGATCATTAGTCTAGGTCACAAACTTTTTGTTTTTGTTTTCTTGAAATCTTCAACACTATTTATAGCTTTCCATATTAATGACATCTTTTTTTTTTTTTTTTTTTTTTTGAGACGGAGTCTCACTCTGTCGCCCAGGCTGGAGTGCAGTGGCGTGATCTCAGCTCACTGCAATCTCCACCTCCTAGGTTCAAGTGATTCTCCTGACTCAGCCTCCTCAGTAGGTGGGACCAAAGGCGCCCACCACCACCCCTGGCTAATTTTTGTATTTTTAGTAGAGACAGGGTTTCACCATGTTGTCCAGGCTGGTCTCGAGCTCCTGACCTCAAGTGATCCACCCACCTCAGCCATTAATGACATCTTGAATGGCATTTACACATTTCCAAACACTTAGTTTGAAAGCTTTTCTGTTTCTTTCCATTGATATTTAAATGTATCTCTTATCATAACAGTGTAACTGAAGACCTTTTGAACTTGCTTCTAGAGAAAGTTACAAGAAATGCTTTAAATATTTAAGTCACTAAAGTGGTTTTAAAAAATAATCCAAGATTTAAAATCTTCATATCAGATAGAAAGAAAATAGTAAACAATAGTACACATATTTAAGGTAAAATTCAAATTTCATTACTGGAATCATTATTATTATAAATGTAGCATGGCCACTATTTCTAGTTGGCCACAATTTCTTTCTAGTATAAACACTAATGTCATTCAGACCAAACAAATATGAGATCATTTATATGAAACTGCTTCGTAAGTTTAAAAAGATTGGGAAAAAAATTATGGCATTAAGAACGGAGTCAAAAATACTGCAAAACACTCGTGATCTAAACTAAAATAAGCACTTGTTAAATTTGGGATGAGGACAGGCAGACAGGAAAAGAACAACGTCATTGGATAGTTGAAGATAATTACCCATTTAAATTAATTCACTGAGGAGTTAAAGGGCCTGAGCATAGGGAAGAAAAATGGTTAATTGTAATATTTAGAAGAAAGGCCCTAGAGTGTGTACTCCAAAATGGGGGTGTAATAATACATGTACTGGTTAAAAAACATTCTCTATATTTTTTCATCAATTACAGGAAGTAAATTAAATAATTCTCTATTTAGACTTACTATTAGATTCATTACCCATTGCACAGTTTTGCAATTTTCCTTTTGTAAGTGTTAAATAATTAACACTCTGAATATGTTTATTAATCTCAATCTTGATAGAGATAATGACAATTTACTGTGATTTTAAAACTTAATTAAATGAAAAAATCACCCAGAGGATAAAGTTGAACATTTGAACACACTGCTTTAAATTGTCCAACTCTCCATGAATATTGAAAGAATTGCTGATGCATCAAAATAAATCCCACTGGGACAAAAGATATTTCCCTGCAGACTAACCGAAACATCTTCTAATATGATGACAACAGTGCCAAATTTGAAGGAGGTTGATTTAACTTCCTTTTCTTAAATCCAAATCAGCCTAAAGTGTTTATTATGCCAGAGCTACAAATGCTTTCTCCTTTTTTTTTTTTTTCCTGAGTCTCGCTCTGTCATCCAGGCTGGAGTGCAATGGCGAGATATTGGCTCACTGCAACCTCCACCTCCTGGGTTCAAGCGATTCTCCTGCCTCAACTTCCCAAGTAGCTGGGATTACAGGTGTGCCACCATGCCCAACTAATTTTTGTATTTTTAGGAGAGACAGGGTTTCGCTATGTTGGCCAGGCTGGTCTCGAACTCCTGACCTCAGGTGATCCGCCTGCCTCGGCCTCCCAAAGTGCTGGGATTACAGGCGTGAGCCACTGTGCCCGGCCCTTTCTTCTTTCAATAAAGTAAATCTTTCCCCGAAAATCTACATGAAAGGAAGATGACAGCACCTCTTGAGAGCAGGATGTCTCCGTTTTAGGACCTTATTAAAAATGAACCACAGAAATTTGTATAAATAATTTGATAATATCAACAGCAGTGATGTTCTTTTATATATAATATGATCCTTCCTAATAGAATGACTCAGTATATAAAATATATTTAAAAGCAAGTCTACATCGAAGTATACAGAGTTAACATACCTTTGCTTTAGAGGATAATCCTGGAGCTTTGGCCTTTTTTGGATCAGGTTTGGGTTCTGTACTGCTGGAAATACAATCTTCAGCAGGTGCTTTGAGGAAAAAAATATATATATACTATAAACTTTAACTAATATCATTTTATTTTGGACAGGTTAAATATATAATGATGACAAGGAAGCTTGCAGTCTTAAATGTATCAATTTATAAGATGTTTTCAGTTAGTTTTTTTTTTATGAGACAGGATTTTGCTCTATCTCCCAGGCTGGAGTACAGTGGTGCCTTCACGGTGCTCACTGCAGTCCTGACCTCCTGGGCTCAATGAATTCTCCCACCTCAGCCTCCCTAGTAGCTGGGACTACAGGCCCGTGCCACCGCACCCAGCTAATTTTCTTTGTAATTTTTGTGGAGACAGGGTTTCGCCATGTTGCCCAGGCTGGTCTCAAACTCCTGGGCTCAAGCAATCCACCCACCTTGGCTTCCCAAAGTGCTGGGATTACAGGCGTGAGTCACTGTGCCTGGCTTAGATTTTTTTTTCCTAATAATTTTTCTCCCAAAATCTTTAAGCGTAAGAGAGAAATTAATTCAGAAAATCTGTATCTCATTTACCAACATTTAAACTGTAGTTTCATTTGTTTGTTTAGACAGGGTTTCTGTCACACAGACTAGAGTGCAATAGCACGTTCAGGGCTCACTGCAGCCTTGACCTCCCTGGCTAAAACAGTCCTCCTACCTCAGCCTCCTGAATAGCTGGGACTACAGGCGTGCACCACCAAGCCCAACTAATTAAAACAACTTTTTTTTTTTTTTTAGAGACAGGGTCCCACTATGTTGCCCAGGCTGGTCTTGACCTCCTTGTCCTCTCAAAGTGGTGGAATTACAGGCGTGAGCCACCATGCCCAGCCCAGACTGATACTTTCTTAAAGGTAAAGACATCTTTGATATTCAGTATCTGCTACATAGCAAGATTTCAATAAAAACTGAATATGTACTTTAATAAAGAGTTTTACACAGGTAAAATTTTTTTTTTTTGAGACTAGTTCTGGCTCACCCAGGCTGGAGTGCAGTGGTGCGATCGTGGCTCATTGAAGCCTCAACCTCCTGGGCTGAAGCGATCCTCCCACCTCAGCCTCCTGGGTAGCTGGGACCACAGGTGTGCGCCACCAAGACTAGCTAATTTTTGTAATTTTTGTAGAGATGGAGTTTTGCCATGTTGCTCAGGCTGTAAAATTTCTAACTTTATAGCATCAACAATTTCTATTCCACTAAATTCAAGAATATTGTTTTGTTTAAGCAGTAAGTCTAAAAATGAATTGGTCACAGGTTATATATTATCAAATTTTATTTATTTTTATTTATTTATTTTGAGACAGAGTCTTGCTCTGTCCCCCAGGCTGGAGTGCACTGGCGTGATCTTGGCTTACTGCAACCTCTGCCTCCCGGATTCAAGCAATTCTCCTGCCTCAGCCTCCTGAGTAGCTGGGATTACAGGTATGCACCACCACACCCAGCTAATTTTTGTATTTTTAGTAGAGGTGGGGTTTCTCCATGTTGGCCAGGCTGATCTCAAACTCCTGACTTCAATGATCCACTGGCCTTGGCCTCCCAAAGTGCTGGGATTACAAGCATGAGCCACTGTGCCCAGCCTATTATGGAATTTTAATATCAGGATAAAGAAATCAAGAATTATCCCTTAAAGAAGGTTAATAAAGTGGATTAAGCTAGATTCTCCCAATTCCTCTTCTAATTATAGTATCCAGGAGCAGAAAATAGTTGTGGAAATGTAGGATGCAACACTTCAGAAAGGACTATTTTAATGTACTATTCCAAAACTCCTTTTGGGATCGGGTGTGGTGGTTCAAGCCTGTAAGTCCAGCACTTTAGGAGACTGAGATGGGAGGATCGCCTGAGGCCAGGAGTTTGAGACCAACCTGCGCATCACAACAAAACCTCATCTCTATAAAAAGTAAAAAATTTAGCCAGGTGTGATGGCGCATGCCTGTAGTCCCAGCAACTTGGGAGGATGAGGCAGAAGGAACACTTGAGCCCAGGAGTTCGAGGTTGCAGTGAGCTATGATCACGCCACTACACTCCCTCCTGGGTGACAGAGCAAGATGCCATCTCTAAAAAAAAAAACAAAACAAAAACAAAAAAAACTTTTTAGAATTAGAAACCAAATTAGTCACGTTTGTACCCTTAGTACAGTTCCTGGCATAAAATAGGTACTTGACTACTTGACAAGTGTTTGTGAAAGGAAAGTAAGCAGAGAAGGAAGGAGAGCTTGGATCTACGCTGTAAGGAAATGTGATTTAAAAAAGACAAGGCTGAATGTCTTTTTAGAGTTCCTCAGGGCTATTTCCTTCCCCTTTAACCTTCTTAAGATAGAGTTACCTGATGCAGGCTGGAATTTGGCTGGAGCGGACCCTCCCATTGGTTTAGAAGTTGCTTTAGTGGGTGGAGCAGGCTTGGCTGGCATGTTAACTTTGGCTTTCTCTAGCATGGCCAATACCTGATCTTTAGAAGTTGGCTAGAGAGACAAAATGACATAAAAAGTGAGAGGTCACATAAATGATAAAGTCATACAAAGCTTATGAACAAATCCTCTGTCAAACAAATGATTGAGCTCCTAGTTTTGAAATACCACTGAAGTAAGGGAGGCAGTACATGGTGTCAGAGAAGTCACACACATTATGAAGTCACACTAAGGTAGGTATCATTCTAGAAGGTCACAGTTTTCACCCCTGTGAGGTCAGCAGATTTTTACTTCTACACTGCTTAATATTTTATTTTTGCTTGTTACGATTTCAAATTGAGACTCACAGGAGGTAATATGGTTTTTTCCTCATATAAATTCATGTTTAATATATATATATTTTTAAGACAGAGTTTCTCTCTTGTTGCCCAGGCTGGAGTGCAGTGGCACGATCTCAGCTGATTGCAACCTCTGCCTCCTGGGTTCATGCGATTCTCCTGCCTCACCCTCCCAAGTAGCTGGGATTACAGGCATGTGCCACCAAACCCGGCTAAATTTTGTTTTTGTAGAGATGGGGTTTCACCATGTTGGCCAGGCTGGTCTTGAACTCCTGACCTCAGGTAATCCACCTGTCTCGGCCTCCCAAAGTGTTGGGATTACAGGCGTGAGCCACCGTGCCAGGCCCATGTTAAATATATTTTTTAATAGCTTTTAACAGCAGTAGCAGCAACAAGAAGTAGTACCTTTAGTTTCCCAGTAGCCTTGGCCATTTTTTCATATCCTAAATGCATCATGAAGAATGGCAAGGCATCTTGGGCCTTCTTTCGCACATCTCCATTTCGATCTTCTAGGCAGGAGTAGAGATGAGGAACACAAAGGATAAGGTCTGTAGGGGTGGAACGAAGAGTAGGTAGTTTCTCAGCCAGCCAGCCCAGAAGCTGCCAAAAGAAATAAAGACTAGTTACACACTTCAAATGAAGACTGTTATCATTTATGATCTCAGGCTTACTGATTTCATTAGTCTCAAGCACTGAATTAGCTTTCACACTATAACTTTCCAATATGAAATCAGTACTTTTCATAATTCAAGAACTGTGCTAAATTTAAATAACATATGCAATGATGACAATCATCTTTAAGATAAGGACACATTTCTTTGGACTATATTTGGGTATTAAATTATAAAGCTTTAATACATCTTAAAGATGAAAAACTTTTACTTATCTCCCTTTAGTTCTGAAAAATATTTAGCTAGAAGACCCAAAGCACTTATTGTGATCAGAAGGTTACAAATTTTACCAAGACTTCTTATTTTTTGCCTTATGTTGACATTTTTCTTCTCTATATCCCTAAAATAGTTCATATTTGTATTTTTCATTTTTGAGACAAGGTTTCACTCCCGTCACCCAGGCTGGAGGGCAATGGCATAATCTTGGCTCGCAGGCCAGTGGGATTGGCTTTAGTCATGCAGCACAATTCCTTGGAGATTTATCTGAATTATTGTATTTACCAGCAGTTTGTTCTTAATTGCTAAATAGTATTCCATGTATGGATGTACAAGAGATTTGTTTAACCATTCACCTACTGAAAGGTATCTGAACTGTTTCTAGTTTTTGGCTATTATGCAGTAAAATGCTCTACCCTTGAGCTATAGTCCCAGTTTTTGGCTACTATGATTGAAGTTGTTATGAATATTTGTACATAGATTTTTGTATGGATATAAATTTTCATTTTTCTGAAATAAATGTCCAAGAGTGCAATTGCTGGCTCATATAGTAACTGCACGTTTAGTTTTATAAGAAAATACCAAACTATTTCCTGAAGTAGTTGTACCATTTTACATTTCCAGCAGCAATGCATGACTGTTTAGGTTTCTCCAGCATTTCACGTTACCATTATTTTTAATTTTAGCAATTCTGATGATTGTATAGTGATATTTCAACACAGTTTTAATTTGCATTTCCCTGGTTGCTAATAACACTGAGCATCTTTTTTTTTTTTTTTTTTAAATTAAGTCTTGCTCTTGTCACCCAGGCTGGAGTGCAATGGCATGATCTCAGCTCACTACTCACAGGCTTGGCCATGGATACCCATTTTCTGATTTTTCTGTTGTTGTTGTTGTTACTGTTGAGTTTTCAGAGTTCTTTATATATTCTAGATATTAGTCCTTTATTGGATACTGGCTTACAAATCTTTTCTGTTGTTCTGTAGCTTGTTTTATTATTTTCATGTGGTTTTTTTTGCAGAGTAAAAGTTTTTAATTTTCATGTGGTCCAATTTATCAACTTTCCTTTTATGGATTATGGTTTTGGTTTTAAGTCTAAGAATTCTTTGCCAGCCTCCCATCCTGGAGATTTTCTAGTTTGCACTTAAAAGTTCTATAGTTTTATGTTTCAAATTTAAGTCCATAATCTGTTTTGAGACAGTGAGGTTTAGGGTGAGGTTCATTTTTTTGTTTATGGATGTCCAATTGCTCCAGAATCATTTGTTGAAAAGACTATACTTCCTTCACGGACTTATTTTTGTAGCTTTGTAAAAAATTAGTTGATATTAGTGTGGGTCTATTTCTGGGTTCTCTCTGTTGTTCCAATGATCTACGTGTCTATCTCCACCCCATCCTCCTGCTACCACTATCACAGTGTCTTGATTACATTAGCAATATAGTAAGCTAATTGTAAAGTGATTCCTCTTTTTTTTTTTTGTTTTTTTGTTTTTGAGACGGAGTCTTGCTCTGTCACTCAGGCTGGAGTGCAGTGGCACGATCTTGGCTCACTGCAACCTCTGCCTCCCGGGTTCAAGTGATTCTCCTGCCACAGCCTCTCGAGTAGCTGGGACTACAGGCGCATGCCACCACACCCAGCTAATTTTTGTATTTTTGGTAGAGACGGGGTTTCACCATGTTTGCCAGGATGGTCTCGATCTCTTGACCTCGTGATCTGCCCCCGCCTTGGCCTTCCAAAGTGCTGGGATTACAGGCGTGAGCCACCGCGCCTGGCCCTCACCATTAAGTTTCATGTTATCTGTAGAGGTTGTTATGCAGATGCTTATATCAAGTTGAGGTAATTCTCTTTCATTACTGACTTGCTAAGAGTTTTTAATCATGAATGCATGTTGGATATGTCAAATGCCTTTTTTGCATCAGTTGATATAATCACAAATTTTGTTATTCTGTTGTTATGATTACTCTGATGGATTTTTGAATGTTCTATTTTTTTTTTTTTTGAGACGAAGTTTCGCTTTTGTTGCCCAGGCTAGAGTGCAATGACGCGATCTTGGCTCACTGCAACCTCCGCCTCCCGGTTCAAGTGATTCTCCTGTCTCAGCCTCCTGAGTAGCTGGGATTAGAGGTGCCCACCACCATGCCCAGCTAATTTTTCTATTTTTGGTAGAGATGGGGTTTCACCATGTTGGCTAGGCTGGTCTTGAACTCCTGACCTCAGGTGATCCACCCACCGTGGCCTCCCAAAGTGCTGGGATTACAGGCGTGAGCCACTGCAACTGGACTTTTTTTTTTTTGAGATGGAATCTTGCTCTGTTACCCAGGCTGGAGTACAGTGGTGTGATCTCAGCTCACTGCAACCTCTGCCTCCTGGATTCAAGCGATTCTCCTGCCTCAGCCTCCCGAGTAGCTAGGACTATAGGCCCGCACCACCACACCCAGCTAATTTTTTGTATTTTTAGTAGAGACAGGGTTTCACCATGTTGGGCAGGCTGGTCTCCAACCCCTGATCTCAAGTGATCTGCTTGCTCGGCCTCCCAAAGTGCTGGGATTACAGGCATGAGTCACTGCACCCAGCCTCTATTTTTATGTTCTGATTAAAACCTCTGATTTTAATTAGAGCTATTTATGACAAACCCACAGCCAATATCATACTGAATGGGCAAAAGCTGGAAGGATTCCCTTTGAAAACCGGCATAAGACAAGGATGCCCTCTCTTACCACTCCTTTTCAATATATTATTGGAAGTTCTAGCCAGGGCAATCAGGCAAGAGAAAGAAATAAGGGTATTGAAATAGGAAGAGAGGAAGTCAAATTATCTCTGTTTACAGATGAACATGATTGCATATTTACAAAACCCCATCCTCTCAGCCCAAGAACTCCTTAAACTGATAAGCAACTTCAGCAAAGTCTCAGGATACAAAATCAATGTGCGAAAATCACAAGCATTCCTATACACCAATAATGGACAAACAGAGAGCCAAATCATGAGCAAACTCCCATTCACAATTGCTACAAAGAAAATAAAATACCTAGGAATACCTCTTCAAGGAGAACTACAAACCACTGCTCAACAAACACAAACAAATGGAAGAACATTCCATGCTCATGGATAGGAAGAATCAATATCATGAAAATGGCCATACTGCCTGAAGTAATTTATAGATTCAGTGCTATTCCCATCAAGCTACCAATGACTCTCTTCACAGAATTAGAAAAAACTACTTTAAATTTCATATGGAACCAAAAAAGAGCCTGTATAGCCAAGACAATCCTAAGTAAAAAGAACAAAGCTGGAGGCATCACGCTACCTGATTTCAAATTATACTACAAGGCTACAGTAACCAAAACAGCATGGTACTGGTACCAAAACAGATATATAGACCAATGGAACAGAACAGAGGCCTCAGAAATAACACCACACATCTACAACCATCTGATCTTTGACAAATCTGACAAAAAACAAGAAATGGGGAAAGGATTCACTATTTAATAAATGGTATTGGGAAAACTGGTTAGCCATATGCAGAAAACTGAACTGGACCCCTTCCTTACACCTTATATAAAAATTAACTCAAGATGAATTAAAGATTTAAACCTAAGACCTTAAACCATAAAAACCCTAGAAGAAAACCTAGAATACCATTCAGGACATAGGCATGGACAAAGACTTCGTGACTAAAACACCAAAAGCAATCACAACAAAAGCCAAAATTGACAAATGGGATCTAATTAAATTAAAGAGCTTCTGCACGGCAAAAGAAACTATCATCAGAGTGAACAGGCAACCTACAGAATGGGAGAAAATTTTTGCAATCTATCCATCTGACAAAGGGCTAATATCCAGAAGCTACAAGGAACTTAAACAAATTTATAAGAAAAAAACAAACAACCCCATCAAAAAGTGGGTGAAGGATATGAACAGAAACTTTTCAAAAGAAGACATTTATGTGGCCAACAAACATATGAAAAAGATCATCACTGGTCATTAGAGAAATGCAAATCAAAACACAATGAGATACCATCTCACGCCAGTTAGAATGGCGATCATTAAAACAACAGATGCTGGAGAGGATGTGGAGAAACAGGAACCACTTTTACACTGTTGGCTGGAGTGTAAATTAGTTCAATCATTGTGGAAGACAGTGTGGCAATTCCTCAAGGACCCAGAACTAGAAATACCATTTGACCCAGCAATCCCATTACTGGGTAATACCCAAAAGATTATAAATCATTCTACTATAAAGACACATGCATACGTATGTTTATTGCAGCACTATTCACAATAGCAAAGACTCGGAACCAACCCAAATGCCCATCATGTTAGACTGGATAAAGAAAATGTGGCACATATACACCATGGAATACTATGCAACCACAGAAGAAGAATGAGTTCGTGTCCTTTGCAGGGACATTGATGAAGCTGGAAACCGTCATTCTCAGCAAACTAACATAGGAACAGAACACCAAACACCGCAATTTCTCACTTGTAAGTGGGAGTTGAACAATGAGAACGTACGGGCACAGGGAGGGGAACATCACACAGTGGGGCCTGTCGGGGGTTAGCGGGGCAAGGGGAGGGATAGCATTAGGAGAAATACCTAATGAAGATGACGGGTTGATGGATGCAGCAAACCACCATGGCACATGTATACCCATGTAACGAACCTGCATGTTCTGCACATGTATCCCAGAGCTTAAATAATAATAAAAAAAACACAAAACCTCTGATTTTACCATTTAAATGTTTAAGAAAAGGGAAAAATTCCACAAAAAGCCTAGTCCTCTAAAAAGCGTTATTGATAAAGAAGCATGTGAAAGGAAAAAATGGAAGCACATGAATACAAAGGCCCCAGGAATGTGATTTCATTTTATTAACTGTTTTATAATGAAACTCATTCTAACCATAAATGCGTATTTATCAGACAGGCCCAAGCCCCTATGGAAGTAAATGACATGAGTAATGCACATGATTAATTTATGATACTAACCTCTTGCCTCAAGAAAGGATTTTCCTTTTTGAGCTCTTCAGAAAGATCTTCTCCTTCCAGCCATTCCTTCATGCCAGTCTGTTCTGCCCAAGCATTCACAGTCGCTAGGGCAGCAGCTCGAACATTGTTCTAAATGGAGAAGATAATCAGCAAAAATAATATCTACTACAGTTTGGAGGTAGGGGGTGATCACTGTTGCTTTATGAACATGAACAATGGAGGGTTATCTAAGGCCCACATGAACATACATGAAACCATCTTCTCTGAAACAGAAACTAGTTCTATGATTGTACTAAAACTCCAAAGTAAAGTAGAAATATAAAACTCCAAATTGTAAAACTTGTGTACTCAGTTAATCAGGCAAAACAGTGAGTGATCTGGGCATAAAATATCATGTAAGAAGAATAACTCTTATATTTTGTTTCCTGAGTAGTTGGGGGCATTTACGTCCATGTCTGTCTGCTAAAGAATGAAATTCTAAATGTTAAAGACATCATAATGGTTAAGACTGAAACTGCTAATAAATTGACTGAAAATTAGTTATATTTTTATATTAATTTACATTAATATTAAAAGCACAAATTATATTAAATAAAGTTCCTCAAGTTAAATAAATTATACAACAGTATAGAGATATTCAAATATTTAGTCTACGGCTAAACATTGTAACCTTCAATGATATTTCAGTGACTTCTAGAACTATGAAACTACAAATATCTTGCTGAACTACTAGAAGATCCCACTCTAATAGTTCAGAAAAATAAAAGTAGAAAATAACTTAATGAACTCCAAATTCACATATTTATTCACTATAGCAAAATGTTACACAATTACGTTATAATCATAATAGCAACCATTTATTGTGTGCATACTATATGAGACAGGCACAATAAAATGTACCTTACATACAGACTCATTTAATTCTGTAAGAAAGAAATTTCACAGATAAAGAAACTGACCCTCAACAAAGATAGCTTATCTAAAAGTCACAAAACTAATAAGTGATACCTGGTCACCTTAATACTGCCTGGAAGATAAAAATGTTTACTGTTTTTCTTCTAATATTTTCATCTTTATAAAGTTTATCAGGTCTTTACATGACTCTAAAAAGAGAATTATCTTTAACCCAAAAATATGGCTGGCCTATTCCAGAATGGAGGCATGGTGAAAAGAGTTAGGTTTACCTTGCTGTCTCCAAGGACTGTGATGATAGGGATGCCTAAATTTTTTACATGTTGCTTAATATTTGGGCCCATGGCTACTGCCAGTTGTTGCAGGATATTCAGCGTTTGCTGTACCTGAGTGGAAAGAGCCAATACTTTATGTTGAAACGATAAGCAAGTTGTGTGCAAACTTCCGTAAATTTGCTGCTATACTGTCAATACAGCAGGAGATTTTTGGCCTACTCAAGAGACAGAGACACTGGCTTGTCATGCTATTCGACTTAGATTATTCTAATTAATTTTTAGGCAGTGGCCTTTTTATCATCAGTTCGTAAAACTAGATTATCAGAATTTTAGACCAGAGATCATAGTACTTTACAACTTTAAGGTAAAACCTAGTTTAAGGAAATCCTGACATAAAAATCCACATTTAAAAATCAGAAATCATTATGTTTACATGTATTACAAGCAGTTTTATACAAATATATTCAATATTGGATTCCTGCAAAAAGCAAATTCTGAGACTCATAAAAATTTGATGAATAAATCTGCCAACTACCATCATATCTTGAGATACACTTAATAAATTAAAGGCAGCTATTTCTAGTTCAAAGCAAATAAAGTAACCACTTATTTTTTGCAAGTGAAGGCTACACTGAAAAGGTAACTCCTGCAGCAGTGGGGAGGGGAGATAAAAAGAACAGCCGTATGCTCTACATACCAAGATTTTATTTGAATCATTGAGTCGACCCTTCAAGGCAGTTGGAAGTTCACCTATATTCGGTTGGATAAATTTTGCGTCATTAATAATACCTGCCACTTCATCTAGGCCTTCTTTCCTAATCTTCCAATTCTTATCACCAATCTTAGATACCAACTCTGAAGTGATTTTATCACTGAAAAACAGAAAATAACCTTTAATTCCAGACTCCAAAAAAATGATGATATCACGTTAAGTTCCCCTCACTGAATTCAAAAAGAAGACAACATTCTGAATTCAATACAATGAATGAAATAAACCATTTCACAGACTGGAACCTACCTGATCTCCGTCCTCGGCAAAAGATCAACGACATCATTGCTCCCGTCATCTGGTTCATCTCCATCTTCTCCTTCATCTGTACCACTTGTGCTATGCTTGGAAATTCCTCTGGTTGGAGCAGGTGGACTTTGTCCCTGCATCTATACACAAATGAATGAGTAAGGCTAATGAAATTTATATAGGATATGGGAACAAACAAATTAGAGAGGGTGCCTGTGTCAAACTCTCATTCCTTTGTAATACCTATTTACACAGTAGGTAATTTGACTACTACCTAGATTACAATTTTGAGACCATATGTCAAAAGGTATTTTTATACAAAACCTACTAGAAGGCAGGGTGTGGTGGCTCACACTTATAATCCCAGTACTTTGGGAGGCCAAGGCGGGTGGATCATCTGAGGTCAGGAGTTCAAGACCAGCCTGGCTGATACGGTGAAACCTCGTCTATACTAAAAATACAAAAATTAGCCTGGCATGGTGGCACGTGCGTGTAATCCCAGCTTCCCAGCTGAGGAGGCTGAGGCAGGAGAATTGCTTGAACCTGGAAGGTGGAGGTTGGAATAAGCCCAGGAAGCGCCATTGTACTCCAGCCTGGGCAACAAGAGTGAAACTCCACCTCAAAACAAACAAACAAACAAAACAACCCAAAAACAAAACAAACAAAACATAAAAATTTTTTTTTTTCTTTTTGAGACAGAATCTTGCTCTGTCACCCAGGCTGGAGTGCAGTGGCATGATCTTGGTTCACTGCAACCTATGCCTCCCGGGTTGAAGTGATTCTTATGCCTCAGCCTCCTAAGTAGCTGGGATTCCAGGGCGTGCTACCACACTCGGCTGACTTTTGTATTTTTAGTAGAGATGGAGTTTTGCCATGTTGGCCAGGCTGGTCTCAAACTCCTGACCTCAAGTGATCTGCCCGCCTTGGCCTCCCAAAGTGATGGGATTACAGGCGTGAGCCACCAAGCCCGGCCAAAATCATCAATTTCTTATGAACTCTTCCATGGATACTTTATTGTGCATAAAAGCAAATACATACATATTCTTCATTCCAGAAAGACAGAGTCTCAGTATGTTGCCCAGGCTGGAGTGCAGTGGCTATTCATAGTTGTGATCCCACTACTGATCTGCACTGGAGTTTTGACCTGCTCTGTTTCTTTCTTTCTTTTTTTTTCTTTTGAGAAAAGGTCTCTCTGTGTGGCCTAGGCTTGAGTACAGTGGTACAAACATGGCTCACTGGAGCCTCAACCTCCTAGGCTCAGGTGATCCTCCCACCTTGGCCTCCTGTGTAGCTGGGACCACAGGCATGTGCCACTATGCCTGGCTAATTTTTTGATTATTTTTTTGTAGAGAAGGTCTCATTTTGTTGCCCAGGCTGGTCTTAAACTCCTGGGCTCAGGGGGTCCTCCTGCCTTGGCCTCCCAAAGTGCTGGAATTACAGGCATGAACCACTGCACCTGGCCGACCTGCTCTGTTTCTGATCTGGGCCAGTTTACCTCTCCTTGGGCAACTGGTGGTCTCAGCTCCTGGGAGGTCACAATACTAATGCTGAACTTAGTGTGGACACCCAACTGGCATAGCACACTACAGCCCAAAACATCTGCACTTAAGCAATCCTCCTTCCTCAGGCTCCTGAGTAGCTGGGACTACAGGCGTGCACCACTACACCCAACAGTTTAGTCTTAATGAGATTCTCAAGTCCACTAACAGATTGTATCATTTGTGGAAATTCTACCTTCTCAAATTCTGCATCTATCTGGGATAGGAGGGCAGGCTTCTCATCCTCAAAGAACATTCGCAAAGAGGGACCAACATACAGATACATCACGCCAAGCAGGGTTATGGCAGCAGTCCTCACAGCCTGCCAGACAGAAGAAAAATAACTTTTTAAATCACAAAGATGGCAATAATAACTTTTTAAATCCACAAAGATGGCAATACTGCCCTATATATGTTGTTATGTACTCACTGGGTTTGTTGCAGCAAGAGCTGTCTTCACATTGCTAATGAAAGCTTTGACATTCAACCTAGAAGAAACATTTAGAATTAAAAGCAAACAAATGAAACCCTCAAAATACTCAATAACGTTTTATAAAGCCAGACTCTAGGACTGGCTCCCTTTGGCAAAGTTCTCACTTTTTCTCTTCCTACACTAACTTTATTTTATTTTATTTATTTGAGACAGAGTCTTGCTCTGTCACCTAGGCTACAGTACAGTACATGATAGCTCACTGCAACCTCTGCCTCTCTGGTTCAAGCGATTCTCATGCCTCAGCCTCCTGAGTAGCTGAGATTACAGGTGTGTAACACCATGCCCAGCTAATTTTTTTTGTTTGTTTGTTTTTAGTAGAGACAGGGTTTCACCATGTTGGCCAGGCTGGTCTCGCACTCCTTACCTCAAGTGATCTGCCTGCCTCAGCCTCCCAAAGTGCTGGGATTACAGGCATGAGCTACCACACCCAGCCTCCTACACTAACTTTAAAGTGAGCTTTAAATACTATCTATAGGCTGACAATCCTATTATGCTTAATTACAACTCCTAAATCCAATCTTGAACTCTCTCCTGAACTCCAGATTCACATCATCCAGCTGCCTTTGTGATATTTCCATTTGTATGCCTGGAAGACAGCCTACATCTAATATACTGAAACCAAACTCCTGATTGTCCTCACTCCAGTCCCAAAACCTGTTCCTCCCAGAGTCTTCTACACCTCAGTAAAGAGCCACATTGTTCTTCCAGTTATTCAGGCTATCCTTGACTTTTTGAAGTTATCCCTGACTTGTCTCTCTCTTGTTCTATTCTACTTTTTAAATATCTTATCAGTTATAACACTTCCACTTCTACAATCTATGTCCAAGCCACCAGAATTTCTCGACAGGATTATTCCAATAGCCTACTAATTCGTCTTCCTGTCTTTGATCTCCTCTCTGTCTTCTCTGACAACAGTCAGAATATGAACCTGTTACTCTTCTCAAAAGCCCCTAATGCCTTCCCAACTTATTCAAAATGTTGAGGCCCCACATGACCTAGCCCCTATTCTTTCTCTAGCTTTATCTCCTACCACTTCCTACCCACTCACTCATTGTCCTACAGCTACATTCTGAAGAAAAGACACTCCTTGCTATTTTAAATACATCACATGTACTCCTACCACAGAGCTTTTGGCATTTGCTCTTCCCTTGGTCTAGAATGCTCCTCTCTGATTATCACAGCTTGCTCTCTCATGTCCTGGTCTCTACTCAAATGTCATTTTTTCAGGAAGAACTCTTCAACTACTATATAGAAAACAACACCATCTAAACTATACCACATTATTCCATTTAACCCTTCATCCTGCTTTACATAAACATATATATGTAAAAAAAAATAGATATATATTTTTTGAGATGGAGTTTTGTTCTTGTTGCCGAGGCTGGAGAGCAATGGCATGATCTTGGCTCACTGCAACCTCTGCCTCCTGGGTGCAAGTGATTCTCCTGCCTCAGCCTCCTGAGTAGCTGGGATTACAGGCGTACACCACCACACCCAGCTAATTTTGTATTTTTAGTAGAAGCAGGGTTTCTCCATGTTGGTCAGGCTGGTCTCGAACTCCTGACCTCAGGTAATCTGCACACCTCAGCCTCCCAAAGTTCTGGGATTACAAGCATGAGCCACCGCGCCCGGCCTGCCTGCCTCTCTGTCTCTGTCTCTCTCTCTCTATATATATATTTTTAACTGTTTATTACCTATCTTTCTTTACTCAAATGTAACTCCCATGAAACAGAAATTTAATTTCGTTCATGATGTATTCTGAAGGACTGGAACAAACAATTGGAACATTGTAGTGGCCAATATGTAATTGTTTAATAAATGAATAAATGAAAGATCATAACAAAAAAGAGGAAAATATATGGCTTTTATAAGTGACATGCCAAGAGATGTGTGTTATATCAAAGACTATACAATTAAGAGGAATTATAACAATACCCTCAACTATGGGCGAACACCACAGATAATAACATAACAAACCGTTCTTTGTTATTTGAGTAACTTCTAGAGTAGTGTTTTTTCAATCAGTAGAACTCAAAATACCCTTTTACAAGATATTAACAGGCATGTTGCAAAATGTAGCATGGCACAGAGAAAGGTAACATAGTATAGCAGCTACATCATTCTTTCTCCAAACCAGAATGCCTGGATTAAAATCTTGGTTTTGCCACTTTCCTAACTATGATGGGCCCAAATTACTTAAACTTTCTGTGCCTTAGTCCTCATCTATAAGATAGGGATAATATAATACCTCGCTTAGTTGTTATGATGATTAAATCAAATGAATTATGATTTAGAAAGTGCTTTTTAAAAGTACCTGGGATAAAGTAAACTGTATAAAGTTTTGTTTTAAATAAACAACCGTGCTCTATAAGCAAATAAGTTTGGGAACAGTGGGTTAAACAAAGTTAAACAAGCTCTTCTATTGCAGGATTTCTGACAGCAGTTAATTCGCCAAGGCATACTATAGGTCTTTAAACAAATGTAATTATATACAGAAATTTCCTAATGTATTTGACTAGAAATTCTTGGAACTGGATTTTCTGTGGGACAGCTATTAATGCTTAAGGAAAAATAACGTAGAGAACTCTTTCAGTGAACATCAAAAAGCAGGAACACAAGCCAATATAGACCTTTGAGAACAAAGGTAATTTTCTTTTATATAAATGAGACAATCCAGCTCTCACTCTTCAGAAATAAACAGCAATAGCTATTATTATAAACAGCACGACTTAGAGACTGACAGAACATTTAACTATTTTCCACTTGATTTCGTTCTGACTTACCCAGAAAAACCAAATTCTTTTATGGCATTTGATAGCCAATTCAGAGTTTCTGACTGATTTTTGGGATTCTTTTGTGAGAAAGCCATTGACACAACCTGAAAAGGGAAAAACAGCAGATCTGTGTTTTATCTCGTATTTCTTATAGAAATACAGCATGACATTAAGGCAGATGTGCATTAAACTAGTTTTCTGACGCTAAAACAACTGCAAGAATGCCTTAGGAACAAGAGTGAACCTACACAAGAAAATGAGGTGAAATGATAGTAGGACTAAAGGCATTCTGGACTATTTATAGCTTTGCAGCAATTACTCTGCATTATAATGTTTTTTTTTTTTTTTTAGAGACAGGGTCTTGCTCTGTCACCCAGGAGTACAGTGGCACAATCATCAATCATTGCAGCCTCAAGCTCGTGGGCTTTCACCTTCTATAGAATTTTTTGTTTATTTGTTTTGAGACAGTCTCACTCTGTTGCCCAGGCTGGAGTACAGTGGCGTGATCTCGGCTCACTGCCACGTCTGTCTCCCAGGTTCAAGTGATTCTCCTGCCTCAGCCTCCCTAGTAGCTGGCATTACAGGTGTGCACCACCACGCCTGGCTAATTTTTGTATTTTTGGTAGAGACGGGATTTCACCATGTTGGCCAGGCTGCTCTCAAACTCCTGGCCTCAAGTCATCCTCCTGCCTCGGCCTCCCAAAGTGCTGGGATTGCAGGTGTGAGCCTCTGTGTCTGACCGAATATTTTTGACTAAGATGAATTTTCATCACTAGGCAATAGAGTATTTTTTAAGGTAAAAATAAAAATGCAGTATCAAAGGGCCGGGCATGGTGGCTCACACCTGTAATCCCAGCACTTTGGGAGGCCGAGGCAGGCAGATCACCTGAGGTCAGGAGTTCGAGACAAGCCTGGCCAACGTGGCGAAATCCTGTCTCTATTAAAATTCAAAAATTAGGCAGGCGTGGTGGCAGGTGCCTGTAATCCCAGCTATGCGGGAGGCTGAAGCAGGAGAATCACTTGAACCCGGGAGGGTTGCAGTGAGCCGAGATTGCACCATTGCATTCCAGCCTGGGCGACAGAGTGAAACTCCATCTCAAAAAAAATGCAGTATCAAAAAAGATTTTACTTGAGAAGATAAAAACTAATGTTTAATTAGTAAGCTTAAAGTTTGGGGGAAAAAATTGGGAAAACTAGAGGAATAAGACTTCTGTGTCACTAACCTGTTCAGCAGTCCATGGTAACATACAGGCTTCGGCTATTGCTGTCATAGCTTCTTTTGCATTGTTCCCACATTTCACATCTCCAATCTTGTCCACAAGGCCATCTAATACAACCTGAGCTGACGTTTTGGAAAAATTTCCCTTCTGGGCAATCAAAGCAACTATATGAAGCTTCATTTGCATCACCTGAACAAGGATCAGTATCATAAAGCTAAGAGCAAGCCAAGGACATTTATTTATTTACTTGTATTAACAGCATGTAACAGATATGACATGGTTAGGGACAGCTGGAAACACAACTAAAGTAAAATCAGGATTTTAAACAAATATGCAAAATAATTTGTATCCTTTAATTGTTACCAATTACTTAACTGACAGTGAAGAGAGGGAAAAAAAGCTACTCAGTGTTCCAAAATACTAACAAGTAATATTGCACAGAAAGTTTATTAATTGAAAAATCTGATTTTTAAATTTTCCTCCTCTTATGATTATTTGCATTTAGTACTGAATACACACCCTAAAATACACAATAAATTACTATACTGACTGCATAACTGAGAATTACTACTAGGGCTGCCTACAAAAACACTACAACCCTCTTATACACACATGCAACACAGAACTTCAGAGATTTTAGAGAACTTGTTGGCTTTTAAGTATAAGAATAAAAAGATCTGTGGAAAATAATTTAAAGATATTATTGTGATGGCAGACCTATGGGATTAAGGACCCCTTTGCTCATAAATATTTTTCTTTGTACTGTGTGAATATTTTAACTTTTTTTGTTACGCCACTAGAAATCCTATTATACAGATTAATTTAGGTGACAAATACTCCCATTTATTTATGTATTTATTTGACAGAATCTTGTTCTGTCACCCAGGCTGGAGTGCAGTGGTGAGATATCAGCTTACTGCAACCTCTGCCTCCTGGGTTCAAGCGATTCTCATGCCTCAGCCTCGCAAGTAGCTGGGATTACTTACAGGCGCCCGCCACCACGCTTGGCTCATTTTTGTATTTTTAGTAGAGATGAGGTTTCACCATGTTGGCCGGGCTGGTCTCGATCTCCTGACCTCAAGTGGATCTCAAGTGGGATCTCACCTCAGCCTCTCCAAGTGCTGGGATTACAGGCGTGAGCCACTGTGCCCAGCCACACAAACATCCTCTTTTAAAATGCAATTATCGCCTGGCTCATGCCTGTAATCCCAGCACTTTGGTAGGTTGAGTCGAGGGGAATGCTTGAGCCCAGGAGTTCAAGACCAGCCTGGTCAATATGGAGGGACCCCAGCTCTACAACAAGTACAAAAATTAGTTGGGTATGGTGGCCCTCGCCTGTAGTCCCAGCTACTTGGGAGGCTGAGGTGGGAGGATCACTTGAACCCAGGAGGCTGAAGCTGCAGAGAGACATGTTGACACCACTGCACTATCTAGCCTGGGCAAGAGAGTGAGACTTTGTCTCAAACCCCCAAAATTTGACATAGCAGGCATGTGAAAAAATAAAAATTTAAAAAATTAAAAAAAAAATTCCCAAACCAAAAAACAAACCAAAGAAATGTAATTATCTTGGGTGGGACTTCTGCAATTGTGGAGTCAATACCTCTGAAAAACTGATCTTCCTCAAAAGCAACAAAGAACACTGGCAAAAACTATCCAAATCAACTTATCTCACAACTCTGAAAATTAAATAAGGCTTGTAACATACAAGAACCATTTAAAGAAAGGATGCTGAATTTTAGTAAGGACAGTGAGGTTTCTGGTGATTTAACTTGCCTTGCTCCCCTTTTCTTCCAGCTCCACAGTAGCCTTCAAAACCTGAAGTCTTGTAACCATGGCAACTATGAAAACCTAGAGCTGTGCAGCCACTGGCAGGTGGGGGGACAGCTCAGGTTTGGACCTCCTCAAAAAGTTTTGACCCAAAGTACTGTCTTGTCTGGCAGCTTCCTAGAAAAGCTCCATTTGAAAGTCCTGTTATTTGACTGGACTCTGGCTAGCTCAGTGGGAAAAGCCCTATCCCCAGGGATTTTGTTGAAAACAACGAAAACAATGAGTGGCAACTGTTTAACATCTAACATCAGAACTGTGTAAGTCCATAATACCAGCTGGGGGAACCCAGCTTGGTCAAAAACATAAAAGGACCTAGGGAATAAGATATCCACAGAGGACTTTGAGAATCTAGAAGGTCATGCGAATATTCAAGGTTATGTGTATGCCCAGGAAAGACTGAAAAGGGCCCTAATCTCTGACTGACCTTCAAGACCTTGCTTAAAAAGTGAATTCCAGGGTAAAGCTGTAAAGTGCCTGAGTATCTCTGGCATGACCCAGCGCGCACACACACACAAACATACACACCTTCCCCCTTGGCAGAGGGTGGGAGACAGATCACATTGGTTCAAGGCATTTAAGAAAATCTCTCCAGTCATTAGCTGGTCATTAAGTTAACCAAGGAGAGAGTCTTTGGTGGCTGAAAATCAAAATCACAATGAGATTACACTTCATACTGTCTATGAATTTGAGAAAAAAATTAGCAAGGTGTAGTGATGCACGCCTGTGGTCCCGACTACTTGGGAGGCTGAAGTGGGAGGATCTCTGGAGCCTAAGGTGTCAACACTGCAGTGAGCCACGTTTGCACCACCACACTCCAGCCTGGACAACTGAGTGAAGCCCTTTCTCAAAAAAAAAGAAGGTGGTGTGAGAGGAAGAGGGCACCTCAAGAATCTTTTAGAATATTTAGCCTTTGTGGAGCTGGCCTATACGAATAAGGTGCTATGTAACACAATGTAAGGGACACACAGTGTATGAGGGAGCTAAACATCCTAGACAGAAAACAAGAGGTGGCAGCAGAAGAGAAACCAAAAAGAGACTAGCAGGATGCCAATAATAAACCTGATACATTTCAAGTTTGTTTAGCATGAGGTCTATTGTATGTACATCTAGAAAAAGAGAAGGAAACTTTTTCTCATTTTCCTTCCTGCAGCACTTTCCTATACTTCCCTCTATACCCACCCCTTAGACTAATAACTTGGTACTGCTAAATTTCAGCTCTATTATCAGTTAATGGGGCTATACAATTGATTATGTGGTAAATTTTCACTGGCAATTTAAGGACTGCACTTATTTTTTATCCTATCAAATAAAAAAGCTATCTCACTGTTTATTTCTCCCTTGAATATGTAAAGATTGGATAAGGAGGCTTCTAGGCCTAAAAATGAGAAGAAAAAAATGTATATATCTAAATTATACAAATTATATATGGATGTATACATATTTACATATTTATACACATATAAATTCCTAATTATATAAAGTTATACAGTTGACCCTTGAACAACATGGGTTTGAACTGCGAAGATCCACTTATGCATGAATTTTCTTCTGCCTCTGCCACTCCTGAAACAGCAAGACAAACCCCTTTTCTTACTCTTTCTCCTCCTTCAGCCTATTCAACATGAAGATGATGGGAATTGAAGACCTTTATGATGATCCACTGCCACTTAATAAATAGTAAATATGTTTTCTCTTCCTTAGGATTTTCTTAATCACATTTTCTCTCTAGCTTACTTTATTGTAAGAATACAATATACAATACATGTACCATTCAAAATATGTTAACTGACTATGTTATCAGTAGGGCTTCTGGCAACAGTAGGCTATTAGTAGTTAAGTTCTTGGGGAGTCCAGAGTTATATGTGAAGTTTCAACTGCACAAGGGGTAGTACCCCTAATCACCACATTGTTCAAGAGTCAACTGTAGTTATGTGTTCAATCAAAATGCACACACCCCATTGTTCATTAAAAATCATTACCAAGCTGGGCGCGGTGGCTCACGCCCGTAATCCCAGCATTTTGGGAGGCCAAGGCAGGCGGATCACCTGAGGTCAGGAGTTCGAGACCAGCCTGACCAACATAGAGAAACCGCGTCTCTACTAAAAATACAAAATTAGCCGGGCATGGTAGCGGGTGCCTGTAATCCCAGCTACTCGGGAGGCTGAGGCAGGAGAATTGCTTGAACCCAGGAGGTGGAGGTTGTGGTGAGCCAAGGTCGTGCCATTGCACTCCAGCCTGGGCAACAAGAGCGAAACTCCGTCTCAAAAAAAAAAAAATCATTACGAAAACTATTCTGCTGTATTACTCCATAGGATGATGTAATGTAAATTACTTCAATAAAAGACATCAAATCTCACATTTTAAAATACCTGAAAATTAGTTTCTTTCCATCCAGGTTTCTTGGCTAGCATCCTCACTAATGCCTGGCATGGCATTTCAGTTCGGTCCATTAGCTCAACAGCCTTGAAGTAAAATAAGAGAATAAGAGTTTAAGGGTTAAAGGTTACTTCCAAAGGAAGAGTAAATACCAAAGTCAAGTAAGTGGTTACCTCTGAAGAAAGGAGTGGAATAGAACTGAGGAGGGTTATTGAGGGAGCTTATATAGCTTCCGCTGTTATGCTTTATTTCTTTGTGTTTTTATGTCTATAATGCTTTATTTCTTAAGCTAGATGCTTGGTATATGGCTGTTAAATTAGTATCACTGAACGTTTATCTCACATTTCAGGAATTCACAAATAGTTTGCTCCATGCAAAATAATAGTTTTCATTTGCCTAGTGTGTGGCAGAAACTGCTTATATGTATTTTCTCTTCCTTGATTTTCCTAAAAACAGCAAAGCAGAATAGATTTGAAGTTCTAAAGTACCGAATATCAAAGATGCACAAACTCAGATCTAAACCCAATGGGCAGCAGACGCAGGACTAGACGGCTTCTGCCATAAGTGACAGTGCTCTTGCAGTGTTTCTCCTTACCGTTCCTCATTAGAATCACCCGGTATATGCCAAAATGAACTGCCATGCTCCTTTACAACACAGGTTTTTGAGAGGTTTTCATACCAATGGATAATGTCCATTCTACCAAGGAATCATGATGATAAAGGGGAGAAAAAGTACTGGATGAGGGGTGGTTTAAGTAGAGTGACCTATTTGCCTAGGAAGTTTATGAGCAAGTACCATAGTTAAAAAATTAATCTAAGCTGGGCTGGGCTGGGCACAGTGGCTCATGCCTGTAATCCCAGCACTTTGGGAGGCTGAGGCGGGCGGATCACGAGGTCAGGAGATCAAGACCATCCTGGCTAACATGGTGAAACCCCATCTCTACTAAAAATCCAAAAAATTAGCCGGGTGTGGTGGTGGGCGCCTGTAGTCCCAGCTACTTAGGAGGCTGAGGCAGGAGAATGGCGTGAACCCAGCAGGTGGAGCTTGCAGTGAGCCAAGATCGCCCCACTGTACTCCAGCCTGGGCAACAGAGCAAGATTCCGTCTCAAAAAATAAAAAAATAATCTAAGCCTTATAATTCAGAATAAGAATCTAATTTTCTTAAGTATTAAGTCATGAGCTTATAAAGGCCATAGAATACTGATGTTTAAAGATAGCAAACACTACACAGCTACAAGAAATAAAAAGTCCCACCTCATCTTTAATGCCATAAAACGTGTTCACCGGTTATAAAACACAGCAATTAGGACAAATCCTTCATTCATCAATTTCGCTGCTTCCATATAATCTAATTTTCTTTCACACTCAATTCTTCCCTATGCACTACCTTCTGGAACTCTTCCATACAAGCCAGCCTTTCTTTCCAGTTACTGCTGTCAAGAAGCTGTATACAGGTAGGGGGAAGAACAGCTGAAGCTTTTTCTTCACATACTTCTATCTGTAAGATACAAAAACATATTAGAATTAGGAATTGCTTAAGGGAACAGATGACAAGAACGTAAACATACTCCAGCCAAAACTAAAAGAATACTCCCATAGGTATGCTATAGTTTCTGAGGCTTCTATTATACTTTGATAAAGGAGATTGTCCAAGGCAGTTTCAATAAGCTAAAAAATATCAATTAACTGTACGTTGTAGAACCCAGCAAAGAACTCCAGTCTTCTCATTGGTCTCACTTTGCAGGGTTCATGATTTTCAGGCTCAGTGTGTTAATACTGACCGAGAGCTCAGGCTCCACTATTTCTTTAGTCTCCAGTCCTTTCTTGTTCTTGGTTCCAGTATTCCCTGCGCCTCCTGGTGCAGCTGGTTTCCCCTTTTTTGGTGGCCCACCAGCCTAAAAACAATTTAAAAAATAAAAATTAAACCACCTAAGGATTTAAAATAGTGGAGTTTTTTATTTTTATTTTTTTTGAGACAGTGTCTCATATTGTTGTCGAGCCTGGAATGCAGCTGCACAAGCTCAGCTTGCTACAGGTTCAACCTCCTGGGCTCAAGGGATCTTCCTTCCCACCTCAGCCTACTGTGTAGCTGGGACCACAGGCGTGTGCTACCATGCCTGGCTAATTAAAAAAAATTTTTTTTGTAGAGACAGGATTTTGCCATGTTGCCCAGGCTGGTCTCGAATTCCTGGCTGCAAGAGATCCTCCTGTCTTGGCCTCCCAAAGTGCTGGGATTACAAGCATGTATCACTGAACCCGGCCTAAAACAGTGGTTTTTAAACTTTTATTGAGTCACACACTCCCTTAAAAATTTGATTAAAATGAGGGATTACCCTAAAATAAACATTTTTTGTACCTACAAAATTTAGCAGTTTCAAGGTCAGACAGAAGCCCTGAAGACCACCCATGGGGTAATCTGTAGACCCCATATTAAAAACTTGAATTTAGAATTAATGAGATAAATGAAACAGAAGTGATGGCCTGAAATTATACTACATTTACAAATTAATTTGAGAATGACATCCTGATACCTTTATTTTTTTTACATTTATTTGGGTTTTTTTTTTTTTTTGTTTTCTGAGACAGGGTCTTGCTCTGTCATCCAGACTGGAGTGCAGTGGCCTGATCACGGCTCACTATAGCCTTGACCTCCTGGGCTTAAGCGAGCCTCCCATCTCAAGCAGCCCTCCCATCTCAGCTTCCCAAGTAGCTGAGCACAGTAGTTCACACCTGTAATCCCAGCACTCTGGGAGGCTAAGGATCCCTTGAGCCCAGCAGTTTGAGACCAGCCTGGGCAGTATGGCAAAACCCCATCTCTACAAAAAATACAAAAAAATTAGCCAGGTGTGTTGGTGTATGCCTATAGTCTCAGCTACTTGGGAGGCTGAGGTGGGAGGGCTGCTTGAGCCCAGGAAGTTGAGTCTGCAGTGAGCCATGATCATGTCACTATACTCTGGCTTGGGTGGCAGAGTGAGACCCTGTCTCAAAATAAATAAATTCATTCCACTCCAGTTTTCAAAAGTCCCAAGATACAAAAGCAGAATATGTACGGGGGAAAAAGTCACAAGAAAGTAGTATATTACAATGTACACAGCAAATGATAACTGTATTATGGCAACACACATCACCATTCACATTGTTCCTTGTACCTATTTTGGATATTTGTTATGAAATGCCCCAAACCTAAAAAGAAAAGATAAAATGAAAGGGGATCAAATTAGTCTTCAACATCCAGACCTGTTCTGAAACTAATGTTATCTTGAATATATTCCAATATTGTAAGTTGTATTTAGCAAAACTAAGGATACTAGTTTTTAACTAAATGGAAACCTGTAATACTTACCATGTCATATCGACAGTATGGTTTTGCTGGTTCACAGTAATAACCCCATAAAAGGATTTGCATTCTAACCCTAAAAATGGAAAATTCTGTACTCTTTGATTAACTAGGATACCTCTTCTGGATCTTTCTCTGTAATAGCATTCTCTATATGGAGAGATACTTCAAATAACAAATCTACTATTCTTTTTGTTGTTGTTAACAGACATCAATTTTTATTTATTAATTGACAGATTTATCGAGGCTGGGCATGGTGGCTCATGCCTGTAATTCCAGCACTTTGGGAGTCTGAGGCAGGCAGATAATTTGAGGTCAGGAGTTTGAGACCAGGCTGGACGACATGGTGAAATCTCATCTCTACTAAAAATACAAAAATTAGCCAGGCGTGGTGGCAGGTGCCTTTAATCCTAGCTACTCGGGAGGCTGAGGCAGGAGAATCACTTGAACCAGGGAGGCAGAGGTTGCAGTGAGATGAAATCGTGCCACCGCACTCCAGCTTGGGGGATAAAAGGAGACTCTGTCTCAAAAAAAAACAAAAACAACAACAACAACAACAAAACCAACCAAACAAAAAAGACAGAATTATCATTCTACATGATAGCTGGCTCAGTGGCTCACGTGCTGCTGATATTGTCCTACTTATCTTTTTCAGAATGGGAATAGAAGGAGGTTGCTCCCAGCATTTTAATTTTTAAGATAATTCCTCATAATAAGAGAAGGTCAGCCAGCATGAACATGGAAGGGTTTAAAGAGGTAAGAGGCAAGTGGGTTACAGCAAGAAAATCTGGACACATCTTTTAAGGTTTTGGGTCCAGGTAATTGTCCAGAGAAACAGGAACTAGTGAGAAAGGAGAAAATAGCTGCCGATTTCCTGTTCTAGAATGCCAAGGAGACAGCATAATGTGAAAGAAAGTAGAGTCTGTAACTAGAGGTACTCAGGGTAAATCCCAGCTCTGCCACTCTACACATTCCACAAACAGATACCCGGTTTCTACTATACGCCAGAAACTATTCTATGCATGGAGGATCAAGCAGTGACAAGATCTCTATCCTTTAAAAGCTTACAATATGGTGTGGGGATACAGTAAACAAAACAATCAAATCAACAATAAAAATATCAGAGCATGTGTAGGACACAAACTCCCTGAGTCTTAGTTTCATTTTTTGGAAAAACAAGGATAATGAATACCTACCTCAAGAGTTGTTACAGTGATTAAATGACATTATAAAGGCAAAGTGTTTCATAAAATGATGCTCACTAAATATCAGTTCTCTTCCCCTAACTCCATGCTGAGTGGTTCAAGATGGGGCTGGCGTGGGGAAGGAGAGTTAAACTTTTTGCATCTGCAGCAGATAACTCTCACTCTTAAGAGAGTCCACAGGACACATGCTCATTAAAAGAATGCCGTAATTGCCACTAGGCATTTGCCCCACTTCTACACTGTACAAAGGTGTAAACACCTGGACTGGCATGAAGACTCAGTGATGTGATCCATCGGCATTATCAGTAAAATGACCAATTGGTATTATTAGTTATTAATGTTAAGTGTGTTGCCACATTTTATTTCATTATTTAATGATACTTTCTGATCCTTTAAAATATACTCCTCCTGGCTGGGCGCAGTGGCTCATGCCTGTAATTCCAGCACTTTGAGGGGCTGAGGCAGGCGGATCAACTGAGGTCAGGAGTTCGAGACCAGCTTGGCCAACACGGCAAAACCCCATCTCTACTAAAAATAGAAAAAATTAGCTGGGCATGGTGGCAGGTGCCTGTAAACCCAGCTACTCAGGAGGCTGAGAATCGCTTGAGGAGGCTTGAACCTAGGGGGTGGAGGTTGCAGTGAGCCGAGATTGTGCCACTGCACTCCAGCCTGGGTGACAGTGCAAGACTCCACCTCAGAAAAAACAAAAAAAAAATACTCCTCCCTTGCATATGCAGTAAAATGATTTTTGACAAGGGTACCAAGGCGGTTTAATGGGGAAAGGACAGTCTATTCAACAAATGGTGCTGGGAAAACTGAATATCCACATGCAAAAAGAATGAAGTTGGACACCGTATATAAAAATAAAGTCAAAATAAAGACATAAATGTAAGACCTAAAACTATAAAATCTTTAGAACAAAATAGAGGGCAAAAGCATCATAAGCCTGGGGGCAGTGGCTCAGGTTTGTGATCCCAGGAATTTGGGAGGCGGAGGCAGGAGGATTCATTGAGCCTAGGAGTTTGAGACCTGCCTGGGCAACACAGTGAAACCCGTCTCTACAAAAATATTAAAAAATAAAAAATCAGCTGTGTGTGGTGGCACGTGCTTCTGGTCCCAGCTACTCAAAAGGCTGAGGTGGGAGGATTGCTTGAGCCTGGGAGGTATGCTGTGATTGTGCCATTGCACTCCAGCCTGGGGAACAGAGTGAGACCTTGCCTCAAAACAACCCAATTCAAAAATGGGCAAAGAACTTGAGTAGATATTTTTTTCCAAGAAGAACTATACAACTACAGATTGCCACCTGCACATGAAAAGATGCTCAAGGCCAGGCTTGGTGGCTCATGCCTGTAACCTCAGCACTTTGGGAGGCCAAGGCAGGAGGATCACTTGAGGCCAGGAGTTCAAGACTAGCTTGGGCAACACAGCGAGGCCCTCTATAAAAAATTTTTAAAAATAAGCTGGGTATGGTGGCAAGTCCCTGTCATCCTAGCTACTTGGGAGGCTGAGTGAGGAGGATCACTTGAGCCTGGGAGTTCCAGGTTGCAGTGAGCTATAATCGCACCACTGCCCTCCAGCTTGGACAACAGAGCAAGACCTTGTCTCTAAAAAATATAGAAAATAAAAACAAAGTAGTCAAATTCATAGAAACAGAAAGAAGGGGCTGGAAGAAGCTGAGAATGGGAGGATAGTTAATTGATTCATAGAGTTTCAGTGTTAAAACATGAAAAGCATTACGGCAATGGATTGTGGTGATGCTGCACAACATTATAAACATACTTAATATTAATGAACTGCACATTAAAAAGTTAAGACAGACCAGGCACGGTGGCTCACGCCTGTAATCTCAGCACTTTGGGAGGTCAAGGCGGGTGGATCACCTGAGGTCAGGAGTTCAAGACCAACCTGGCCAACATGGCAAATTCCCATCTCTACTAAAAATACAAAAATTAGCCTGGCATGGTGGCACGTGCCTGTAATTCCAGCTACTGGGGGGCTAAGGCAGGAGGATCACTTGAACCTGGGAGGCGGAGGTTGCAGTGAGCCAAGATTGCATCACTGCACTCCAGCCTGGGCAACAGAGCGAGACTCCATCTCAAAAAAAAAAAAAGTTAAGATAGTAAATTTTATGTTAAATTGACAAAACACACTTCTGTGCCTTCATCACCATTTTTATCTCTATTAAAGCTCCAAACAGCTGAATTTATTGCTGGAATATCCTATCTTCATTAACAGATTTTCTGCTGTATTTTTAATGTGGCCAATGAATTCATTTCTCAAACAAAATAATTTTAGAGGAACAACCACGAACCTGAGACTCAGACCCTTCCTTACTAACTTCTATTTTTAAATAATCTATTAACCTTAGCAGCAGGTGCCTTTTTTAGAGGTCCTGGTTTGGGTGCAGAAATGTCCTTTGTGTCCTTATCTCCTGCAGCCCCTGAAGCAGCAGTCCTTCCAGGCAGAGGTTTGAATTCCTTCTTATCAGCAGCTAGTCCAGCTTTCTTACCATGTATCAGTTCTACCTTTTCTGAACATTCTTTGATCTGGAGAATGAAAGTGAGATGAACATCATTAAGCCCAACTTTGAAACACAACCACTACGTTATTACATTTCTAAACCACAACTACACATAAGAATTCAGAGAAATGGCCAGGCAAGGTGGCTCACACCTATAATCCTAGCACTTTGGAAGGCCGAGATGGGTGGATCACTTGAGGTCAGAGGTTTGAGACCAGCCTGGCCAACATGGTGAAACCCCATCTCTACTAAAAATAAAAAAGTTTAGCCGGGCGTGGTGGCAGGCGCCTGTAATCCCAGCTACTTGGGAGGCTGAGGCACGAAAATCATTTGAACTCAGAAGGCAGAGGTTGCAGTAAGCTGAGATTGTGCCACTGCACTCCAGCCTGGGTGACAGAGTGAGATTCATTGCCAAAAAAAAAAAAAAAAAAAAAAAATTTTCAGAGAAAAAATTTCCCTTTCAACAAAAAAGATAAATTATCTACACTTTTTTGGCAGTAGATAGACATACGTAAGATATTAATCTTACATTTTATTTCTTTACAAATTAGAATTGTAATAAACTTAAAATGACCACATTGTTTATGGAAGACATTCACATATAAGAAGGTAATTTTCTGGACCTTAGAAATAAATTTATCTCACAGAACTGTTTTCACCTTCTCTACAGATTGGTCACTCAGCTTTTTTTCGGTTATAATTTGAAAGCTATTTCTACAATTATCACCATCATAGCCTGGAATGAAACTTAAATTCTCAAAAGCTAAGTTTTCAAACTCGGTCTGAACTATCAGTGGAGGATGAAATAAATTTCCTGAGGTGATATCAGCATTTTTTTCTTAATAAAACAACAGACAAAATTGAAGACAAAAAGTACCAGAGAGCATCCTCCAAAACTTGTTTCAATTATGCATTTCTTTCCTACTATAAATGGCAATTTAAAAAAAATCAAGAACTCCTCATCAAAACTACCAGTACTCTATAACTGTCAAGAGACAAAGCCATGATGCAAAGAGACAGGAATGTTGTCCAATTTCAGTCCAATCCATTACTAACCTACCTTATCAAGCTTGAGTTTGTCCACATCAGCTAGGAATGGGTTTACTGCTTTCTCGCCAACCACCTTCAAAGCAGTACCCAATGCTTCAAATGCGGCATCTCTGACTTCAGGAGCAGAATCATTGATGTGCTATAGTCCAGAAGTAAGCAAAATGATATTAATGCAAGGTATTTTAGGCATTACTCATTTTAATTCAGACTGATGGTTGCTAGATAAAGAATTTGCTTTTTACAATTTACTGGAACTAAGTATAGCTTTCCTTGTGCCAATTGACAGTTACTCTTTCAAAAATTCTTTTTGGGCCAGGCACAGTGGTTCATGCCTGTAATCCCAGCACTTTGGGAGGCCAAGTTCGAGACCAGTCTGGCAAACATGGTGAAACCCCATCTCTACTAAAATACAAAAACTAGCCGGGCGTGGTGGCACATGCCTATAATCCCAGCTACTCAGGAGGCTGAGGCAGGAGAATTGCTTGAGCCTAGGAGGCAGAGGCTGCAGTGAGCCAAGATTGTGTCACTGCACTCCAGCCTGGGCAACAGAGCTAAACTCCATCTCAAACAAAACAAAAACAACAACAACAAAAAAAAAAAAACAAAAATTTTTCGGGTTAAGGAAACCCTTGGTAATCCATTTAGCAAATAAGTATTTCCTTTTCCTCTTACCCTCTATCTAAAATAACTCACTCCCAAATGATCTTCAAATACTCCACATTTGATGCCTATGCTTGGCCAGATTCAGCTGAACACCAGTATATGGGACAAGTAAGAAACAACATGTTTAACAGTTAATGGAATCATAACACTAACTTGTGCTTTCTTTCAAGAAGAGGAACACAGGAGAATTTGGATTCAGTTTCCAAGCTGCAAAGGCTCTGCTCCTCAAAAGATCATAACCTCTATAGTCTGAAAGTCAAGTAGTCACTGTACATAATTTGCAGGAAAAGAATCTTGCCTAGGTATAAAATATTCCCCCAACTTCAAAGAGAGTCTGTACCTTAAGTAGTGCAGCACAAAAGGGCTTTAGCAAGCTCTTTGGCAGGGTAGAAGCAGTGCAGTGGCGGAAACTTCTTGCAATAAAAAGAGATGTCTGCTGCTTGATGGTTGGATTTTTATTATCCATTACTGCTAAAACATCCTCACTGATGTTCTGTAGTGTGGTCTTTAGAAAGAAAATGTGGTTAATGAGCTTTTTTCAATTGTAAAGAACAATCAAAATATTATATTTACAAACTTTACTTCAGATAAAACTACAAACTCATGCTGTCAACTTACAGTAAGGAAGATTGCATCAATTGCCTCCTGCAGGGCTTGTACCACTTGAGGTTTCTTCTCTTTGAATTTCTCCAAGATGGTTGGCACAACCTGTAAAAGTGAATGGCTAGCACATTATTCAGCAACAAAGAGGAATGATATATTGATATATCCTAGAACATGGCTGAACCTTAAAAATAGTATGCTAAGTTAAAAAAAAAGCCAGTCACAGGCTGGGCACAGTGACTCATGCCTGTAATCCCAGCACTTTGGGAGGCTGAGGCAGGTGGGTTGCTTGAGGCAAGGAGTTCAAGACCAGCCTGGGCAACAGAGTGAGATCTTGTCTCTACTAAAACAAACAAAAAAAAATTAGCCAGGTGTGGTGGTATGTGCCTATGATCCCAGCTACTTGGGAGGCTGAGGTGGGAGGATTACTTGAACCCAGGAGGTCAAAGCTGCAGTGAGCTACGACTGCATCACTGTATTGTAGCCTGGGCAACACAGCAAGACCCTGTCTTCCAAAAAAAAAAAAAAAGCAGTCACAAAGACCATGTATTGTATGACTCCATTTACATGAAATGTTAAATCCAGAGACAAAAAAGTAGATTAGTGGTTGCTAGAGTCAAGGGCAGGGAGCAGCATGGGGAGAGACTGTTAATGGGCAAGGGGTTTCTTTTTGGGGTGATGAAGATGTTCTGGAATTAGATAGTGCTGATGGTTATGTAACATTGTGAATATTCTAAAATCACTTTAAGAGGGTAAATTTTATAGTATGCAAGTTTTATCTCAATAAAACTTACTTTCTAAAAAACCACCTTGTCTCCACCAAAACAAACCAATAAAGCAAACATTTAAGTGGAATAAAAAGTCATTTCCTTTCATGAAGGACATCGTATCTTATGCCGGAACAATGAAGAATTCTCATTCTCTCCCACTATGGCAGTGCTTCTCAACCTATTTGCCGCCTCTGCTCTGTCACCCACGTGGGAGTGCAGTGGGATGAACATGGCTCACTGAAGCCTCGGCCTCCTGGGCTCAAGTAATCCTCTCATCTCAGCCTCCCGAGTAGGTAGGCCTCAGGTATATGTCACCACACCTGCTATTTTTTTTTTTAATTCTTAATTTCTTGACCATTTCCCTGTAAATATAATTTTTTATTTTATTTTTTGTCGAGACGGGGGTTTCTCCATGTTGCCCAGGCTGGGGAAGAAAATTTCTAAGGTCCAAAGGACACAGCAAAGCTCAATGGCATCCAAAAACAAGAAATAATTGTTTTCAAGATTTCACAGAAGTGGTTATAGACTACTTGGTATAGTTCAAGGACTATGGTTCCCATGGAAAAATACAAGACTTTTTAATACTAGTTATAAACTTGAAAATCAAGATATTTTAATGTCTATAAAGCTAACATTCACTTTTATAAATATTGCCAAAAAGTTTGTAAACATTTAAAGAAAATAAAGCCAAGTCAGTAACATGCTTGATACTAAACACCGCATATATTACAGTATTAAGGTGGGGGAGACCCCAAACTACAGAGCAATAGAGACATTCTTTAACCAGGACAACAAACTGAAACAAAGCCAGAATCAGAACTCAAACTGGAAAGCCAGTTAATTATCCAACCATAATTTGGTAAATTAAAATGAATTTTAGGCCGGGTGTGGTGGCTCAAGCCTGTAATCCCAGCACTTTGGGAGGCTGAGGCAGGCAGATAGCTTGAGCTCAGGATTTCGAGACCAGCCTGGGCAAGGTGGCAAAACCCCATCTCTACCAAAAATACAAAAAGTACTCAAGCATGGTGTGGGGTGTGCCTGAAGTCCCAGCTACTCAGGAGACTGAGGTGGGAGGATCACCTGCGCCTAGGAGGTTAAGGCTGCAGTGAACTGAGATGGTGCCACTGCACTCCAGCCTGGGTGACAAAGTGAGACCCTGTCTCAAAAAAAAAAAACTAAAATTATTCTCTGAACTGATATTTAAGTGGTGTAGGAAAAAATTGTTTTTTATCTTGAAAAATTATTCCCAATATAAAAGTGTAAAATATCCTAAGTAATATAAAATTGATCAAAATGGCATATACACATCGATATTATATAATATTGATTGCTATAAAAATAGATTTTAATTTTATTTCAATTTATGATGTATATGTCTAAGGGTTTTACAGACCCTTATTTTTATTTCCCTAGTAATAAGCCAGTCATGATTTATTTTTATTTGGTAGTGTCTTCTTTTTCTTCAGTTAAGTTCTCTGAGATTATTTTTAATGCTATGAGTAAGCAAGCTCCAAATACCATAGCTCATGTGAGGCTAGGTATTAGCTTCACAATATAAAATGGACACATGACTAGGGACTATTAGGAAACTCCTAAGTCAGTCTAGGGAATCAAATGATGAAGGGGCTAGCAAGCTAAACTCTAAAGATCAATAAGGTCAATTTTTAGGATGCTGAGCCATTCTTAGTAATGCAGACCGGATTTAGAGGCCAAAGGACAGATGCCACAGTTAAAGAAAACATCTTAATTAAAATTATTACCAAATTTGATTGGAAACAAACTTATACAAATAGTAAGTCAACAAATGTCTCCAGTCAGATTTTCTTTGAATAAGTAAAACGGAGATAACCTATATAAAATATATAACATTGTAACCTATATAAAATGTCTCAAATATGTAAGTAAATTATATATTAAAATAGGAAAACAATGTAAAACACATTTTATATATTAACCTCACAGTTTTACATTTATAGTTTTACATTGCCTTTCCGACTCTCATTTTCATTCTGGTCCTGGTCGTTACAAGTTTTGTTTCATCTTGTTATGATGTGTATAATGTTGTAAGAACAAAGCAAGATACTAGTAAGTAAATAAGTAATAAGCAAATAAATAAACTCAACTAAGTACTTTAGGCCTAGTGCCTGACTTTCTACATAAGGCCTATAAATTTTGTTACAACTGACATCTACTGAAATTTCTAAGATATATCTATGCTGAATATTAACAAAACAGAGAGAAATTTACTTTGTACAGTATATACACATCTATGCCAAGGAGTTGTTTTAAAGCAAACAGCAAACTAGGCCTACCATTTTTGATAAATTTTGTTGATCTGTATCTAAAAAGGAGTGTTACTTACATGTCCTGCATATTGTCCAAATTTCTTCCTTAGCCCAACAGCCAGGCCAGTAAGACATTTTGCTGCCAAAGCCACCAACATGACATTGGTGTCCTTTCCAACAACCTACAAAGGGGGGTAAAAAGGAAAACAAAATAGTCACAGCCATGTAGAAGGGTATTGAAATTTTATTCTCAAAAGAACTCTGAGGCCGGGTGCAGCGGCTCACACCTGTAATCCCAGCACTTTGGGAGGCCAAGGTGGGTGGACCACCTGAGGTCAGGAGTTTGAGATCAGCCTGACCAACATGGTGAGACCCTGTCTCTACTAAAAATACAAAAATTAAGCAGGCATGGTGGCAGGCACCTGTAATCCCAGCTATTTGGAAGGCTGAGGCAGGAGAATCACTTGAACCTGGGAGGCGGAGGCTGCAGTGAGCCGAGATTGCACCATTGCACTCCAGCCTGGGCAACGCAGCAAGACTCCATCTCAAAAAAAAAAAAGAACTCTGAAAGCTCTTATGCTAATATATGACCAATTTTATTTACTACAACAGAGGAGAAATTCTTCTTTCATTGTATCGAATTTGGGAGCTTCCCTTCATTATGTTTAGTCTTCTATCTTAAAGTTCTACTAATAAAACATAGATAAAACCACAACATCAAATTGCTCACTATCCAGTAGTGGCAGTCTGGGCTGTCAGCACTGTTCAACTGTGCAGGAAATGACCCTGATAATGGCAGAGAGACGAGAGGTCTGCTGACTTTGCTTTGGGACAAGGAAAATGAAAAGGCAATGTATCTCTGAAAGACATCACAGGGCAACAGCTCTAATATTCATAACCAAGAAGCACCAGTACAAACGGCTGCAGGTACCTTCAGGAAGTCCATGGGGACTCTAAATTGTGAATGCTACTGCATTCTTCTGAGAACCATTCTTCTGAGGGAGCTTCTGGCCTTGAGGCTGCCACTTCAGTCATCTAATAATGGTTAAGCTTCAATTCAGAGTCTCAGTCGATTCTCCTCTAGCACTGCTTATATTACTGCCCTCCTATGCCACAACCCACAAAGCCCAGCACTTATCTAAACTCACGGGTAGTAGCTGCATCTGTGTCAATTTAACAAGATACTGACTACGACTGGGTTCCTTCCTGGTAAGATTTTACTGTGGTACACTGCCCAATCAGTTGGTGTTAAAAAGCTGCTTTATTATATAATAATACAGGCAGTGTGACGTGTGCCTGTAGTCCCAGCTACTTGGGAGGCTGAGGCAAAAGGATCACTTGAATCTGGGAGGCAGAGGTTGCAGTGAGTGCAGATCGCACCACTGCACTCCAGCCTGGGTACCAGAGCAAGACAGACAGACAGACAGACAGACAGACACACACACACACACACACACACACACACGGCTGCTTTATTTATAAATGCACACACACACACGGCTGCTTTATTTTTAAATGCCCCCAACTCTTCTTTTTTCACTCTTTTCCCAGTAAGAGTAATGCCTCCAGTCTACTTTGAATTTTATCTAGTCCCTACAATGTGGTGTTCCATAAGCAGAATGCTTTATTCTAGATTCTCTGCATTAAACAACTCCTAACATGCAACATGAAAGAAGTTCTACTTGGCACTTATATGCACTCCTTAAGTGCTGAGGAATAAGGATAAAGAAACTAACATTTATTGAAAAAACAAATTAGGCACCAAAATTTTGTAGGCACTTTATAATCCTTTTTAAGTTTAATTTTCACCCAAACCCTATGAGGTAAGGACTATTATTATTTCAACTTTGCAGATTCACAGCCAGGCATGGTGGTTCACGCTTGTAACCTCAGGACCTTAAGAGGTTGAGGTGGGAGGATCGCTTGAGCCCAGGAGTTCAAGACCAACCTGGGCAACATAGCGAAACCCTGTCTCTACCAAAAATAGAAAAATTAGCCAGGCATGGTGGCATGCGCCTGTAGTCCCAGGTACTCAGGAGGCTGAGGTAGGAGAATCTCTTGAACCTGGGAGGCGGAGGTTGCAGTGAGCCAAGATCATACCACTGCACTCCAGCTTGGGTGACAGAGCGAGACACTATCTCAGAAACAAAAAAACAACAAAAAAGTGCAGACTTCAAAAAGATTTTTTTTTTGAGACAGAGTCTGGCTTGATCTCAGCTCACCGCAACCTCCCCCTCCCAGGTTCAAGCGATCTTCCCACCTCAGCCTCCCGACTGGCTGGGACTAAAGGCACATGCTACCACACCTGCTAATGTTTCTATTTTTTGTAGAAACAGAGTTTCTTCATGTTGCCCAGTCTGGTCTTAAACTACTGGGCTCAAGCAATCAGCCCGCCTCGGCCTCCCAAAGTGTTGGGATTACAGATGTGACCTACTGTACCCAGCCAGATTCTAAAAATTAAATAAAGATTAATGTGCTTACAGTCAGGTAGTTAGCAAATGGTAATGCTGTGTGATTCAAACCCAGGTCAATTCTGACTCCAAAGTTTTTGCTCCTTTTATTAAGTAAAGCATGTTCTCCCTCTCAACTTGTGTTAAGTTCACTTTTCCTTACGAGAGGATGAGATCAGGGTCCTAATAAACATTTTGTTAAATCTCTAATTACTGTAAGTCTATGAAGAAAAAAATTTTCCATTCATTTCTGTATTGAAATCACTATTGGTATTTATAAATGTTCTGATTATTTTTCCTTATCAAAATACCTCTCAGATATGATTTAGATGCTAGGCTTTATATTTAGCATCTAAATATATATTCTAGGAATGGACATCAAAAACATGTAAGATCCCATTCCAACAAATTCTAGTTCAATGAATCTGGGATGAAATTTGGACATCAGTATTTTTAAATGGCTCAAAGGGTGATTTTGTCATATGGGCTCAGTTAAAAAACTATCATTCTATTCCTTTCTTAGGAGAATACCTCTCCCTATCCATTGTTGGAACAGTAACCAGTGGGAGCTAGACTCTAGACACTCATGATCTTATTGTATAGTATTGAAGAAGATACTGCGAATCTGTTAAATTTCAAGATTGCAAAGGCTCAAATAAACTTATAAGTGAGCAATGGACCAGATACCCTAATATAATACCTGCCTGTCACACTCATTGACACTCATTGTTTATTCCCATAAACAAGTTATTCTCAACAGGGAAATGAGAGTAGGGAAGATGGAGAAGTGTTTATTTTTAAGAAAAGTAACATATGAGGGGGGACTCCATTTCAGAGGTAAGAAAAACAATGACTTCTGTCTTTTCAGTAATTTCTGTTCTAGACCAGGGAATGGAAGCTTTAGCTCATAATCTCAATATAATTTAAACAATAGGAAATCTTGTACAGTTTTAAGTGCTGTCACTTTTCTCATAAATTGAGGCCTACAGTATTAAAACAAAGTGCTTTAAAGTAATTATCAATTGGTATTTATCTTTAACTAGAAATTAAAGCCACTAGTTAATAATAACTAAAGCACACCGTTGACAGAGGAAAGGAAACAAATTAATGAAACCCATTATGAATTACTGTGTTTAGAAAACTATGATGAAAACAAGCAATAATTAAGGGGGGAAAAGTAGAAAGAACAAGTGAAAAAAGATTAATACCACATAGAAGTCTAAAGATTATATAAGAAAGCACTTCGAAAATCCAAATCTTAATGTAAAGATAAATAAATTATATATATATAAAAAATCAAATGTCCATAGGCATAGGCACATGACAAAATCAAAGAAGCGATGAGCTGGGAGGGAGGCATCTTATAAATAAAAGAACTATAGGCCAGGCGCAGTGGCTCACGCCTGTAATCCCAGCACTTTCAGAGGCTGAGGCAGGCAAATCACTTGAGGACAGGAGTTCAAGACCAACATGATGAAACCCTGTCTCTACTAAAAATTAAAAAAAAAAAAAATTAGCCGGGCATGGTGGCACGCGCCTGTAATCCCAGCTACTCAGGCGGCTGAGGCAGGAGAATCGCTTGAACTCGGGAGATGGAGGTTGCAGTGAGCTGAGATCGTGCCACTGCACTCCAGCCTGGGTGACAAAGCGCAACTCTGTCTCAAAAATAAATACATCAATTAAAAATAATAGAAAAAAAAGAACTATAATCTGTGAGAACAGGAAAGCCCACAGAATATGCTAAATCAGGTGACAACTCAAAACAGTTTAAAAATAATTTCAGGAATATCATAAGAAATTTTAAAGTTAATGCCTTTTTACTACTTTCATTAAAGGAAAAAAATTGAGAAATTAATGGGATTACTTGATTTATACAATACAAAGAAGAGATAATTATAAGGAGGGAAAAAGGATTGGTCTGTAATCTATTCTTCAATCTCATCCTCTTTTTTCCATTTCACCATTTCCCCACTTTTTTCCATTTCACCATTTCCCCACTTTTGTTATGTTTCTAGGAAGTCAACATAATACAAAGTTTGTGTGTACATATAACTAAAATCAAATACAAAAAATAAAATGTCAGCTGGGCACCGTGGCTCATGCCTGTAATCCCAGCACTTTGGGAGGCCAAGGAGGGTAGATCACCTGAGGTCAGGAGTTCGAGACTAGCCTGGCCAACATGGTGAAACCCCGTCTCTACTAAAAACACAAAAATTAGCTGGGTGTGATGGCAAGTGCCTATAAATCCCAGCTATTTGGGAGGCTGAGGCAGAAGAATCACTTGAACACGGGAGGCAGAGGTTGCAGTGAGCCGAGATCGTGCCACTGCACTCCAGCCTGGGCAACAATAACGAAACTCCATCTCAAAAAAGAAAATAAAAAAAATAAAATGTCTCTGTCACTACTTAAGGCAAAAAGAAAAGAAAATGTCGTTTCAGGTTAATTTTTACAACTGAAGTTAACTTTTCATTGTTTTAAATATTTTAGCCACAAAATTCAGTTTCTTTTTACTTGTTTGTGGTCTCTGATTCCCTCCACCCCACCACGTGAAAAGGGAAAGAAGTTTCTACTGCTACCCTAGATCTCTCAGAAATCTATTGTCTGTCTACTCAAATATAAAATCCATGATGCTCTCTCTTTATATAGTACAGCAAGAGATTATATTTACATTCACAATGCCAATGGAAACCACAGAACTGTCTTTGTGTGAGAAGCTAATATCCTTAGAAAATACATGTAGAAAACACATAATATTAATGATAAGGAAAAAGAAAAGGTTTTCTTTGACACATCGAGAATTCAGCACCAGAGCAATAAGATTTCTAATTAATAACCAAATGCTGGAAGAATTGACAGAGAATCTGTAGCTCTCTTCATATGCCACTGGAACCTGACTTTCCTTGTCTCAGTGCCCTCTACTATTCCCCTTCCCATTCTTTCCTCCCAGGTTCCAGGTTGGTAAAACTCTTTTTCCCCTAGGGCAACTCTCTTTTAATTTATTTTACACGAGTGTAACTCTTCAAGATGGAAAATTGATGACTGAACAAAGATTTCACAAATCATATCTCTGCCTCCAAGTCCCACTGAAGGAAAGCCTAGGAAGGTTAACTACTAGAATATAGTTGATCCTCATCATTCACGAATCCATATTTGCAAATTCACCTACTTGCTAAAACTTGCTTATAATCCCCAAATCAACACTCATGGTACTTTCCTGGTCATTTACAGACAAGTTCAGAGCTGTGAACATTTTGTGTTGTCTATTGTGCACATTCCCAGCTGAGGTAGACAAGATAACACTCTACCTTCTTGCTTTAGCTTTTACACTATAAACAAGTGTCTTTTTCATGGTTTATTCAGTGCCATGTTTTTGCATTTTTGTGTTTTTTGTTGGTGCTCTTGTTGTTTAAAATGGCCCCTAAGTGTAGTGCTGAAATGCTGTCTAGTATTCCTAAGTGCAAACAGGCTGTGATGTACCTTAGGGAGAAAATATATGCGTTAGGAAAAGCTTCAATCAGGCAAGAGTTACAGTGTTGTCGGCCAAGAGTTCAATGTTAATGAATCAACAACATATATTAAATATGCTATCTCCAAACAGAATAAAACAAAGTTATGTACTGATTGATGGAAATGTTGTGACCAAAGGGTTGCAGGATCCTAACCCTGTATTTCTCTTAGAAGCAATGATTCAATATTCACTAATTTAGTGTTCGCAGTGGCTTTACAGAATATAACTACTACAAGTAATGACTTAGGTGTGCGTATAATTAAAAATCAACTTCCTCCCCTCACCATTGTAATCCTCTGTAATTTCAGACTGAGGAAGCAAACAAAACAAAATTTTCATTCTTGCTATATTCATGAAGATGTTTTCAGAGTTTGTTCTTAAGCACTATAATCATATCCACAGTGTTTGATCTATACTTACAGTTTTCATAAAAAGTTACTACATACAAAATGTCCACCAGCAGCATTCAACTTGCAATACCAAAAGATTATTTCCTAAAAATGTTTATCTCTTACTTAGTACTTGTCTGTTTCAGAACTGACCTCATATTCGTATACTCTTTACATACTGATACAAAGTAGTGTGTTATCATTTGCTATCTTCATGTTTAATATTTGTCCAATTAAATACAGCTAACTTAAATAGCTCATCCTATAGAATTATAAAACTGGAAAATGTAGTTCTAGATCAGCAACTCTCTTTTCCTAGAGAGTTACAGAAGCTATCAAATAGCATACCTAAAGTCAAAGTGACAAAAAACAAAGATTGAAAATGAAACTAACCCACAACAGGAATTTAAAACAACCCTTTAAAAATGTATGTCTGTAATTCAAATACCATCAGTAATGTTCCTTAAGTGGCAATGTATGTGTAATTAAAAAGATGACTGATGAGAAATTCAAAGGCCTGATGGCTGTTACAATACCAGTACTGCAAGTCCTCATATTTACCTTCTTTAATGCTTTTACTAAATCTGCATAATCGCCAGCTTCCAGTTTGGGGTTTTTTATTAGTACTTCTACAGACTCCAGGGCCTCTTTTCTCTCTTGCCATTTTTTTGCCTCCTGCAAGATACAATATGAGTCATTTGTAACAGGAAATAAGAGAGCGGAATAAAAGTCTATTTATTGCACTCTGCTAATTCAAAGATACATAATTTTTTTAAAAAATTATAAAACTGGCCGGGCGCAGTGGCTCACGCCTGTAATCCCAGCACTTTGGGAGGCCGAGGAGGGCAGATCATGAGGTCAGGAGATCGAGACCATCCTGACTAACAAGGTGAAACCCTGTCTCTACTAAAAATACAAAAAATTAGCCGGGCGTGGTGGCAGGCACCTGCAGTCCCAGCTACTCGGGAGGCTGAGGCAGGAGAATGGCATGAACCCGGGAGGCGGAGCTTGCAGTGAGCCAAGATCGCGCCACTGCACTCTAGCCTGGGCGACAGAGCGAGACTCCGTCTCAAAAAAATAGTAATAATAATAAAAAATAAAACTGTGGAGGCAATCAGAACATTTTGTTCATATATATAAATTTTTGTTCATATATAAAAAGTATTTTCATAAGATGTTATAACTAAAGTAATATAATAAACAAACAATGCCATAGACGTTTCATTCTCATTTTCTAGGCAAACGTTAGTAAGCAGATGTCAAACAGAAAACATTAATAGAAAGCATTTCTAGCCCACCCATCTCACAGCAGCACAATTACAGGAGAGGAATTTCTACACTGACAACATTAAAAAGACCAGAAAAGAACAATCACATAACCAACAACCCACTACTACAGTGGTGGTTGGGATAAGACTGTGTTTCTCAACTGGGGATGATTTTGTCTCCTAGGGAACTTCCGGCAATGTTTCAAGACATTTTTGATTGTCATGACTTAGGGAGATGGTATTACTGACATCTAGTGGATAAAAGCCAAAGATGCTGCTAAACATCATACAATGCACAGGACAGCTGACAAAAAATGTCAACAGTGCTAAGGTCAAGAAACCTTGGGGTAAAGTAGTGGCAGTAGAAACGGAGAAAGGGGAGGAATCCGGAGCTCTTTAGTGTTAAAAACCAGAGAGAAAATTAGAAAAAGGAAGTCAAGAATGTTCTGGTTTTATGGCAAGACATGTTTTAAAAAAGTGCTATAATATATATATGTACAAAGTAGTGTGGGAGCAAAGAGGAAGAAGCAACTAACTCACTCTACTAGGGAAGATATGGGATGGAAGGGGGTGCATCAGGCAAGGGCTCAGCAGAGTATTCTAATTCTATTCAAGTAATTATTTTACAAGAAATAAATGAAAGAAGTTTAACTATTACTTACAATTTTGTCATAAAAGTCTTTGGGAAGTTTGGAAAGGATTTCTACAGCTTCTAAAAGCTCATAAGCATCTATTTGTGGCACCTCATCACCATCATCACCACCTTTAAGGAGAAAAACAACACAAACCTTAAAAATGCTTAGAATTGTTTTACTTATCAGTTATCAGTCCTTTCACAACCCTGATGAAATTTTAATAGAGAAGGGACCAGAGTTATTAAAGCTACATGCAACTTATATTTTATTAAAGGCAATCCTACAAAATATGCCTAATGAACACAGATTCTCATGGCAGTGCCAGTTCTTGCTAATTTTTGCAGAAACCGGTGTTTAAAATTGGCTTACCTCCTTCAGCATCTCCACCAGCAGACTGTTGTTGTTCCAATTTAGCTTCTAGTTCTTGTTGGGAACGAAGAAATCGAGTAGGTCTAGGAGCACTTGTTGGCAGTTTGACCCATTCTTCTTCTAGTTCTTTCAACTGCAAATGTCATATAATATTTAAATAATATCTGCATCTCCACCATTAGTTAACATACTTAATACTTACATTTATTGACATATCAGGACCCAATTTCTTTCTTTTTTTTTTATTGGAGACAGAGTCTTACTCTGTCACCCAGGCTGAAGTGCAGTGGTATGATCTTGGCTCACTGCAACCTCCACCTCTTGGGTTCAAGCAATTCCCGTGCCTCAGCCTCTCGAGTGGCTAGGATTACAGGTGTGCACTACCACATCCGGCTAATTTTTGTATTTTTAATAGAGATGAGGTTTCACTATGTTGGCCAGGCTGGTCTTGAACTTCTGACCTCAGGTGATCCTCCTGCTTCAGCCTCCCAAAATGCTGGGATGACAGGTATAAGCCACCGTGCCTGGCCTCTAATTTCTTATTTATGTGGCTCTACCAGGGCAAACAAGAAAGATTCATTCATTCATTCATTGAGAGACAGGGTCTCAACTCTTTTGCCCAGGCTGGACAATTTTGGCTCACTGCAGCCTCCACCTCCCCAGGTTCAGGTGATCCTCCCACCTAAGCTTCACGAGTAGCTAGGACTACAGGCTGTGCTACCATGCTTGGCTAATTTTTTTTTTATTATTTGTAGAGATAGGGTTTGCCATGTTGCCCAGACTGGTCTCGAACTCCTAGGCTCAAGTGATCTGTCTCCCTGGGCCTGCCAAAGTGCTGGGATTATAAGTGTGAACCACTGCACCAGCGGAAGAAAATATATAATTAAATTTTATTTCTTTTACAGCATAAGTCAAACCAACTTGAATTTACTATAAGGAAGACGTATGTCTAAGCACTAAGAAAGAACAGTAAGTCCCACTTTTTAAGACACTCTCATTAGTTCATTAATTCAGATACATTTACATCATCAGAAGAGTCTCCAAAACCAATTGTAATAAAAAGCCAGAAAGAATGTACTTCACACAGATAATAAGTTCTGCCACCCAAGAGAATTGCTGAGAAAGTTAGCTATGCTCAGAAAAGCTGATTTCAAAATTAAGAATGTAAAATAATTATTTTTAAGGACAGAATATCAACAACGATAGGAAGAAAATATTTTCATATTAACCTTGTGCGAAAGCAACCAGAAAACTTTTTGTCTCACCTGAACAGAGTTTATATTTTGTAATGGGGGTCTCAGAGCATCCCGAATCCATCTGTAAATCTCCACAGCAATTAGTTTGGCTTCATCTCGAACAGCCTTCTCTCGAGACTCAAAGAGTTTTGGCAACACTTTGATAATTGGCTTAAGCAAGATGATTTTGGAACCAAATTCACTACAAGTAAAAAATTGGGAAAAAACTGTCAACGTGCAATGCAATTAAATAAAGCATTAGCTTTTCTTCATTCAAACATAGTTCCATATCTACATATTAGAAGAATTATATAAGTTCAGTTTTTTTTAAGGCAACAAAAGAAAAGGAACTCATAACTGCTTACCTACTAAGGTGTTGTTCTTCTAAGAATATTATTTAATGTGTAGGGCCCAAAATAATATTACCATTTTTAAACAAACTTTCTAGGTAAGCAGACTAGGAATAATTAAAACCTATAAAGGATCAACATGTTTAATACCCTTTTTTTTTCTTTTTCAGATGGCATTTTGCTCTTGTTGCCCAGGCTAGAGTGGTATGGCATGATTGCAGCTCACTGCAACCTCTGCCTCCTGAGTTCAGGTGATTCTCCTGTCTCAGTCTCCCAAGTAGCTGGGGTTACAGGCATGCGCCACCACGCCCAGCAAATTTTTGTATTTTTAGTAGAGATGGGGTTTCACTATGTTGGCCAGGCTGGTCTGGAACTCCTGACTTCAGGTGATCCACCCGCCTCAGCCTCCTAAAGTGCTGGATTACAGGCGTGAGCCACCACACCCAGCCTAATACCACAAATATGTATGTATATACATATAAAAGCTTACAAATATAAACTAGTTTATAAATATTTACATGAATGAAATCTACTTTTAATAAACCTTTAATAGCTCCTATAATTAAAGTGATTCATTTACCTAGATAGATCACAAATCTTGGCAATATTTTGTTCCTGACTTTGTGGCTATCACACTATAACTCTGGGCATCTTAAATCTTTCTTTACTTCAGTTTTCTATGGGGAAAATGTTGCATTTTGACTTCTTTCAAAAAGCATATTTGGCCAGGCGCAGTGGCTCACACCTATAATCCCGGCACTTTGGGAGGCTGAGGCAGGTAGATCACCTGGGGTCAGAAGTTCAAGGCCAGCCTGGCCAACATGGTGAAACCCTGTCTCTACAAAAATACAAAAATTAGCCAGGCACGATAGTGGGCGCCTGTAATCCCAGCTACCTGGGAGACTGAGGTGGAAGAATCGCTTGAACCCGGGAGGCAGAGGTTGCAGTGAGCCGAGATCGCGCCACTGCACTCCATCCAGCCTGGGCAACAGAGCAAGGTTCCGTCTCAAAAAAAAAATAAAATTAAAAAAAAGTGTGTTTAACCTTACATATCTGTCATAGATTACATTTTCAAGTTCCCAACTGGCCAATTTTAGCTATCTAATATCACTATTAACATTTGTGAGTATCAGATTCTGGAGCAGGAGAGATTTATTTATGAAAGAACACTGAAATTCTGTATGAGTAGTAGGACCCAAATTATTATTTATCTATTATCTAATGTGCACAAATTTATCTCATGTGAGCAAATGCAACAAAATTACTCAGTAATAGCTACTAGTGTACTCCAACGATTTTTTTTTCTTGGTTTTTGTTTTTACTTTTTTGGAGACAGGGTCTCACTATGTCATCCAGGCTGGAATGCAGTGGTATGATCACAGCTCACTGCAGCCTCGACCTTCCCTGCTCAAGCTATTCTCCAGACTCAGTCCCCCAAGCAGCTGAGACTACAGAGGGGCACCACCATGCCCGGCTAATTTTTTTTTTGTATTTTTTGTAGAGACGGGGTTTCTCCTTGTTGCCCAGGCTGGTCTTGAACTCCTGGGCTCAGGCAATCTGCCTGCCTCAGCCTCCCAACCCAAAGTGCTGGGACAATACAGGCATGAGCCACTGCTCCTGGCCTTAATTATTATTATTATTTTTGAGATAGTGTCTCACTCTGTTAACCAGGCTGGAGTACAGTGACACAATCATAGCTCACAGCAGCCTCACCCCCTGGGCTCAAGTAATCTTCCTGCCTCCTGAGTTGGTGGGACTACAGGCACAATAAAAAAAGAATTTTTAATAAGATACCTGGCTATGTGATATAGTTTAAGTACAAATATCATGAGAATAACCTACATAATCTCTAAGATTTTTTAAAATGCTTTTATATTATTAAAAAAATTACATTTTAACTTGGCTCAGCTGACCTTTAAGATTAAACAAAAAATAAGAAATTATAGTGGCAATAAACCATTTTGTTTTAGGGATATTTAACATGGTGCCTGAAGAACCTAACATTTGAGATTTCTTAAATCTTCCTATATATTATTACTGTTTCATCTGAATCTTTTTTCTCTATCCTGGCCTCCTTCTGTAAGAAAAAAAAGATGGAGCAAGTCCACATGGAAAATAGACACCTTAATAAAATAAAACCTAATTTTGATACTAAACGTATTACTATAGAAAACACAAAAGGGTACTAGAAACCTGTTTTAGGTACCACAAATGTTTCTGGTCACCTGAAGCTCTCACTAACAAAGCTTTAGCAAGCTCTGGAACCCAGGATCAAGCAGTTTGGCCTCAAGGTTCTTGAGGGTCCCAGAGAGCTACCTAGTTAAACTATAGACTCTGAAATGCTTTAGGACAAATAAAGAACCACACAGGGATGGGACTACATAACAACATCTATGAAGAAAACATGAGATATACGTAACTTGTTATTTTCCTACCCTTATTCTCCCAGTTTAGCTAAAAAATGAAATAACCAGAGTACACAGCACTCCAGACTAGAAACTTGTAATTTAAAGGTAGAAGATTATAGGCCAGGTGCGGTTGCTTATGTCTGTAATCCCAGCACTTTGGGAGGCCGAGGTGGGATCACTTGATGCCAGGAGTTCCAGACCAGCCTGACCAACATGGAGAAACCCATCTCTATTAAAGAAAAAAAAAATTAGCTGGGTGTGGTGGTGCTCACCTGTAGTCCCAGCTACTCAGGAGGCTGGAGGCATGAGAATCGCTTGAACCCAGGGGCGGAGGTTGCAGTGAGCTGAGATCGTACCACTGCACTCCAGTCTGGGTGACAGAGCGAGACCTTGTCTCAAAAAAAAAAAAAAAAAAAAAAAAAGATTACAGTATTTTTTAAAATTTAGACATCACTAAGGACACAAAAGATTTATTGATATAAGCATAGTTCTGATAACTAAGATGAGTCACTAAATTTCTAAGATAATAGAATGAGCATACTGTTTACTACTCAGAAAAACATCTGCTTACTATATTGTAATAGGCTAGAAACAAGGAAACTTCATTCACGTAAGAATCTAAGCAAGTCAAATTTTATAAAAGTACATTATGAGCAAAGCAAAAAACAATATTAAAGACCTATAAATCAAAGATCATTCAACAAAATACAAGAGTTTTTATACTTTCACAGAAGATAAACACCAAAGGAAACATTTTTCTCCAAGATGTAGGTCATACACAAAATCATGAGAGGTGAGATGGATGATCTTCATTCCGTGAGGATTTTACTACAGCTGCTTTCTAAAATATCTGATATAGACAGTACTTGGGGACAGGATACCAGATTAGAAGAACTGCCAAGTCTGAACAAACTAGTGATCTGTCTAATTCAGATTTCCATAGCAAATTACATCCACTTGTTCCTGAAAGAGATCCTATTCATGAAAAATTTCATGGCCAAACAAGAAAGTCTAGGGTTGAAAAGAACTTACTACATAAGAGCAAAAGTTACTTTTCTATTTGCTTTCACTGTGCGTCTCTTTAAAGGCATATAGCATTTGCTTCTACTTTACTAAAAAGGCACCTAAATAAAGGTTAGCTTTAGTCCACAAACTTTATCTTTAGCCAACATCTCAAAGTATAGACTTCGAAAGTCTATACTTAAGATAGCAAGAGAAAAAGAGCTGCTTAAATACCCTGAGGAGTAGTTTTCCAACAAAAGGCCAGTACTTTTCTTTTCAGTGCTTTTCCACCAAAAGGCCAATTTTTAAAATGTATTTATTTATTTATTTTTGAGAGGGAGTCTTGCTTTGTCACCCAGGCTGTAGTGCAGTGGCATGATCTTGGGTCACTGCAACCTCTGCCTTCCAGGTTCAAGCAATTCTCCTGCCTCAGCCTTCCGAGTAGCTGGAATTACAGGCATGCGCCACCATGCCCAGCTAATTTTTTCGTATTTTTGGTAGAGACGTTTCACCACATTGGCCAGGCTGGTCTCAAACTCCTGACCTTGTGATCTGCCTGCCTTGGCCTCCCAAAGTGCTAGCATTACAGGAGTGAGCCACTGAGCCTGGCCATATTTATTTATTTTTTAAAGAGACAGGGTCTTGCTCTCTCACCCAGGCTGAATTGCAGTGGCACAATCACAGCTCAGTGCAGCCTAGAACTTCTAGACTCAAGAGATCCTCCCCACCTCAGCTTCTTTATAGTGGCAGGGGTCTTGCCATCTTGCCCAGGCTGGTCTTAAACTCCTGGCCCCAAGTGATCCTCCTAACTCAGCCTTCCAAAGTGCTGGGATTACAGGCATGAGCCACTGCCCCCAACTGAAAAGCCTAATTCTTAATCTGATAACAGGTCAGAAATCTCTATTCATCTTCATTAGAAAGGGATTCAGATAAAATAACTACACAACACACTTGAAGGCTAAAATTAGTCAACATGAAGTGCCACACTTGGGGAATGACTTTCCTTATTCAGGTCACTTTCTTGCTTGTTTTGGCATGCCAAGTCAAATTCTGCAGTTTCCATTTCTGTTTAAACCCGGAATCCAAACTCAATTGAGATACTCTAGTTCAGGGATCCCTAACCCCTGGGCTGTGGCCAGTACAGTGGCCTGTTAGGAACCAGGCACACAACAGGAGGTGAACAGCTACCAAGCGAGAATTACCCCCTGAGCTCTGCCTCCTGCCAGATCAGCAGGGCATTAAGGTTCTCATACGAGTGCAAACCCTACTGTGAACTGCACATGTGAGGGATCTAGAGTGCATGCTCCTTATGAGGTGGAACTGTTTCATCTCAAAACGACCCCCCCATCCCCCCAACACACAATTCTTCCATGGAAAAATTGTCTTCCATGAAACTGGTCCCTGGTGCCAAAAAGGTTGGGGACTGCTGCTCTAGTTAACAAAGCTAAAACAAAGTCTTACCTTAAGGCTTTCCTCAGTGTCTCTATACAGGCCACTATGATCTTGGGATTCTTATTGTCCAAGCCTTTCAGGAGCTCTTCTTGAACAGCCTCTCCTTTCTCAATCTCTATGTACATAAGACAGATCTCTATGCCCAGCTCCTTGGCTTTAGCTTTAGGTTGATTGAACACCTTACTTACAACACCTGACACAACTTCTCCTGTGGTTCTGTAACATATTATAAAGAACAAAAATCCCACTTAAGTAGTAAGAATTGGAAAAAGGTCACGGAAAGGGGGTGTACTAGTACTTTTACAAATGCTAGAAATACAGTAAATGAGTCTTTAATTTTTAAATTTATGTTCAAGAATATTTTAAAAACTTAACGTTAAACATAAAATTTTAAGACATGTCATAGCAGGCATAGTAACAGTTTATAAATGTAGAAAATTCAAACAAAAAATTAAAGATCCCTTGAAATCCCACCACCCAGAGAAAACTACTTTCAACTTTTTGATATCCCTCCTTCCAGACCTTTCTCTAAGTGTGTGTGTATATGGACATACAAATATACTTTACAAAAGTAGGGTTACAGAATGCTTGCTTTCAATTTTTTTTTTTTTTTTTTTTTTTTAAAGAGACAGGGTTGGTCGGGTATGGTGGCTCATGCCTGTAATCCCAGCACTTTGGGAGGCTGAGGCGGGTGGATCACCTGAGGTCAGGAGTTCAAGACCAGCCTGACCAAAATGGAGAAACCTCATCTCTACTAAAAATACAAAATTACTCAGGTGTGGTGGCGCATGCCTGTAATTCCAGCTACTCAGGAGGCTGAGGCAGGAGAATCACTTGAACCTGGGAGGTGGAGGTTGTGGTGAGCCAAGATCGCGCCATTGCACTCCAGCCAGGGCAACAAGTACGAAACTGTGTATCAAAAAGAAAAAAAAAAAAAAAGAGAGAGAGACAGGGTCTTGTGCTGTCACCCAGTTGGAGTGCAGTGGTGGGATTATAGCTCACTGTGACCTCAAACTCCTGGGCTCAAGCGATCTTCCTGCCTCAGCCTCCTGAGTAGCTAGGACTACAGGCACATGCCACTGCATCTGGGCAAAAAAATTTTTTAAGTCGTTTTAAACACTTTTTAGGAAAAGAGAATTTCTTCACAGAGGGAACGGATATGTACCTTTAATAATAAAAGACTACTCTTGACTCCTTAATAAGACTTTACAATAACTTTACTGCTTTGAATCTCCTCTAAATGAAATGAAACCTACACTACCGGGAATCAGAAGAACTGAGTGGGTTGAGATTACATGCAGCATTTATCAAAAAACCGCTTCTAGTATCAGAAGAGAAATTAAAAAGTGATAGTTTTACTAACGGTAAAGGAAACCCAGTGATGCCAGTTAACCAAATTGTCAAATTAATGATGATCTTTATTGGTATAATCTTTGAAGTAAGTCAAGTATATATTTCTTGTGCAATTAAGTCAAGTGTTTCAACTTTTTTTTTTGTATGGAGGGTTCCTTTCAATGACACAGAGACTAGAGTTAGGAAAATCAGGTCTATGAGGTATGGGATAGTAGGATGACTAGAAATCTGTCATTCACAGATCAAGTTAAACTGGCCAGGAGTCACTGAGGTTGTTTAGTAAGCATTACCTCCCCCAAGAAATAAAAATGCCTAATGAACAAAGGGAGAAAGACATGATTCTAACATCACCTATCTAACAACCCTTGTAAAAAATTTAGTTTTCTATAATGCCCAAATGTCTTCAGTGAAATTCTGATAATTCCTTTACTGACAATCTCTCAGTTTCTTTTTGAAGTTACTAAAGACTCTTCCTTTTAGTTTAGAATAATTCCCATACAAAAAGCTTAAAAGGAAAACCACTTGGTCATCAAACCTTAAGGTAAACCCTCAAAATATTATTTCTAATTTACTCCTCTACAGATCTCATGTGCCATTTAGATTTCTGAGAATAAAGACTGAATGAAAAACAAGTATCAAGAAACTACGAAAGTAAGAAAATTCATCTATTCTAAAACTGCTAATAACTAAGGACAGTGATCTACAAACATACATTATGTAACACCAAACAGGGGTTTTTATCAGTAAAGTTGGAAAGAAAGTACTTACTTTCCTGCTACATGGGCATTTTCAACATAAACAAGTGCAGCTTCTAATCCTTTCAATTGAACCACTGCATTGGAATCAGTGACAAATTTTTTGATCAATCCTAAAAATTTGGACCACTCTGGGCTCTTTTCATCCTTTATTTTCTGGAAGATCTTCAGGGCCTCTTCATACCCACTTAACCTTGCTTTCCACAGCTAAAAGAAAAGTAGTATTTTGAAACAAAACATAATTTAATGATATTATCATCTACTATTAATCTGGGGGGGGAGGGTGTGAGAATAGAAATGAATATCCTATGTCAGGTAATGTAAACAAAGGACCCCATGACTAGAAATGAAAAAAGAGTTTAAGAAATTGGCAGTTTTCAAAAAAGATTAGCTAATAAACTTCTTACAAGTGTTTAGTGTTTATGATACTCTGCCATTCATAATAGGCCATTATAAATGAATCTCACATTGTATCTAAGAATTATTACTTCTTTATAATATTGTATTAAAGATGTGATAACTCAAACATGAGAAATCACCCTGATGAAACTGCCCCGTCTCCAAAGTATATGCTGTTTTTTGGTTCTATTTTTGTATAATCATTAGGTAGCTTTATATTACACTGTATATTAATTTCAGCTAGTAGATTCCGGACATTTTTACTGAGGTATTCTTTTTTCATTAATTTATTCAACAGGTGTTTAATAAATAAAAATCAATTCAGCTCTGGCCCTTGTGGAGCTTACACTCCAGCAGGAGGGGACATTAAGCTATAATACAAATAAATTTAAAATTAACAAAGCATTAAGTACTACAAAGGAGAAGCAACTTGGTGCTATGAAAGTATATATTATAAAAGGCTTTGTCTTAGTGTTAAGAAAAAATTTCCTGAGAAATGGTAATTGAGCTGAGCCCTGAAAGATAAATAGGAACTAATCAGGAAAGAGTGGCAAAAGGGGAGACAGAACATTCCAGAAGGAACAGTATACTCCAAGGCCCTATGGCAGCAGGGAATATGGTATTTCCCACTCCTATAAAGAAAGAGAAGGGGAGTATGGTACAAAGTAAGCTGGAGAGGATTGGAAAAGGCCAGATCATGCAGGACTATGAAGGCCAAAGAAAAGATTCCACTCATTATTCTAAGAGCAATGGGAAAGCAATGAAATGATTTGGGGGCAGTTAAATGAGAAGTTAGTTTGTGGGATGATCGAATTTGCATTTACTGTGTTAAGCATTAGTAAAGAATTAGATGTTTGTCCTCAACACTATTAGATCAAAGAGACAGAAGGATCAACATATGATTGAAAAACAGAAATAATTTACATGTTATTTGTTTAATGTAAGTAAAAATGTAATTGAAAATGTAATTGAATTGATTCAATTAATGTAATTGAAAATGTGATTTGGGGCAGGTGCTATGCTCACAGAAAAAACTCTTCCTTCTAAGGAAGGAATGCTGCCTAACCCACTATAAGATGCATTCATTAGGAAGAAGGCATTACCTATTCTGCAAAATTAGAGTGAAGTATAACATAAATTAACATCATAGTTGAACATTTACTAACCAATTTAAACCAGATTTATTTTTTTATTTTTTAAAATTGGGCAACATCTCATTCTATAAAGTAGAATGAGTGTTCCCTAAACAGATTTAACATCTCTATGCTTTAAGTTTCAAAAACACACAATAAATGCTCAAAAAATGGGAAAAATAAAGTACCAAATCACACGAGATTGAAAAACTCTTAGCACATATTAACCAATCAAAAATCGGAAAGTCTAAGATTTATCTATATTGTCTGCCCCTTTCAGTGAGAATATACAATATCTACCAAAAAAAGCATTATAGTTAACGATTCTAAATAAGTTCCAAAATTCTCCCCCAATTTTTGTTGCAATTTAATGTACTACATAACCAACAATTTCTATGCGAATTAGAATAAAAACCAACTAGCTCACTTTTAATCTGGCCTTATTTGAAGAGCTACATGTTGATTTTTGATACAGTATTCGGCCTTGGCTAATTTATTATATAGGATGAAGGAGTGGTTCTGTGGAGGATATAGGGACCATGGCTCCAAATTTCTACTCTACATAGGTAGAACTGTATGTATACAACTGTGTAAGTTAGTATATTTTATTCAGTATTTTTAGTAATCAACAACCATAAATCTTGAATACTCAGATTCAAAACAAACTTTAAAAGAACTGTCAAGAACATAAAGTGGTAAACCTGAGGACTTGGAGTAGAATAAATTTACAAGAAGAAATGAAATTCTAAAATCTACCAGATGGTAGATGTTTGTTTAAAATGATTAAAAATGAAAGAAACTAGAGGTATAGTTGGGGAAAAAATAAGATAATCTGAAAGGATGCCCACCAAATAATGACATGATGTAATAAATTGTATCTTACTAGCATAAACTAGAAAATAAAGATTGGTAGATTCTGAGGGTAAATATTGGAATGCCGATCATATAAATCAGAGAACCTAAAAAATGCTGGATTTCTAAGGCCAAATTCAGAACACATCTCAAAAGAAGAGTCTCTATATAATAAAATATTAGTAAGTACTTAGGTACCAGAAGTATATTGTACTGTATATACAAGGAGATGAAAAAACTAGCCAGTTACTTTTCATAGATACCACTTACTTTTCACTTCACTAATATCTTTTCTTTGAATTCTTTCCAGAGACAAAAAAATTTTTAGTTGAGCTACAGAAACCTATTTTCAATGAGAAAAAATAACATATCTAACAAGGCATCAGTATTTTTGAAACTGCCAATGTTTTCACACACTTCTAAGTAAGATGATAGTATAACTGCTCACAAAACAAGCCAACGACACTGAAAATCGAATTCCAGAAGAATCTTACCTTGTGTTCACATTTCTGATCAACTGGCAGTTTCAACCACTCACTGTCATCTCCCATTGTGCTTCCAGGTTTTCCTTAGAATTAAGAGTATTTCCTGGTCAGATAAAGGTAGAAACCTGCTTAGCAACCAGGCAGTCTCTTAAGACAAAAATAACTTTTCTGAGATTATTATTTTATCATTCATGCAACAACAAGAGTAAAAATCCCGTTCTTTCGTCAGATCCCCACTTAATTCAATTAACAGGACTTTTTTTTTTTTTTTTTTTTTGAGACGGAGTCTCGCTCTGTCACCCAGGCTGGAGTGCAGTGGCCCGATCTCCGCTTACTGCAAGCTACACCTCCTGGGCTGACGCCATTCTCCTGCCTCAGCCTCCCGAGTAGCCGGGACTACAGGCACCCGCCACCACGCCCGGCTAATTTTTTTGTATTTTTAGTAGAGACAGGGCTTCACCATGTTAGCCAGGACAGTCTCGATCCTGACCTCGTGATCCACCCGCCTCGGCCTCCCAAAGTGCTGGGATTACAGGCGTGAGCCACCGCGCCCGGCCAATAGAATTTTTTTTTTAAAGTCACTCAAAAGACAGGACACAGTGGTGGCTCATGCCTGTAATCTCAGCACTTTGGGAGGCTGAGGTGGGCAGATCACCTGAGATCAGGAGTTCAAGACCAGTCTGGTCAACATGGTGAAATCCCGTCTCAATTGAAAATACAAAAATTAGCTGGGTGTGGTGGTGCAGGCCTGTAGTCCCATCTACTCGGAAGTCTGAGACAGGAGAATCGCTTGAACCTGGGAGGAGGAGGTTGCAGTGAGCCAAGATTGTCCCACTGCATTCCAGCCTGGGCGACAGAGTAAGACTCCATCTCAAAAAAATAAAGTCACTCAAAAAATATAAATATAAATATATTGCAGTCTGGGCAACATGGTGGAACCCCATCTATACTAAAAACACAAAAATTAGCCAGGCGTAGTGGTGTGTGTGCCTGTAGTCCCAGCTACTCGGGAAGCTGAGGTGGGAGGACTACTTGAGCCCAAGAGACAGAAGTTGCAGTGAGCTGTGATCATGCCACTACACTCCAGCATGGGCAACAGAGCAAGACCCTGTCTCAAAAAAACCAAAAATTTGTTTTCTAAAAAATGATGCTTTTATTTTCCCAAATAAGAACTTCTTAGATATAAAACGAAGCTGGAATAAAACTGAATTGCTGAGCTAAATGGCCTTTTAAAAGGCCAAGAAAAAAGTTTTGGAAAAAGTCATACTTTCACCTAGAATTACTTATAGAAAATAATCAATATGGGGGTCGGGTGTGGTGGCTGACGCCCGTAATCCCAGCAGTCTGGGAGGCCGAGCCGGGCGGATCACGAGGTCAGGATCGAGACCATCCTGGCTAACACGGTGAAATCCCATCTCTATTAAAAACACAAAAAATTAGCCGGGCTTGGTGGCTGGCGCCTGCAGTCCCAGCCACTCTAGAGGCTGAGATAGGAGAATGGCGTGAACCCGAGAGGCGGAGCTTGCAGTGAGCCGAGATCGCACTGCACTCCAGCCTGGGCAACAGACTCCGTCCCAAAAAAAAAAAAAAAAAAAAAAAGAAAGAAAAGGAAAGAATCAATATGTAAAAATGTTGATACTGCCAAGCTCCCTAATTCTAGCAAACATGACTAGTCAATGTTTATATAAACAAGTACAAAATTAAATCCCTGAATGAACCTTTATACATATTCTTTATGTAAACCATGTTTTTAAGTGAGGTTTAAAGTCAACATCCTTTTAATAACTTTATGCTACCTATCTTCTTTTTTTTGAGACAGCGTCTTGCTCTGTCGTCCAGGCTGGAGTGGAATGAACACGATCTTGGCTCGCTGCAACCTCTGCCTCCTGGGCTCAAGCGATCCTTCCACCTCTGCCTCCTGAGTAGCTAGGATTTGGTGGGACTGCAGGTGTGCACCACCATGCTCGGCTAATTTTGAAATTTTTTGTAGAGACAAGGTCTCGTTATATTGCCCAGACTGGTCTCGAACTCCTGGGCTCAAGTGATCCCACTGATCGTGAGCCACCGCACCCACCCCTATGCTATCTATCTAGACAACACCTTTTTCTTATAAAAGTAATGTGTGTAAACTGCAGAAAATTTAGTAACTACAGAAAAAAATCTAAGTATTAAAATACAATTTTACCACCACCTAATAACCATGATGAACACTAAAGTACGTATCCAGTTTTTTTTCAATACACATGTAGTAATATAAATCATATGAAAAAGACAGGCATAATCCCCTTACAACATTTTTGTTATATGATCACAAACATTTTCCCAGATTTGAGAATATGATGTTTAAAGTCTACATAGCACTCCATTTTACAAATGTACCATAATTACCAACCCTACCATTGGACATTTAAATTGTTTCCAATTTTTCTTTTTCATTTTTGAGACAGGGTCTCACTCTGTCACCCAGGCTGGAGTGCAGTGGTGTGATCACAGCTCATTGCAACCTTGATGTCCTGGGCTCAAGTGATCCTCCCAACCTCCGCCTCCCGGGTTCAAGTGATTCTTCTGCCTTAGCCTCCCAAGGAGCTGGGACTACAGGCACATGTCACCATGCCCAACTAATTTTTTAGTTTTTTGTAGAGATGGGGTCTTACTATGTTGCCCAGGCTGGCCGATTTTTCAATATTATTAATAACATAGAAGCGGTCCTCCGTAATTCTCCATCCCTAGTTCTGGCCTGACATAAAATATGTTTTCAATAAATATTTGTTTATTGAATATATACTCTGGTAATATCTATTCTGAATCAGGCATGGTGCAAAGTACTTTTTAAACACGCTAATTCACTTTATACTGACATCAACTATGTGAAGGAAAGATATTCTCATTTTACACACTAGCTTCACAAATATTAAGTAACCTGCCAAAACAACAAAACTGGTAAGCAATGAAATTAAACTAAGATTCATAGTCTATGCTTCTTCCTTTACATTTTGTTCCCTCCCATGGCAAAGAAGAAAATGTCCCAGAGAAAGATGGAATTGTAAAAGTTTATTAGGATATGTGGAACTTTCATTAAGATTTTTCTTCAAAATCCCTAGGATTGCCATGAAACAGCAGCAGTGTAATTTAAAGGAGTCAGGAGAATCTGCAGGAACTCAAATACACCAATGATGGGAGACAGAATAGTTTAACAGTCTGGAAAACAGTATGGCATTATCAGATACACATGCCCTACCACCCAGCAACTCCATTCCTAGGTGTATAGCCTAGAAACTGATGCAAATTACACCAGAAGACCTATATAGGGATAGTCATAGCAATGTTGTTCATAGTAGTCAAAAGCTGGAAACAGTTCACATGTTCATCAAACTGTGCTTTTCAAACTCAGGACCAGTCTTCCCCCTACCACCCCCACCAACTGAATACTAGTATGTCTGTAAAATACAATAAAAATTATTATACCTCTGTATTTTTTAAGTTGAATGCCAAATGGTCCAGCTGCTGTGAATGCAAAATGGTCTAGCTGCTGTGTAAAACCATTTGGAAGTTTCTCAAAAAGTTAAAAGTATCATATAGGGATGAGCAGACTGATCTGGATTTTATAAACAGATATAAGAACCAAGTTTTTGCTACACAGTAGAGTTTGATGCCTAAAGAGCAAATAAAATTGCCAACAAAGAGAAGCATTAAGAAGATTAATTTGAACTATACATAATGCTTGCTGTGGTTTATTTGATCTAGTCCCTAGTAAAGACACATATTCAGAAATTTCAATTATTCAGAGCTCTCAGATTTTATCCCAGTCTAAAACTGAGGCAAAGACAAGTAGGTCAGCTAAAGTAAGTATGTTTTACAGATATATTATAATCATATACCACTGATCTAAAAATGTCTTCCTAAGAGCTCAAATACCATATAGTCCATGCTATTGCTGAAAAGGTTTAGGCATAATTGTTTATTTTTAGACTAGAGGTTAAGAAATGTTTTCAAGGTTATACATGAAGGCAGAACTTAGAATAAATTCCAAATTGTCTGATTTTTCAGTTTAGTGTTCAAATAAATAACAAATTTCCTATTAAATATGCACTATATCCCATCATAAAAGAGACCCCAAAATCTGTGCATTTTCTCATTAACCAACCATTTAAAAGGGACAGAGAGATTAAGTCATGAGTAATACTAGAGCTGGGCCTAGAACCTATGTCTCCTACTTCTCAGTCTGTCTCTCTTCCCTACAACCCATGGGCCCAAGTGTGGTGTCTTTTTAGTTTAAATTCCTGTATTTTGATAGTCTATAAGAGTAATTACAGAGCTACTGTACAGATTATTTTCTCTTCTACTTAGAGAAAAACCACTGGCAGTATGACTTTTTTATGGCAAATTCCCAAGCTCTTGACCTACAAAAGCTCTTCACTATCACAATACAAGAGATCTGAATTTGATTACCATTCCTGGACTCTCACCTCTGGCTAAGGAGATGCTATTGCAGAAGCACAGAATGATTTTAACAGAAGTTTGAGAAAAACTTCTGCTCCATCAAAAAGCAACCCATTTGAATGACCACTGAGTGTGATGATAGGCTCATAAAAAAAAAAAAAGAAATTATTTTTTTAAAAAAGCAATGCATACACATGCCCAGAAATCTACTCAAACCATGTCTAGGAAGGACAACTGGATTAAAGAAACACAACAACTATGTAACTGTCATAGAAAACTTAAGATTTTTATTATTTAACCAAAATCTGACAAAATCCCATCTCTGAGTAGCAGGTGGCAAAAATGACAACACTTTCCCTCAAATTAAAAAAAAAACTCACTGTCTCCAGGTATTTCCCATTAACAAGGACAAGTGTTATCCTCTTGCCGGAGTATTCTGCATTACCAGGCGGCCAGAAATCTGAACAGTTTTCTAGCAGATTATCTCAAACTTTGGTGTGTTTGCTTTCCTAATCTTGGGACAGTGGCGTCCCACAAATTCCTTCAGAGATGGAGAGGGGTAAAGAGCTGTCTCTTTCACATTGTGCTCTTTATATCAGGAGGAAAGGTTAACTGGACTCTTCCTAAGAGATGTTCACTGTCAACATATCCAAAAGGGGTACGGGATACCACCAACACAGGCCTCTGGAGAGACAGCTAAACCTGGCTGTGAATTAGGACAACTTGGAGTTACTGCTCGACTGTACCAAGGTAGCTGAAAACCTAATGCTTACTCATCCCAAAGCTACCAAGGTCTTCAAATACCAGGGTAAGGATCCAAGGCCCAGAGAGAGAGATTCAGCTCCACCCATTCAGCTCAAATGGGTTATACTCTGGTAAAAGCAACCCTCTCCTCACCCCAAGTAAGAACCAGGTGGGGGCAAAGCCAGGTCGTGGGCACTGCTCACCCACTGCATGCCCAAACAAGCACCCTACGGCTGCTGTCACCACCCAGAAGTAGAGCAGATACCCTGGCTTTAGCTCACTGGAGCCGGCATTGTTTACGCTCTTTCGCCGCCTTAGCCTCTGATAGGCCAGCAAAGTCCCCAGTACTGTCCACCAGGACTTGCAGCACGGTCGCGGGATGCTTGCCCTTTGCCCGTGGTTTGACACTTACGCTCCCCGGGCAGGGAGAGGTCAGGGAAGCTAAGGTCCGAGCAGGATCAGCAGGAATACCCGGCAGGCGGCGGCGGCGGCGGCAGCAGCATTGGTGCTGCGGTCCGCTGGGAAACGCCTCCTCCGAGGGCGGGGCCCGGAGCGCCACTGTCAGAGTGCCCGCCCCACCCTCAGCTCCCCTCTCCGCACACTCTGAAAGCTTAAAGGGGCCGCAGTGTATCTTCGCCCAGAGGTTTGCAGGCCTCAGGCGCTGCTTCTAGGTCCTAGGCTTTCCCAGGCAAGAGGCAAATGATGGACCAACTAGGAAGACTACTGCAGTTGGGTGGACCTCTTTTTTTGGTAGTATTACACGTAATATTCCAGAAACAAAGGAGATGACCAGTTCCCACTATCACAATCCTAATCCCTCCTCCAAGGGTGAAAAAAATTACTGCAGGTAACAGCCAAAGCATCAAGGTAGATACATAGCCCCTCATTATATGTAAGCTGCTTACTTCATTAACCTCCTTTGGACTCGAGCAGTTCTTCAAATGGCAACTCAAAGGCCTGGAAAAGATCCTACAATGCTCCACCTCACCTTTTCACGGAATTCGTTCTTTACAAAACTGGAGGAATCCTGGACAATGATACAAGATGGGCAGGAAGGTAATAGAAGGTGAAATAGAAAAATACCAGCCTGGGCAACAAAGTGAGACCCCATCTCTACAAAAAATAAAAAATTAGCTGGGCATGGTGGTACAAGACTAGTCCCAGCTACTCCGGAGGCTGAGGTGGGAGGATCCTGAGCCCAGGACTAGGCTGCAGTGAGCCAGACTGCACCACAGCACTCCACCCTGAACAACTAACCAAAACCATACCTCTATAAAAGAAAAAAAGAAAAATAACCTTCCCCATCTTGTGTGTAAAATGTGATCTTTCAAAAATTGACCTAAAAGTCAACGTAAATAAATGTACAAGTCTATGTAAGTAATCTTGCATGCCAATACAATTGTAATGTGCAATCATCTAATTTAATATGAAGAGTTCTTAAGAAAATTGTAGTAGAAACGGCATTAATATTTCAAGGAGTTAAGTCCTAGTCTCTGAGATCTCCAAAGGTTAGCAACTAGTTTTAATTTTCTTTTTGTAGGAGGAGTTTGTCCTGAATCCTAGTTTACAAGGTTTGACTGCATTTTGTGTCTCCCATCATACCAACAGGAAAGATATGTGCTTTTTTTAAGTCCATATTACTCCACCTAATTTAGATGAATCAACACACCTCCTTAAAGCCTTGGGCCATCATCAGATCAGTACAGGAATCAATGTAGTAAGCTTAAAGACCATTTGTAAGTAACCCAATTTCTCCTATCCACAACAGGAATAAAGCAGAAATTTAAGAATCCAAAGAACAGTTATGAAGATTGCTCCACCAGGGAGCAGACTCAGGTTACTCTTATTCTGAAGGTTTTAGAGAACCCTAAGCTAAAGTTGCCAAGTATCTTTTCCTTACTTGGGTGGGGGCGGGGTAGATAAATAAATAAAGTTGCCAAGTAAAAAATGGATTCAGATTAAAACAGTCTGATTTTTGAACTGCCAAGACAGTCTCATTCTACAATGCATTTAACTGTAAAGAATACCTCTGAATTAGGTAATTAAGACCTTCATTCATTATATTCCCATCAAGCTTAACTGTTCTGAGGGTAATGGTTTGCAGATCAGCCTTTCTCATCAGATTGTGAGTTCCTCAAGGGCAAGGGCTGGAATGTATCTTAATTATCTTTTTCTTCCAATGTGTGATACAAAATAAGTACCCAACAAATATTTATCACAAGAGGTATGACCAACATTTTCTGTTACATAGCATTCTAGTGACATAGGACTTCAGTTAACTGCAATAAACATAGTACAATGAGTGTATGTGTGTATGCACACACAAATGGATAATACCCTGTGCTGTGCTTATGAGCGAATTAAACATTTTAAAAATTAGAGAAAAAAATCTACTAACAGTCACAAAAAAAGTCAAATACTGTATGAACCCACTTTTATGAGGTATGCAGTCAAATTCATGAATTCATAGAACCAGAAAGTAGAATGGTAGTAACCAAAGATGGGGTGGGGGTGTGGCTTGGGAGGGGGATAAGAGAAATATTTAGATACAGAGTTTCAGATTAGCAAGATGAGAAAGTTCTGGAGATCTGTTTCATAACGATGTGAATATACTTAACACTATTGAACTGTACACTTAAAAATGGTTAAGATGGTAAATTTTATACTATTGTTTTTTACCATACACAAAAAATGAGACATTCGTCTATACAAAAATTGCTTTGCAAATATTTAAAGTAAACAAAAGATGATATGGAAGACAGAAGTAAATATATAAATACAGTTGACCCTTGAACAACATGGATTTGAACTGCACGGGTTGACTTGCATGTGAATTTTCTTCTGCCCCTGTCACCCTTAAGACAGCAAGACCAACCCCTCCTCTTCCTCAGCCTATTCGACATGAGGATGACAAGGATGAAGACCTTTATGATGATCCACTTCCATTTAATGAATAGTAAATATATTTTCTACTTACTGGGCAATAAAGTCTTACTTTACTTAAAAGACAGTCTACTTACTGTCTCTAAAAATAAATACAAAAAATTATCTGGGCCTGGTGGCACATGCCTGTTAGTCCCAGCTACTCGGGAGGCTAAGGTAGAAGGATTGCCTGAGCCCAGAAAGAGTGAGCCAAGAGGGGACCACAACACTCCACCCTGAACGATGGAGCGAGAAAAAATATTTTTCCTCCTTCTGATTTTCTTAACATTTTCTTTTCTCTAGCTTACTTTACTGTAAGAATACAATATATAATACATATACAAAATATGTGTTAAACAATTATGTTATCAATAAGGCTTCTGGTCAACAGTAGGCTATTAGTAAAGTTTTGGGGGTGTCTAAAATTATATGTGAAGTTCCCACTGCACAGGGGGATCCCTAACGTTGGCATTGCTCAAGGGTCAAATGTGCCTATGTGGAAGAAATCCATTAAGTTTTAAGAAGAAATTTGCAAGACAGTATATGAAGTCTAATTCCTTTTTTGTATGTGTGTGTGTGTGTGTGTGTGTGTGTGTGTGTGTGTGTGTGTGTATCTCACATACACATTTACATATGCATTTGTGTAGGCTGATAATGACCCCCAAAGAAATCACGTTGTAATCCCTGGGACTTGTAAATGTTACTTTATTTGGAAAAAGGGTCTTTGCAGATGTGATTAAATTAAGGATCTTGAGATGGGGGGATTACCCTGGATTGTTTGGGTGGGTAAAGGCAATCACATATATCATTATGGGCAAGACGGAGGGAGATTTGACCCAATGGAGAAAGTGATATGAAGAGGGATCAGAGAAAGATTAGAATAGAGTAGGCCGGGCACGGTGGCTCACGCCTGCAATCCCAGAACTTTGGGAGTCCAAGGCAGGCAGATCACAAGGTCAGGAGGTCGAAACCATCCTGGCTAACACGGTGAAACCCCGTCTCTACTAAAAATACAAAAAATTAGCCGGGCGTGGTGGCAGGCACCTGTAGTCCCAGCTACTCGGGAGGCTGAGGCAAGAGAATGGCATGAACCTGGGAGGCAGAGCTTGCAGTGAGCCGAGATGGCACCACCGCACTCCAGCCTGGGCAACAGAGCAAGACTCCGTCTCAAAAAAAAAAAAAAAAAAAAAAAATTAGAATAGAGTAGAGAAAGATGGCCACAGGCCTAGGAGTGCCAGCAGCCACCAGAAGCTGGAAGAGGCAAGGAACAGATTCTTTCCTAGGGGCTCTGGAGGGAGTGTGGCCCTGCTGACTGACACCCTGATGTAGGTCCATAAGACTCATTTTGGATTTCTGGCCTCCATACTGTGAGAGAATAAATCCTGTTTTTTTAAGCCACCAAGTTTGTGGTCATTTGTTACAGCAGCCATAGAAAACTAGGACATCATTGTACATGTTTGAATGCACATAAACATTTTCTGGAAGGATCTGTAGAAAATTATTAACCATGGGCCGGGGTGGTGGCTCTTGCCTGTAATCCCAGCACTTTGGGAGGCCAAGGTGGGGGCGGATCACGAGGTCAGGAGATCGAGACCATCCTGGCTAACAGGATGAAACCATGTATCTACTAAAAATACAAAAAAATTAGCCGGGCATGGTGGCGGGTGCCTGTAGTCCCAGCTACTCGGGAGGCTGAGGCAGGAGAATGGCGTGAATCTGGGAGGCGGAGCTTGCAGTGAGCCGAGATCGCGTCACTGCACTCCAGGCTGGGCAACAAAGTGAGAATCAGTCTCAAAAAAGAAAAAAATTGTTAACCATGACTTCTGAGAGTGTGTCTAAGGGTTAAGCAAAGAAATTTTTTTGAAAAAACTTTTACTTTGAACTTTAATACCCATCCATGCCTTCTGATTTTTAATAATGAGCTTCAGCATCTTTTATAATAATGTTTTTGTATTTTTTATATTATTAAATTTTTTTCATTTACTTTTTCTTTATTTAACTCCCGCTTAGATGATAAATAATGCTTTTAAAAGCTTTAAAACTTTAAAATTCCCACTTAGAGGCTTGAAGTTGGATCATCTGCCTATACTCATCCCATAGGCTACACTTCACTCTCTCTCTTAACATTTTTTGTATACATGATATCTCCTTTGAAAGAAGGAACTGAGTCTTATTCATTATCCCAGCATTGCATAGTGCTTTGTGCTCTAGTGTAAAATTTCTAAAATGGCACCATTTCATCAAGTCACAGAAGTCTTTCTGTTTTTTGTTTTTTGAGACAGGGTATTGCTCCATTGCCCAGGCTGGAGTATGGTGGTGCAATAACTGCTCACTCTAGTCTCATCCTCCCAGCCTCATGTGAGCCTCCTGCCTCAGCCTCCTGAGTAGCTAGGACTACTGGGGCATGCACCACCACATCTGTCTAATTTTTAAATTTTTTTGTAGAGACAGGGTCTCACTATGTGGCCCAGGCTGGTCTCGAACTCCCAGGCTCAAGCAGTCCTCCTGCCTCAGCCTCCCAAAGAGTTGATATTACACTTGCGAGCCACCCCACCCAGTCAGAAGTCTTAAATATACAATAAACTTATCCTTTTTTTTTTTTTTTTTTTCTGAGACAGGGTCTTGCTTTGTTACTGAGGCTGGCGTGCAGTAGCAGGAACATGGCTCACTGCAGCCTCGACTTCCGGGGCTCTGGCAAAACTTCTGCCTCAGCATCTCATGTGGCTGGGACCACAGGTGTTTGCCACCATGCCCAACTTTTTTACTTTTTGTAGAGATGGGGTCTCACCACTTGCCCAGGCTGGTTTTGAACTCCTGGACTCAAGTGAACTGCCTGCCTCAGCCTCCCAAAGTGCTGGGATTACAGGCATGAACCACTGCGCCTGGTCTTATAAAGAAAATTTTGTAGAATGTGTATTTCAAATGTGTTGAGAAAACAATATATATTTAATAAAATTCTGAAGTAAACCCTTTTCAAAGTGAAAAAAATCACTCAGTAATATTATTTTGAAATTTTCTAAGATTTTTGCCACTATTTTCCTAGTTAGTTACTTTTTTATTATAAGATCCACTAAAAGAGGGTAATTTCATTTTTAGAATCTTTCACTTTGGCAAAGCCATGGCAGTAAAACAGTTGCTTGAAAGAAATCTTACTGTAGAAAGCTCTACTCTAGATTAAATTTAGTGCAAACCTGGAGTCATGTTGAGCTCTGGAGGTAGACAGATTGAGTTGTAAACCTTGCTCTGCCACAAACCAGCTGATCCTCAGTTTTATCAATCATCATAACAATACCATCTTCATGTTGCTCCCTATTTAACACACACTTCTTGAACACGTATTATGTGCCAGGCACTATCCTAAGCACTTCACATGTATTTACTCATTTAATCCTTAAAACCTTGAAGTTGATATTATTATCCCTATTTAATAATGAGGCAATTGAGGCAAACAGAGTAACTTGCCTAACATGACTCATCTAATCATTGTTGTAAAGATTAAATGAGATTTTGCCTTTTACATGTTAAGAATTCCCTCCATAGCCAGGTGTAGTGGCATGCGCCTGTAGTCTCAGTTACTCAAGAGGCTGAGGTGGGAGGACTGCTTGAACCCAGGAGGTTGAAACTATAGTAAGCCATGATTGAGCCACTGCACTGTGGCCTGGGTGACACAGCAAGAGTTTATCTCAAAAAAAAAAAAATTTTTTTTCCCACAAATATTCACATTATTCTCCTGTCCTGACAACTGTGCTTGTCAGATAGTGTGAGGCTATTCGGTGTTAGATGCTCATCTAGATGCTGAGTATAGGCTGTGCACCACAATAGCCCTGAGGCAAAGTACAATAAGAGAGTATGACGGAGGAATCTAATCTAGACTGGGGCAGCGGGGTTCAGGGAAGGTCTCCCTGTGAAAGTGATACTCAGGCTGAAAACTAAATGAAATTAATAGGGGTTATCCAAGCAAAGGCAAAAAGTAGGGACAACAGAGAATGTTTCAGGCATGTGTGTGGATCTCTAAAAGATGCAGGCAAGAGTAAAGAACAAAAATATGACCCATGTGACCAAATAAGAGAAAGGCTGATTGGAAAGGGTCAAATTAAACAAATCCAGTGGATTTTATGCAAGTAAGTAGTAGTATTAACAGATTTCATGGCAAACACCAAGCACTCAGTAAACCACAGCTATCATTACTATATTATTGTTATTATTATTAATTTTTTTTTTGTTTTGAGACGGAGTCTGGCTCTGTCGCCCAGGCTGGAGTGCACTGGCGGATCTCGGCTCACTGCAAGCTCTGCCTCCCGGGTTCACGCCATTCTCCTGCCTCAGCCTCCCAAGTAGCTGGGACTACAGGCGTCTGCCACCATGCCCGGCTAATTTTTGTATTTTTAGTAAAGATGGGGTTTCACCGTGCTAGCCAGGATGGGCTTAATCTCCTGACCTTGTGATCCGCCCGCCTCGTCCTCCCAAACTGCTGGGATTACAGGTGTGAGCCACTGGGCCCAGCTAAGTAAGTAGTAGTATTAACAGATTTCATGGCAAATACCAAGCACTCAGTAAACCACAGCTATCATTACTATATTATTATTATATTATTATTATTATCATCATCATTATTGAGATGGAGTTTTGCTCTTGTTGCCCAGGCTGGAGTGCAATGGCACAATCTTGGCTCACTGCAACCTCTGCCTCCTGGGTTCAAGTGATTTTCCTGCCTCAGCCTCCTGAGTAGCTGGGATTACAGGCGTGTGCCACCACGTCCAGCTAATTTTGATATTATTAGTAGAGATGGTGTTTCACCATGTTGGCCAGGCTGGTCCTGAAAGCCTAACCTCAGGTGATCCACCCGGCTTGGCCTTTTACTATATCATTATAAGCATCATCCCAGTGTCATTGAGAGATTTTAGGTTGATTTCAGACTTAAACAAACCTATATTTCAGTCCTTTGATATAAGAGTGGGCTAACTTGGCCTGGTGCGGTGGCTCACACTTGTAATCCCAGCACTTTGGGAGGCCAAGACGGGCAGATCACTTGAGATCAGGAGTTCAAAACCAGCCTGGCCAACATAGTGAAACCCTATCTCTACTAAAAATACAAAAATTAGCCAGGCATGGTGGTACATGCCTGCAGTCCCAGCTACTGAGAAGACTGAGGCAGGAGAAACGCTTGAACCTGGGAGGCGGTGGTTGCAGTGAGCTGAGATTGCACCACCGCACTCCAGCCTGGGCAACAAGAGCAAAACTCCATCTCAAAAAAAAAAAAAAAAAAAAAAAGAGAAGCCTAAGTCGGGTTACAGCCCTTAGGACCAAGTAAGGCAAGTCCTCTCTGGTCTAAAACAAACTGCTTCTCTGGGTGTACAAGCAATCTATTCCTTTTCATCCTATAGAAAGCAGATTCACTATTAAAAAATTATATGCTATTTGGTGATATTCAAGGGGACTATCCATAGGTTTGGAGGAATCTCCCATATTAAACATTGCTCAAAATTTGTAGGCAGCCCTCTAAAGCATAAAAATATTTTTATGTACTGGATAGAGATTTTTCTTTTCTTTTTTAGACAGGGTCTCACTCTGTCGTCTGGGCTGGAATACAGTGGCACAAACATGGCTCACTGCTGCCTCCACCTCCCAGGCCCAAGTAATCCTCCCACCTCTGCCTCCCAAGTAGCTGGGCCACAGGCATGCACCACCACTCCCAGCTAATTTTTTTTTTTTTTCCTAGATATGAGGTCTGTCTATGTTGCTCAGGCTGGCTTTATATTTTACAGCTTTCGTTTCGCGACCTTTGTGATCAAGCTAACACTTCTAGTTATCTTGTAGCAGTGCCTTCTTTCTAATTTAGCAATTGATTTAAAGAACCAAGCAGGCTGAAATTGTGCATAGAAGAGTGAATAGAATCTGTTTGAGAGAAGTCAATAAAATAAAATATCAACTAAAAAAATAAAAATAAAGTATAAATGAATAATCATCCACCATTATCCTTTAAAATACATATATATATTACCTGGCTGTTTTGGCTGAGAAGGCCTAGAAACACTGACACCCCACTAGCAAGGAGCAGACGGCAGAGTATCCAGATCTCGGTTTCTAAATACCAAGCAAAAGGAACCAGAAATCTTTGGAGAAATGTCTAATTCTAGGGTTAGAGCAGAGAAAATAAAAGATGAGCCTGGAGCATATTAAAGTACCAGAAAATAAGAAAGTGTTCAAAAAGAAAAAAAAAATTAAAAAGATGGGGGCATGTCAAAGGGACACAGGAGCCAACCAAAAAGAGCTCCCAACAGTCAAAGCTGGAATTATTCGACGGAAAAAAATAGATTATAAAATCTCAAAGTACAGAATAAATATACACAAGCCAATACACACTCACACATACACACTAGTCCATAAGATACAAACAGTGGAATAAAGCAATAAATGGGTGAAAAGAGACAAATCTTCCTTACAAAATTCCGAATATATGTAGATACCCTTAACTCCGGGAAGTGGAATCTAATCCCTTCACCCACTTTGGGGGTGGGCTAGACCTGGCTACTCATTTTCATAAGAATAGCTATAGAAAGGGAAAAATACTAACTTTAATACTTAACCTAGCAAACACTAACTTAATCAAGTGATCATGGTTAATATCACTAATGATGTCACATGGATATCACAAAACCCCTGATATGATATGGTATTCTATGGTATTCTTTCCAAAAACACGTAATTCTTGACTAATCATGAGAAAAATATCAGACAAAGACAAAGAGAAGGGCAGTCTACAAAACAACTGACTAGTACTCCTCAAAATGGTCATGGTCATGAAAACAAGGAAGGACTGAGAAATTGCCAAAGACCAGAGAAGGCTAATAGAGATGACCACGAAGTGCAATATGTTACCCTGAATTGGATCCTGAAACAGAATGGGCACATGAATAGAAAAACTGTTGAAACACAAACAGAATCTGGAGTTTGTTTAAACGATGTTAATAACAGGGCACACTGGGTGAGAGGTATGCAGGAATCCTACACATCATCTTTGCAACTTTTCTGTTGGAACAATCTATAATTATTCCAAAATAAAGTTAATTTTTAAAAAGTTTCCTCTTAAAAAACTAACATTTATTTTCAAAAAAGGTAATGTCGTGAAAACGAATAATTTTAAAAAGTGAGAACACTAGGTCAGGCACAGTGGCTCAAACCTATAATCCTAGCATTTCAGGAGGCTGAGATGGGAGGATTGCTTGAGGCCAGGAGTTTGAGACCAGCCTGGTCAACACAGTGAGACCCCATCTCTTTAAAATAATAATAATAATAAAGTGGGGACACTACATACCTACCAGAAGGGCTAAAATCCAAAAACCAGATAGAACTAAGTGCTGTTAAGAACGTGGAGCAAGAGGAACTCTCATTCATTGCTAATAGGAATGCAAAATGGTACAGCCACTCTGGAATAGAGTTTGGCAGTTTCTTACAAAACTATAACTAGTCTTACCATATGATCCAGCAACCTGCTTCTAGGTATTTATCCAACTGAATTAAAAATTTATGTCAGCTGGGCACAGTGGGTTGTACTGTTAATCCCAGCACTTTTGGGAGGCCAAGGCAGGAGTTCGAGACTTTTATGACATAAAGAGTGAACTTTAATGTATGCAAATTTTAAAAAGTCATTTAGGAGACTGGGAGATTGCAGAAAAGAATGAAGACTATGACAAGGGAATCTATATTACAGATGTGTGAAACAACTTCACCAAAGGGGGTGGGAAAAAGGTTCTGACCTAAGTAGCTTTGGTAATGAGTGGAGTCTGAAAGATTAAGGGCAAAAGGAACTGCACAGAAGTATGTACTCTAGTTGATAAAGTTTTTTTCATGGAGTATGGGTTAGCAATTCTGATACTGCTATCCATGTATGTATATCCATATATAATGGAACTGGACAATTAAATAAATGGATGGTGGAAATTAGGTTTTTCACTATTGTGAATGGAAATTCAAAGATCAGCAAGGGGAGGAGGCTAGAATGATCTATGTGATAATGGATCAGAATTGGAGACACCAGTAGGAACTCATGTTTTTCCCCCCCGCCCATACTACTGAAAGTGATCTATGGAACTCGTTTAACTTAATATAGACACAGATGGCTACATAGAGAAATATTTATAGATATGTCTATATACATGGGGTTAGCATACATTCATATATTTCTTTGCTCTAACAGTTGAAAGGACCTAAAAGAAATGACACCCCAGTAGCAAAGAGAACACTCAGTACCCAGGTCTTGTTTCTAATAGCATTCTCCAATAAGGGAACCAGGGCACCTTGGGGAAATGGCTGATTCTAGCACTGGGACAAGAAATACACAAGATGAGCCTGGAACATTTCCAGATAGTAAGGAAGTACTCAAAGATCAATACAAATACGCGCACACACACACACATGTATGTTAAAGGAATACAGGAAGCTCCCAAAGGACAAAGCTGGAACAACCTGAACAACAAAATAATGTAATATTGGAGTGTAACCTAAAATATAAAATAAATATACTTGAGTCCACACTATTATCAGTAAATACTTGACTAAACTAATAAATGGGAAAGGAGAGACAAGAATTTCAAATAAATTAAGTAGGTACTCCACCCTAAGATCAAGGAACTCCCCATTCCTTAAGTGTGGGCTGCAAACAGTGACTTCCCTTCAAAGAATACAGTATAGAAAAGGAGGGGAAAAAAAAGTAAATTCACTGTAGAAACCTCACAAACACTATTTCAGGTCAATATGAACAGTCAAGGTCAATATTAAGTCATAAATCATGTTGATAGCATGTACCCTTGATATGATGTGATGAAAATGGCACTTTACCTCTGTGGTCTTCCTGCCCAAAACCTGTAACTCCAGTCTAATGAGAAAAACATCAGACAAATTCCAATAGAAGGACATCTTACAATGTATTTGACTAGTACCTCTCAAAACAGATTAAAATTTTTTTAAAAAATTCAGATGTATAATTTTTCTAGCTTTCTTAAAGACTTTCTGAACTAGTCTAAAATAATTTTAAGACTAATTGAGACTGTTAAGATACTGCTTACACCCAAAAACACAGGAACAAGCCTGGTGCAGTGGCTCACACCAGTAATCCCAGCACTTTGGATGCTGGAGCGAGAGGATTGTTTGAGGCCAGGAGTTCAAGACCAGCTTAGGCAACATACTGAGACTGTGTCTCCACAAAAAGAAAAAAATGACAGCCAGACACGGTGGCTCACGCCTGTAATCCTAGCACTTTAGCACTTTGGGAGGCCGAGGCAGGCAGATCACTTGAGTCCAAGAGTTCAAGACCATCCTGGGCAACATAGTAATACCTTGCCTCTTCAAAAAAAAAAAAAAAAAAAAAAAAAAAAATTAGCCGGGTGTGGTGGCACTCGCCTGTAGTCCCAGCCACTAGAGGCTGAGGTGAGAGGATCCCTTGAGCCCGGGAGGTGAAGGTTGCAGTAAGCAGAGATCAGGCCAACACACTCCAGCCTAGGAGACAGAGTGGGACCCCATCTCAAAAAAAAAAAAAAAAAAAAAAAAAAATTGCTGAGCCACCATTGTCGCAACATTTTTAGAATATAAAAATAAAAAAAAATAAATAAAGACACAGAAACACAGCCAACTGAATAGTCAGATACTGTTTTTATCACTTTTTTGTTCAGAGAAGATGATGCCAGTTTTGGCCAATTTTGTTCAACAAATATTTTTGACCACCTAGTTTGTTGCAGGCATTGTTGAGTCACTGAGGTAACCTCAAAGGAAAAAAAAAATCTATGTTCTGCTTTCATTTTTATGAGAAAATCTAACAATATATAGACAAACAATAAACAATTACATAACAATATATGCTATGAAGTAAATAAGGAAAAGTGAAGTAAAAGTGACCAAGAGGGCTCCTCTAATTCAGAGCTCAGAAAAGTGTCTCTTTAAGGAGATGACATTTAAGTTGAAGCCTGAGAGTGCCAGTAATACAGGCTGGGGGTAGGGGTAGAGTGAAGTGAGAAGTTCCAGAACAGAATGCAAAGACCGAAAAGAATAAGCGTAATGTGTTGGAGTTATACACATCAAGTAGGTAGAGTAACTGCCCTGATAGAAATGAGCTAAGTAATGTATTCTAAACTCCAGAGGCAAGAATAGGAAAATCATTTAAAAACCTTAAAACTCTCCAACATTGACTACCAAGAATCCTAATTAGATTAAGAACTCAATTTTTATGCGTCCCTTTAGCTACCCACCGCCACCACTGTCACAGTTGTCCATCTTCCATATGGTAAATGCCATCTTTCCTCTAAAAACTATCATGCCTGTCATTCATATTTCATCACATCTCCGATAGAAGTACTTTTTTAAAAGGGGCTGGGGGAATTCTACCCAGAAATTGCTCCTGAATTCTCCTACAGATCCCTACTTCACGTAGTACAATCATAGGTTAAGAGCAAAGGCCCTGGAGACAGACTGACTTGGGTTTGAATTCAGATTCTATCACTTAGTTCTATGATTTTGAGCATGTTGCACAGCCTTTTAAAGACTCAGTTTCCTCATCTGTAAAACATTGTGAGGATAAAAAAAGATAAAATGTAGCGGGACATGTTGGCTCATGCTTGTAACCCCAGCAATTTGGGAGGGTAAGGAGGGCAGATTGCTTAAGCCCAGGAGTTTGAGACCAGCCTGAGTAACATGGCAAAACCCCATCTCTACAAAAAATACAAAAATTAGCATGTGCCTGTAGGCCCACCTACTTGGGAGGCTGAGGTGGGAGGACAGATTGAGCCCAGGAGGTTGAGTCTACAGTGAGCCATGATCACACCACTACACTCCAGCCTGGGCGACAGAGTGAGATCCTGTCTCAAAAAAATTAATTAATTAATTAATTAAACAAAATGTGGGACCCAGTAGGCATTCAATACATGTTAGCTACTGCTAGTAAAAGTATCTGGGCATGTATTTTATTCAAGGACCAGAGCTGACCCCAGAGGGATTACAGAAACTATAATTTGCTACAGTAAATTGTTTGACAGATAAAACTGTCAAACTCCCTTAGGTCAGGGCCTTTGTCTTTTTCTGGTTCACCAGTGTATTCCCTGAATCTAGAACAATGTGTGACAGACATTAAGCATCAATCTCAATATCTGTTCAATGAATGAATAAGACCCCATTAAAGGAGCATAAGAGAGCCTGGCTTTACCTTAACATACTCATTCCCTGTCAAAATTTTTAACACTTATCCTAAGGCACTGTTAAAGTTGTTTATTATTTTTAATTGCTTACCAAAAACCTAGAACAGTGTTCATAATATTAAGGTACTCAAATTTATTGCAATTAAAACTTTGCTGCTGGAGAAGCTGAGAGCTGAACACATGGTGGTCCCTGGAGCGTGGTGTGCCCAGAGAGGGCATGGAAGCTCCATGCCTCTTCCCCTATACCTCACCCTATATAGCTCTTTGTATCCTTTGCAATATCCTTTATAATAAACTGGCTGGAAAATGTGTTTTCCTGAGTTCTATGAACAGGTCTAGCAAATTAATCAAACCCAAGGCAGGGAATGGGGGGCGGTATTAGGAATGCCCATTTTTATAGTCAGCCTACAGAAGCACAGGTAAAAAAAAACCTGGGGCTTCAGATTGGCATCTGAGTTGGGGGCAGTCTTCTGGGACTAAACCCTCAACCTGTGGGATCTGACACTACCTCCAGATAGAAAGTGTCAGAATTGGCCAGGTGAGGTGGCTCATGCCTGTAATCCCAGCACTTTGGGAGGCTGAGGCGGGCGGATCACTTGAGGCCAGGAGTTCAAGACCAGCCTGGCCAAAATGGAGAAACCCCGTCTCTACTAAAAATACAAAAAATTAGATGGGTGTTGTGGTGGGTTCTTGTAATCCCAGCTACTCGGGAGGCTGAGGAAGGAGAATCTCTTGAACCCGGGAGACAGAGGTTGCAGTCAGCCAAGACTGCGCCACCGCACTCCAGCCTGGGCAACAGAGCAATTCTGTCTCAAAAAAAAAAAAAAAGGTGTCAGAATTGAACTGAATTAGAGGACACACAGCTAGTGTCCACTGCTGAAGAACTACTTGCTTGGTGTGTGGGGAAAAAAATCTCACACATCTGAGGTCACAGAAGTTTTCTGTATTGTGAGAGTATAAGATAAACTTATTAAAGTTTCTTATTCTATATTCTCAGAATTGGCGTCAGAATTGGGATTTGCTAGAATGACTTGGCTCACAGACACATATGGTTTGGGAAGAAAAAGGATAAAAGGATAGGGATAAAGAACTTTGATTCTTAGGTGGCCAAGTGGTCACCCATGGTAAAGAGCTGAAGCTGTGCTGTCATCAATTACTAAAGGTAAAAGTTATCCATGGAATCCAGAGATGGATCCAACTGCCTGGGAGTTGGTTCACAGGATGCACAAGGAAATGCAAACTAGTATTAAAAAAGTGATATGCTGGCTCGGCACGGTGGCTCACGCCTGTAATCCCAGCACTTTGGGAGGCCAAGGCAGGAGGATCACGAGGTTAGGAGATTGAGACCATCTGGCTAACAGTGAAACTCCATCTCTACTAAAAATACAAAAAATTTAGGCGGGTGCTGTGGCTCACGCCTGTAATCCCAGCTACTCAGGAGGCTGAGGCAGGAGAATCACTTGAGCCTGGGAGGCAGAGGTTGCAGTGAGCCGAGATCGTGCCATTGCACTCCAGCCCTGGAGAAAGAGTAAGACTTTGGTTCAAAAAAAAAAAAAAAAAAAAAGCGAAATGTTAAATCCCTTGGTTATTGTTATCTGTAACAGCTAAAATGAAATTAAAAGAAAGTGGTGGGTTGGACCTTCCCGCTAGACCAAGCTCAGCTTTCAGTGAATGTGAGAGCTTAGGCCACTAACCTCAAAGCTGTCCCTCAAGGGAAAAATGTATGCCGGGACAACAGAAAGTGCTTCTAAGACCTCTGGTAACAAAGAAGGTGGTCTGCAAAAATCAAAGAACTATTGAAACCAGGGGGTACAATGTGAAGGAATTGTTTCACTTTGTACATTAGTATCATAAGCTTCCTGAAGGGGACAGTCTGATTCCATAAATGCCAAGTGGAACACCCCAGATCCAGATAGAGCCACTGATATACTTCATATGCAAGCCATGTGAAACTGGCTTTATGATGACTAGGACATTTACCCTCTGAATATGCCCACTACCCAGTCATGGTAAATGCTGTGGTTAAGGGTGACCCCTTAATGTGGATAACCTTACTGTTGCAAAATCAAAAGACAGTTCGAGAAGCCTTATCAAATGTGCTGTCTCAGTTTCCTCTCGTGGGTCTTACAGATGCTAATAAAACCATTAGGTTAAGAGAATGGTGAGACAGAGGGCAAATGGATTCAACCCGGAAGGTGGAAATTTTTAAATGGTTATTAAGAAGTAAGGTAGGCCGGGCGCGGTGGCTCACGCCTGTAATCCCAGCACTTTGGGAGGCCGAGGCGGGCGGATCACGAGGTCAGGAGATCGAGACCATCCTGGCTAACAAGGTGAAACCCCATCTCTACTGAAAATACAGAAAATTAGCCGGGCTTGGTAGCGGGCGCCTGTAGTCCCAGCTACTTGGGAGGCTGAGGCAGGAGAATGGCGTGAACCTGGGAGGCGGAGCTTGCAGTGAGCCGAGATCGCGCCACCGCACTCCAGCCTGGGTGACAGAGCAAGACTCCGTCTCAAAAAAAAAAAAAAAAAAAAAAAAAGAAGTAAGGTAGCAGGGTGTGGTGGCTCATGCCTATAATCCCAGCACTTTGGGAGGCCAAGACAGGATGATCACTTGAGCCCAGGAGTTCAAGACTAGCCTGGGAGCCAAAGGGAGACCCTGCTGGTCTCCCACCATTAAGGGGTTCCAAACAAGTTTGCTATATTTACCCCAGTTTGGAGAAATTGTAAGTCAGGAGGCAGATTACAATGAGAAATCTGATCTGAAATTGTGGAAACAATAGGTAGATGAGTCAAGATAAAGACTGGCAAATGGGCAAGGGTCTCTTGGCTCAACCACCTGCTGGGGACCCCAAGCCTTCTGTATATAAGTAGGTAAAATGGTCAGGGAGTGGCAAAAAGAAATTCCTGGGACTCCTTCATATGGAAGCCCCAGGTACAGTAGTACCAAGAGCCATTGGTGAAGCCCCGAACAGGGCTACAGTTAGATTAAGAGAAGGCCAGGCGTAGTGGTTCACGCCTGTAATCCCAGCATTTTGGGAGGCCGAGACAAAAGGATCCCTTGAGCCCAGGAGTTCGAGACCAGCCTGGGCAACAAGGCAAAACCCCATCGCTACAAAAACTAAAAAAATTTGCCAGGCATGGTGATGCACGTCTGTAGTCCCAGCTACCGGAAGGCTGAGATGGGAGGATCACCTGAGCCCTGGAGGTGGAGGCTGCAGTGACCCATAATAGCAGCACTGCACTCCAGCCAGGGCGAAAGAGTGAGATCTGATTGAAAAAAAAAAAAAAAAAAAATTGAGAGAACACAAAGATGTAAGTGTTGACAGAACTATGAAAGTTGGAAGCTGTGTCTCCTATATGTAAATGTGTTTTATTAGGAATGGATATTATGTCTGGCTGGGGAACACTTCCCCTACCTAGTATTGCAAAAACAAAACCTGTTGATAAAGTCCTAATAGAAGCTACAGTTAGAAAAGTGAGGGTTAGCCAGGTGTGGTGGCTCACACCTGTAATCCCAACACTTTGGGAAGCTGAGGCGGGTGGATCATTTGAGGTCAGGAGTTCGAGACCAGCCTGGCCAACATAGTGAAACCCTGTCTCTACTAAAAATACAAAAAATTAGCTGGGCATTGTGGTGCACACAAGAAGTCCCAGCTACTTGGGAGGCTGAGGTGGCAGAATCGCTTGAACCCAGGAGGCAGAGGTTGCAGTCAGCTGAGATCGCACCACTGCACTCTAGCCTGGGCGAAAGAGCAAGACTCTGTCTTAAAAAAAAAAAAAAAGGAAAAGAAAGTGAGTGTTGATGGAATTAAGATAAAAGTTTACAGGAGAGTTGGTATATTCAAACACACTTCATATGAGAGCATAAGAGCTCCACACCCTTCTCCCATACCTACAAGCCCTACGCCTCTCTTCATCTGTATGCTTTGTAGCATCCTTTACAATAAACCGTGAAGGTAAAAAACAAACAAACAAACAAACAAAAAACACCAAAAAAACAGGTGCTGCTAAAACTGAACTGTCAGTAGTAGAAGACTGCGATGGAATTACCACACCCACTGTTCATAATTCAAACATAATTCAAAACTGATCAAGACTTTAAAGTAATGGAGAATAAAGTAAAAGGCATGTTAATTGTTACGGAATACCTTTGCTTGCCATTGCCTCAGTGAACAGCCTTTTAAAAAATTTTTTTTCTTTTTTTTGAGACAGAGGGTCGCTCTGTCACCCAGGCTAGAGTGCAATGGCGGGATCTTGGCTCACTGCAACCTCTGTCTCCCGGGTTCAAATGATTCTCTTGCCTCGGCCTCCCGAGTAGCTAGGATTACAGGCGCCCGCCATCACGCCCAGCCATTTTTTGTATTTTTAGTAGAGAGAGAGAGAGAGAGACGGGGTTTCACCATGTTGGCCCGACTGGTCTCAAACTCCTGACCTCGTGATCCGCCCGCCTCGGCCTCCCAAAGTGTTGGGATTACAGGCGTCAGCCACCGCGCCCAGCCTAAAATCTTATTTAAAAATTTTTTTACATGAGTTTACCAACTAGATTTAACTTATGGTTGCAAAATAAATTGATTTCACCTTTATCTATATCATTAAATTTGGTAAAAGCATTACAGTTTGTCCAGTCACTTCAGAGAAGTCAAAGTCTTCTACAATTTCTTAAAGTTTCAAAAGATTCTTAGCTTAATTTATTGGCTCTTTAGGTCAAAAGAAGGACTTTTCAGGGTGATGAAAATGGAGGAAGGAGGAGCTCACCTTTCTAAAAATGAGTTTTCAATTACTATAATTATGCATAAGACAGGCAGCATTTCTGGGCCAAGATTTGATGCCTTGGTCCCATGAGAATTAAATTAGAGCCACGCATAAATTTGGGGCAAGTTCTGCAAAAACCACTTCAACCTCTATTGATGCTGAATAAAAAACTCATTGTTAAGATTCATCAACACGAATATATTTTCTAACACACACTAGCCACTCTGGCAACAACCCTTTCATCATTTTCTATCCAAGAAACACAACGGAATGCATTTCAATCCTGCTCAACAATTACCACGATTACAAGTAGAGGGGAGAGCTCAAAAGTAAGAATCTAGTTCACCGAGCCCGACCTTAAAGTAGCAAGGCCCAACCCACACTGCTGGCTATTGTATTGGTTCCCCAACACCTCCAGGGCTGGAAGGACACCAGAACGCTCCCGACACGTTGAGAGAGAGAAAGCCAGTCGTTAAGGGCGGGGTGGTGGATGATCGGAATCGTTCACATCGCAGCAAGCCAGCAGGGACACAGGTGTGCGGCCAGGCCCCGGTGCCGCTGTCCTTGCTCCAGGGCGACAAGGCCCTTCGCAACCACCACAGCCCTCGTAGGCGCTTACTTATTCATTCACTTGACAATTACGCGAGAGGCACTCTAGCAGGGCCGGCTCTCGGGGCCCCCGCCCTAGTCTTGGTAAATCGCTGCCGCCAGGCGCGGCCCTGCACCGCCCGCGCCCCGCGGACGCTGCCACCCGCGCCACGCTGCGGCGCGCTCTGGCCACCTGGAGCCCAACCCCGGCCTCCGCCGCACACGAGCGCCCACGCCCCCGGCCCTGCCCGCCGCAGGTCCCCCGGCCTCCGGCTCGCTTCGCCGCCTCAGACCTGCCGGGTTCGTGGGGCAAGTGGGGCGCGCGTCTGGAGACCTCCAGCCGCCCAGGATTCAGGGGCTCCTCTGCGCGCGCGATGCCTGCACTCGAGGGCCTCGCGGGTGGGGCAGGCCCACCGACCACTCACCTCAGCTGGGTCAGAACCAAGCGGCCTGCTCTAAGCCGTTTGAAACCGCTTGGGCCGCCGCACACCCCGCAGTGTCCTCGTTCTTTATTGGTCCTCGACGGACCGCCCATCGGACTTTTATTGGTCCATTTGAAAGGCCTGTGGGCACGCGCCGCCCGCAGCCTTAAAGGGGCCGCGCGCAGCCGTGTTTCCCTCTGGACCAGACGCCGCCTGCACGGGTGGGGACGCTGGTCGCTGCCGGGGGCAAGTCTGCCGACTCCAGAAAGAAAGGCGAAAGAATGTGTGTAGACCCGGGCATCCTTGGTCGTCAGCATGTTTGCTTTATTTAATTACAGATGTTCAGGCTGCTGTCAACACCCGACAATTTTTTTTGGTCATTTCATTCCCTAGAGATTGTGAAGCTAAGTGCTGTGAGGGAAACCAGAGGCAGCTGAGATGTCGTGGAAGTAACAGCGAATGAAGCCAGGATGCTGGATTCTGACCTTGGAACTGTTCTGAGTAAATCACTTTTCTCAGTAAATCTTCTGGAGTTGTTTCCTTATCTGTAAAATGGGATAACGATGTTTCCCTTACAATTTAATGGAGGAGTTAATATAACTAATAGAATGTCTGAGAAAAGCCTTTGTGAACTGTAACGCATCCTGCAAATGCTTAATATTCCCTTATAAAAACGAGAGGCTTGGTTAACATGATCTCCAGAATTTTAGCTTAGCTCTACATTCAGTGTTTCTGTGAATGAGTTCAGGTCCTTACTTCCAAGGAATTTGTAATCTACAGTGGTTGGAGGAATATAACATACAGACTAGTCACTAAAATTCAAAGCAGTGTAATAACTGTATAAATGAAAAGCTATAAATGCTTAGAGACAGGAGAAATTTGATGGGGGAGGATCTGTGAGGAAGATGAATTTTTAACCTAGGATTTAAAGAATGTGTAGATTCCCAACAGGCTAAAAGATGGAGAGAGGATGGATAAAAGTAAATGAAACAATTACATGTTTTTTCATTGTCAAGTTGGCAGAGATGAAAAAGTTCAACAGCCTTTGGTTGGTCAAGATTTGGAAAAACAGGCTGGGTGCAATGGCTTATGCCTGTAATCCTAGCGCTTTGGGAGGCCGAGGCAGGAGGATTGCTTGAGGCCAGGAGTTCAAGACCAACCTGGGTCTTGCTATCAAGACCCCATCTCTGTTTTTAAAAATATAAAGAGATTTGGAAAAATGGACACTCAAAGTCAATATTGGTAAGAGTATAATTGGTACAAACCTTTAGGAGGACAATTTGACAGTTACTAAAATGTACATAATCTAGTTCTGGCCCAGTAATCCACTATGAGGAATTTATCGTACAGATCTGTGCAAGTATGCAAAGAAAAATGTACAAGGATGTTTACTGCAATACTGCTTTTTTTTTTTTTTTTTTTGAGACAGTCTCGCTCTGTCGCCCAGGCTGGAGTGCAGTGGCGCAATCTCAGCTCACTGCAACCTCCGCCTCCCGTGTTCAAGCGATTCTCCTGCCTCAGCCTCCTGAGTAGCTGGGACTACAGGCACGTGCCATCACACCTGGCTAATTTTTTGTAGTTTTAGTAGAGACGGAGTTGCACTGTGTTAGCCAGGCTGGTCTTGATCTGCTGACCTCGTGATCCTCCCGCCTGGGCCTCCCAAAGTGCTGGGATTACAGGCGTGAGCCACTGCACCCGGCTTTTTTTTTTTTTTTTTCTGACAGAGTCTCTCTCATGTCACCCGGGCTGTAGTGCAATGGCGTGATCTTGGCTCACTGCAACCTCCATCTCCCGGGTTCAAGCAATTCTCCTGCCTCAGGCTCCCAAGTAGCTGGGATTACAGGCACCTGCCACCACGCCCGGCTAATTATTTTTTATTGTATTTTTAACAGAGATGGGGTTTCACCATGTTGGTCAAGCTGGTTTCAAACTCCTGACTTCAGGTCATCCACCTGCCTCAGCCTCCCAAAGTGCCGAGATTACAGGCGTGAGCCACTGTGCCCGGCCCTTTTTTTTTTTTCTTTTTTTTTCTTTTGAGATGAAGTCTCGCTCTCTCGCCCAGGCTGGAGTGCGATGGCACCATCTCAGCTCACTGCAACCTCCACCTCCCAGGATCAAGCGATTCTCCTATCTCAGCCTCCCAAGTGGCTGGGATTACAGGCATGTGCCACCAAGCCCAGCTAATTTTTTGTATTTTTGGTAGAGACGGGGTTTCACCTGTTGGCCAGGCTGGTCTTGAACTCCTGACCTCAAGTGATCCACCCGCCTCGGCCTCCCAAACTGTTGGGATTATAGCTGTGAGCCACTGTGCCCAGCCAGCACTGCTTAAGATAAAAATAAAATAAAATAAAAAAATAAATCTGGAGGCCAGGCATGGTGGCTCATGCCTGTAATCCCAGTGCTTTGGGAGGCTGAGGTGGAGGATTGCTGGAGTGTGGGAGGTCAAGGCTGCAGTGAGCTATGATCACGCCACTGTACTCCAGCCTGCGTGACAGAGTGAGACGCTGTCTCTAAAAAAAATAAAAAATCTGGAAATTACATGTTCATCAACAGGGAACCTTTTACATAAATTATGACATATCCATTCAATAGAACACTATGAAACTGTTAAAAAGAATGCGGTTAATCTATGTGCTGGAACAGAAACATGCACAAATTTTATTAATTGAAAAAAAGGCAAGTTGCAGAACTTGTGGAATGATTTTATTATATATGGTTATAAACGTATGTGTGTTTGAGGGCATGCCTGAAAATGGTTAGAACATTCCTGGAATTATAAGAAACTTAATAGGAGTGGGACTTGGGAGGGAAATGAATTTTTACTGTTAACGTGGTGTGTTTCTTTTTTCTTTCATAGAAGGAGCAGAGAGTAGTGGGGAAAGTGTGAGTCAGGGCGCAGAAACAGCAAAGTGCATCGTATGTATGGGACTGAACATGTGGGGTTGATTTTAGGACTGAAATTTTGTTGGGAAGTAGTGGAACACAAGATTGACACAGAAGGTTAAGAACAATTCTTTTTCTTTTTTTTTTGAGACGGAGTCTCACCTGTCGCCCAGGCTGGAGTGCAGTGGCGTGATCTCAGCTCACTGCCACCTCCACCTCCTGGGTTCAAGCAATTCTCCTGCCTCAGCCTCCCAAGTAGTTGGGACTACAGGCACAAGCCGCCATACCTGGCTGATTTTTTTGTATTTTAGCAGAGATGGGGTTTCACCTTGTTGCCCAGGCTGGTCGCAAACTCCTGAGCTCAGGCCATCCGCCCGCCTCAGCCTCCCAAAATGCTGGGATTACACATGTGAGCCACTGTGCCCGGCCAGGAATGATTCCTAAAGGATCTTGAATCCCAGGGTATGGAATTGGTACTTTATTAAGTAGATAATGGGGGGGCTATTAAAGGTACCTGAGCAAGAGGGTGGCAAAATCAGAGTTGTACTTTAGGAAAATTAATTAGCTTGATTGTCTAAAATGGTTTAGAGTTGGGAACCCAGCTAGGAGTATGATATGAGGTGTTAGCAGTGGAGAGGATGAGAGCAGATTCAAGAAAGAATGAAAGATTTGGCAACTGACTAGATTAGGTGCAAAGGCAAGGGTGGGTCCCATTTAGGGAGGTGAGTCAAAGAGAATTCCAGGATTTGATTGCCCAATGGAAGTAGGAAGTCAGGAGAAGCCAGTCTCAAGGGGAAGGTGAGGCATTTAAATTGCAACCTGTTCACTTTTAGGTACCAATAAGGCATTCTAATGGAATCATCTGAGTAGGCCTAGAAAATACACGATGGAAGCTGGAAGAATAGATGCAGAATCAATGATATAGATTTGGGAATCACATTGATAGAGTGAATGAGACTGCAGATTGGGGGATTGGAGAGAGTGAAAGGATGGCCAATGAAGACAGATCCACATGTAGGAGAAGAAGAAAGGAATGAAAGCAATATGGTCATGGTAACCTTGGATAAATTGGTGAGGATATACAGAAATAGTTTTCTTCAGTCATTGGTCATTGGCATATTTACTTTATTTAAATATTACCAGAAATAAACTGAAGATTACATTTAAGGAGAGGGTGTGATGGTAATCAGGAATTGGCTTAACAAAGGATGTTTGTGCAGTCCGGGTCCTGGAGAGTTTTAGAACAAGATGACAAAATCCCTTTTTGTCTTGGATGACTTAGGTGCAGCCCTACTTTAAGGTGAGTATTAGATGTCTGATGCTACTCATTTATTCATTCAACAAATATTTATCAGCACCTATTATGTGGAGGGACTCTTCTAGGCACTGCAATGATCAGTAGATAAAATAGACTCCCCAAAATTTCCTCCCTTTGTGGTGCTCACACTATAGTGAGGAAACGTAGACAATCAACACATAAATAAATTATATAGTATGTTATTAGACAATATGTCCAGTGGGAAAAGAAAAAGAATAAAACTAGGTAAAGGGATAGGGAAGTGGGGTTGGAAAGACCGTAATTTTATTTTATTTTTCAACTTCTATTTTAGAATCGAGGATACATGTGCAGATTTGTGATAAAGGTATATTGTGTGATGCTGAGGTTTGGGGTATGATTGAACCTAGGTAGTGAGCATAGTACCTAACAGTAAGTAGTTTATCAGTCCCTGCTTGCCGGGGTCTGTCCCACAGACCTTGACCCAACAACGGTTGAATAACGTACACTAACACAGATATTCTGCCTGTCACTCCAGCTAAGGGTCTGGGCCCCTCACAGACACCAAGGAAGGTGCTGTAAAGAGTAGCAGCCGGCCCCATCAGCCAGCGAAGCTTGCATTTATTCAGTATAGATTAAATGACAAAGGTTTTGAGTAAACACTGCTAGAGGGTAATTGACCTGGTTGCCAACAACCCCGCCCCCACCCCCTGCGGTTGTGCACCCGGTTGATCAAAGATTGGTCTTAAGACCACATGAGTAAACAAGCTATTCAGATAAACTACTCTACATTCCTTTGTATCTACTTTAAGCTATTTACTCAAAGTAAGGATTAGGCGGCTTTCAGCCATAACCCTATCCTGAGACTTTTGCAAAACCTTCCGGCCTTCCAAGAAGATTTGTGTCTATATTTTATAACTTCATCTTAAAATTTTCCCACCAGCCTGACTGAACTCCCACACTTGCTCATCTCCCACTCTCCCATCTCTAGTAGTCCCAAGTGTCTATCGTTCCCTTCTTTATGTCCTTGTGTACCCAATGTTTAGCCCCTGTTTCTAAGTGAGAACGTGCAACCTTTGGTTATCTGTTTCAGCATTAGTTTGTTTCGGATAATGGCCTCCAGCTGCATCCAGGCTGCTGCTAAGGACATTATTTCATTCTTTTTTTATGGCTGCATAGTTTTACATGATATATGTACCACATTTCTTTAATCCACCATTGATGGGCACAAGGGTTGATTCCATGTTTTTGCTATTGTGAATAGTGCTGCAATGAATATATGGGTACATGTGTCCTTTTGGTAGAATGATTTTTTATCCTTTGAGTATATACCCAGTAATAGGATTACTGGGTCGAATGGTAGTTCAACTTTTAGTTCTTTGAAAAATCTCCAAACTGCTTTCCACAGTGGCTGAATTAATTTACATTCCCACCACAGTGTACAAGTGTCCCCTTTCCTCTGCAGCCTTGCTAGCATCTATTAAATTTTTACCTTTTAACAAAAGCCACTCTGACTCGTATAAGGTGGTATCTCATGGTTTTGATTTGCATTTCTCTGATGATTAGTGATGATGAGCATTTCTTCATATGTTTATTGGTCACTTGTATCTCTTTTGAAAGTGTTTGTTCATGTCCTTTGCCCACTATTTATTTATTTATTTATTTATTTAGAGACAGAGTCTTACTCTGTTGCCCAGGCCGGAGTACAATGGCACAATCTCAGCTCACTGCAACCTGTGCCTCCCAGGTTCTCCTGCCTCAGCCTCCTGAGTAGTTGGGATTACAGACACCCACCACCATGCTTGGCTAATTTTTGTATTTTTAGTCGAGATGGGGTTTCGCCATGTTGGTCAGGCTGGTCTCGAACTCCTGACCTCAGGTGATCCACCCACCTCAGCCTCCCAAAGTGCTGGGATTACAGGCATGAGCCACTGCACCCGGCTTGCCCACTTTTTAAATGGGGTTGTTTTTCACTTGTTGATTTAAGTTCTTTATGGATTCTGGATATTAGACCTTTGTTGGATGCATAGCTTGCAAATATTTTCTCCCATTCTGTAGCTTGTCTATTACTCCCTTGATAGTTTCTCTTGCTGTGCAGAAGCTCTCTACTTTTGGTAGGTCCCATTTATCCATTTATCATTTTTTGTTTTTGTTGCAATTGCTTTTGACAACTTAGCCATAAATTCTTTGCCAAAGCTGATAATGAGAAGGGTATTTCCTAGGTTTTCTTCTAGGATTTTTATATTTCAAGGGAAAGGCTGTGTTTTCTTTCTGTTGTTGGTTTTTTTTTTTGTTTTTTTTTTTTTTTTGAGACAGGGTCTTGCTCTGTCACCCAGGCTGGAGTGCAATGGCGTGATCACAGCTCAACTGCAGCCTTGACCTCCTGGGCTCAAGTGATTGTCCCACTTCAGCCTCTCGAGTAGCTGAGACTATAGGCATGCATGAAAACACCTTTTTTTTTTTTTTTTTTTTGTAGAGACACAGGATCTCATTATGTTACCCAGGATGATCTCAAACCCATGGACTCAAGCAATTCTCCTGCATCAGCCTCCCAAAGTGCTGGGATTACAGGTATGAGCCACCACACCCAGCTGACTATAATATATATATGTATATAAAAGGAGGCCAGGGGCAGTGGCTCATGCCTATAATCCCAGCACTTTGAGAGGCCGAGGCAGGTGGATCACCTGAGGTCAGGAGTTCGAGACTAGCCTGGCCAACACGGTGAAACCCTGTCTCTACTAAAAATACAAAAATTAGCCAGGCATGGTGGCAGATGCCTGTAATCCCAGCTGCTCGGGAGGCTGAGGCAGGATAATCTCTTGAACCCGGGAGGCGGAGGGTGCAGTGAGCCAAGATCACACCATTGCACGATCCAGCCTGGGCAACAGAGCAAGACTCCATCTCAAAACAAACAAACAACAACAAAATATTTATATATGAAAGGGTGGTCAGGGTAGGTTTCACTGAGATTACATTTGAGCAAAGACTTAAAGGCAAAGGAGTTAGCCATGAGTATATCTAGGGGAAGAAAGTGCCAGCAAGGGCCAACAACTGTGCAAAGGCCTTATGTTTTTGAGGAAGACAGAGGCTAGTGTCACTGGCCCAGGGTAGCATGCAGTAGAGGGGTAGTAGCAGAAGAAATCTTATAACAGTGGGGGGTGAGGACTGGCAGATCCCACAAGGCCTTGTAGAAATCTTATACAGTACCTTGCCCGTAGTAGGTATTCAATAAATGTTTGCCCAGTCATCTTTTGCCTTCTAGGATTATCATCAAATAGCATTTATCTGTGTATTTATTGGAGTTACGTGTGCTTTTATTCCAGGGTCTTCTCAGTAGTCCTTTTACATAAGGAGTATATTTATGAACATACTGCCCTCTGAGGGCAGTGAAGCCCTTGTGGGCATTAGAGATCAAAGTGAATGCTGTATTTTTGCAACTGAAAACAGGAAACAAATGTCAAATACTGTGGCTGCTGAATAACTGTGCTGGGCATTTCTGAAAAGCCTGTTAGGGTTGAGACAGTGCTCATTCTTTTGTAATCACAAGCTGAATTCTGGTTGAAGCATCCCTACCATGGGATATGTATCCATATTTCCAGCCTAAAAGGAGCAGCTTCAGTGATGAGCTTCCTTCAACTTTCAATGCAGGTGCCCTCTGCATTATTTCCCTGGAGATAGCAGTGGTGACATTAATACAGATTTCAAGTGGCTGTGGGTTTTAGTGCCTTAACTGTCTTCCAGGATTGCAAAGCCTACCCTGGCTTGCACTTGATTGCATTTAGTAGGTGCTGGTTGAATGAAGGAATGAATAGCCTTTATTTTTTCTTTTCTCATATTCATTTTCCATAGCCCCCAAAATGTAGGCTGTCCAAGAACTTTGACCACAGAAGCATCAGCGCCACCAAAGAGGAAGGAGGGAGAAGGGAGAGATAGGGACCTCATTAGAAGACTATCAACAGGCTTTTAGGGCCTGGAGGGAAAACCATCAGGAAGAGCAAGATACGTGAAAGTTCTTGGCTCTTTGTGTCTTATAAAATGAAATAAGCAGATTGTGTAGCTTGTGGCTAACTTAGCCTTGGGTTTAAACTATGACCCTTAATTAGGCTGTCTGGGTCTGTTTTAACACCATGTCAAGGAGACCAAAGTTATGAGTTGGAGCTTTGACTAGACATCAAACTTTATTCCCTATGCTGAGCTCTGCTAGCCTCTGCAGCTGGTTAACGGGAGAATGGTGTGGAGAGAAAATAAGTAGGCAGATGAGGGAATGTTTCAAAACAAAGAGTGCCTAAAAACATCCCAAAACACACATCCTATTAAGTGAATCAGTCGACTCAACTTCACATTTGAAGAAAAGATATATTACAGACTGTTTCGTAGCCATAAAAAGGACTCAGCCACATTTCTTTTATCATTATGTCCATAAATAGAAACCAGACAACTTAGGGCCAGGTGCGGTGGCTCACGCCTGTAATCCCAGCACTTTGGGAGGCTGAGGCGGGCGGATCACAAGGTCAGGAGATTGAGACCACGGTGAAACCCCGTCTCTCCTAAAAATACAAAAAATTAGCTGGGCGTGGCAGTGGGCGCCTGTAGTCCCAGCTACTTGGGAGGCTGAGGCAGAAGATTGTGCCACTGCACTCCAGCCTGGGCGACAGAGCGAGACCCTGGATAACCTTGGATATCAGTGCATTACTGGGTCCTCTTAGAACCCTCTTAGAACCCACTTAGAAACCTGTGCACCCTCAGCTTTTGTAGATGCTGCCTCTGAGTTCCTATGCATTGAATTTAGGCCTACGTTTGGTGACAGCTTCAGTTTATCCAGAGTCCTTTCTATGGGCCAGAGATCCTTTCATTTTAGATTCCACAGTTTGTTCATACACCATAGACAGACCGTGACTGTATTTTGAGTGAGTTTGCAAAAATATGGCCAGTTTGTTAGAACTTGACCCACCATCTGCTCACTTATCAGTTTCAGGGTTTTTTTGTTTTGTTTTTTTAGTGACAAGGTTTTGCTCTGTTACCCAGGATGGAATGCAGTGGCGTGATCATAGCTCACTGTAACCTTGAACTCCTGGGCTCAAGCAATCCTCCTGCCTCAGCCTCCCAAGCAGCTGGGACTACAGGCATGAGCTACCACACCTGACTAATATTTTTAAATTTTTTTGTAGAGATATGGTCCTGTCATGTTGCCCAGGCTGATCGTGAACTCCAGGCCTCAAGCAATACTCCTTACTTCTGTCTTGGCCTCCCAAAGTGGTGAGATTACTTTGGTGTAGCCACTGTGCCTGACCCTAGTTTCAGATTTTATACCAGAGAACTAGACAAGGAATTCCCAACCTTTGTTTTATCCCAAGATGTCCTCCTTTTCTGCTTTTTTTTTCCCTCCCAAAGAGAACAGTGGGGGTTGGAGGGATGGTTATCCTTGGGCTATTCTACTTGTTTTTGTTCTGGCACACCTACTCCTTACTACAGTTAGAAAAATTATACACTGTAGCTTATACTCAGATCTCTGGTCACTTAAATACAAGAAGCTTCAGTCTTTCTTACTTTCATTTTTTGTCTTTTTTTGGGATGGTGGTGGTAATGGTGTTGCTAGACTCTAAGCTCTGTAAGATTATGTCTTTGTTTAGGCATGGGCAGTGCCTAGCCCATAGCAGATGAATGAATGAATGAATGAATGAATGAATGGGGATATTATCCTATAGATGGTGTGTGGTTTAGAAAATCAACTATTGAGACTTGACATGAAATTCTACATCGGGCGTTGAGATTAACATGATTCCCAGTTTTCACTGAGGGATATCACATCCAGAGAACCTGAGAAGGGATCCCTAGCTCCTTGTTCTAGCCTTGAGAAGTAGTGGATGAGCTATGAAAAGACAGCTTTTAAAAATAAATGAAATCCTAGTGATAATTTGATCCACTCTCAGACTAACTATGAAAGTTGACTAAGATCAAACAGAGCTAGTGGCAGATCTGGGACTGGAATTAGCCCTCCATGTCCCCAGCTCCAGTACTTTTCTTACTACATGAGATAGTCTTGCCAGTGACCATCACTGCAAGGCAAAGTAAAGTTCTGTAACAAAGACCTAGAACAGAAATAGAAGATACATGGTATACATGCCATGACATTTCCTTCCAGTGCACAGAAGAGATGTCACTAGCCATATGACATTCTTCCCATTGGGTGCGAATAGGCCCTCAGGCAGCCACTACCAACCAGTCAGAGTCAGCACTCAAGAGGAAACCCATCTACCATTCCTCTTCCAGAGGAAATAAAGGTTTCATCAGTCAAGGAACTCTGGCCTCGACCTGTCTTCTCCAGATGAGCTGAAAACTCCAGCAGGAACCTCACACTCTTTATTGCTCTTCACTGTGCCCACATCCACAAAGGACTTAAAAGTGATGTCTGTAAGCAGGTTTTCCACAGCATGGGTCTGCCAGACAGAGCAGGTGCAGGATTAGTCATGACTCCAAGCCAGGCAAGGTGATTAAGAAAAGCTAAATTTATATTAAATTATCATAAAGTCCTAAAATACTGAACATAGTGGTTAAATAACTCCAGAAAGTCCAATCTCTCCAGTGAGTAACGTTAAAACCATTACACATGAGCATGGGAGAATCGCTTCCATTAGTTTAGGACAGAGAGATTTTGCTTTTTACAGAGTAAATCAGTGCTCAAATAGATACTTCCTCAAATATGTCCTTTCTACATTCTGAACAGCCCAAGTGCAATAAGATCCTTCCCCCTTTCCAATCAAGAAAATGCCACTTTTCTACTTGCTCTTCCTCCCCAGACGTGAGTCTAAGGACCCAAAGTGCTCACTCCTTTACTGCTTGTTAAGTGTAATGTGGGGAGGCTCAGAACTGGGGCTGACGCTACTGAGAGCAAGGCTAAGGGCCTGGTATCTCTCTCTAGCAGTCTTAGAACTGACTAGAAAAGAATTGATCTTGTCCTTTTTCACTTTGGTAGCTGATTTCTCAATACCAGTAACCACAGGAGAAGTTTCAACTCAGGAAACTTCCCCTAGAAATTCTCCCCTCCATTCCCAGCCCCTGTTGTTCTCTCCTGCCACTTCTAATTCCTGGGGGAGAAGAGGTCTGGGTCTGCCATGGGCTAGGAGGGCCTCATCAGTGGTGCTCTCTACCTTCCTACTCCTTACCCACCTCTTTGTATTTTTATTTATTCAGCCCTCCCACCACAGGACTTTGGAGATTGCTGGTGCCACAAGGCTTGGTCAGAAAAAGCAAATTAGGCAAAAAAACAAACAAAAAAACCCCACGAAGAACAGCTAGGGAGACGTTTTAGGGCAAAAATAAGTCTCAATTTCCCTGATACCAGGCTGAGACACGTGCCCTTTGTGTGAATGAGCATGAACCAAGTGATGGCATCCCACATGGAAACTAAGCCCCTTAGCTGAGGGGACAGCTGGAAGAGGAACATCACCACCCCGTAGCCACAGGCTTGCTGTCCACTAACTTAGATCCCTGAGCACTTGAGAAAGAACATAGGAAGTTCAACAGGAAGTTTGACCCTCATGGATACTTCTCTTTAGGCCCTGGGTTTCCCAAGTCTCCAACCTGATCGTTCTTTCTGACCATTTATGACAACTTCTGGTTTTTCTTTGAAAGCTTGTTTCTAGGTCTCTTCCCCAGAATCCCAGGACATGAGGGAGAGAGGGGTCAGGAGGTATACCATATTTGGTCTAGGCAGAGCTTCTTAGACTTTTCAGAGACTCAGCCCCCAAGGCCTAACATTCACTCAAGCCACTGGCTCACAACCTGGTTAATTTGAGCAAAGACTTAGGAAAGGTACTGGCCAGTGGTGGCACCAGGAGGGAATTCCTATTAGCCAGTAGCCTTGTGATAGGGGACCCAGTTATCTGAATGTAGAAACAGCTCCAGACATTCTAGGAGGAGGAAGAACAGCCTGAGCCACCCCCATCTCACCAGTATCTGCTGCTGAAAAGGCAGTGTCTCTTAGGGCAAGAATAATGTCCACTGCCAGCAATGGACCAGACACCCAGATCCAACTACCCCCCAAAGCTTTTTCATGTTACTAACACACTTGAGGCTGGAGGTTTCCCAGATGCCCATACCTGCTGGGCTGATTCTTCCTTCTTCTCTCAGCCTCTATCCTTCATCCCTGTCTTTACCCACACCCCCATGTCCCAGCCCCTGATGGGCAAGTTCTCTCAGAGAAGCAGTCATGCTGGCTGTGATGGGGCAGAGCGCAGTCCTGGGTCATCAGCTGCATCAGCACTGAGAAGCAGGCACTGAGGGTACTGGGGAAAGGGGAGGTGGAGCTCTACGCTGGTGAGGAATCACGAATAAGCAGTTTCAGGGGGCCCAGGATGGAGTACAAGATGTGAGGTTCATGGTAAAATCCAGGTCTAAATTCTCGTGATGTGCCATCATTTCTTGTGCACAGGTAGTTATGGACTCACGTGGTAAACAGCTCCGGTGAAGGCTTAGGAACAGTTATGGGGTGGGAGGAGGAGGAGGACAAGCACACAGAAGCGGGGCCTGCGGTGTAAGCGAGCACAAGGACTAGACGTCCATAAAGGAGAAGGAACAGGCAGGCAGGGAAGAGAATGTGGGCATTTAGACCTGGCTCTCTGAGGAGAGCTTGCGTTCATGTTTCCAGCCCGTGTCTGGCAGAGAGCCTCGTCTTTCTGGAGTGGCTGCAGTATGGACGCTGCTACACTCAGACTGCTCTTCCTGTAACAGCTGCTCCGTCTCTGTGTCATCCAGGGAGCCAGAGCTGGCCTGGATGGACACCGTGTCTGTCTTCATGCATACATGATCCCGGAGGAGGCCCCCCCGTGAGCTTCGCAGTTGCTTGAGGTCATCCCACTCAGCATCATCCCCAGACAGGAGGCAGATTCCCTCTACGATCTTGATCTTCTCCTTGGTGTAGTTATGGTCAGGCCCTCCCTAGGGTGGAGAGTGGGCAGATATGGTCAGTCAGTTGGCCTTCTACAAAGGATCCCATGGTAAACTGAAAAAGGAAGTGGATGGGGTAAGAGTAGGAGTGAAGCGCACAAAAATCCCACAAACAAATGGGGAAATGTGATTAAGACAAGTGTATGAGGCCTAGCCTAAAAGGGGAGAGGCAGCTGTGATAATTATTACCATTACCATACAGGAGGAGGGAAAACCATGGCTTCCGGTCCTGCAGCAGCCACTCACTGGCTTTGTCACCTTAGGCAAATTATTTCACATTTCTAAAACTCAGTCTCTTAAGACTCTGCAGTGTGAGGAGAGTAACAGTATCCACACCTCACAACCAACTGCTGTCACCTTAAATGAGATGATACATGGAATGCAGTTATCAGGGAGCTTGACACAAGATGCACTATAACATGTTAGCTATGTTACATTGTTACTGTGGTTTATTAATGGGACATCATGCTGATATAAATCATCAAAAGCAATTGGCAAGAGCAATTAAATGTACATTTATTCAGGATTTTAAGCTACTTCGGGTGCTAGTTTGTATCTCTTTTTTCTAATTTTGTTAAGGAGAAAACTTGGGAGGTAAGACAGGGGACTCTAGAAAATCCTCTTATCTGGCCGGGCGTGGTGGCTTACACCTGTAATCCCAGCACTTTGGGAGGCCCAGGCGGGCAGATCACTTGAGTTCAGGAGTTCGAGACTAGCCTGGCCAACATGGTGAAACCCCATCTCTACTAAAAATACAAAAATCAGCTGGGTTTGGTGGCGGGTGCCTGTAATCCCAGCTATTTGGGAGGCTGAGGCAGGAGAATCCCTTGAACTCCGGAGGCTGAGGTTACAGTGAGCCAAGATCATGCCACTGCACTCCAGCCTGGGTGACAGAGCAAGATTCCATTAAAAAAAAAAAAAGAAAGAAAGAAAGAAAAAAAACTAAAAAAAAGGAAATCTTCTTATCTGGGTCCTAAACGTCAATATAGTGGGGTCCTGCAACTTATAACCTTTTTTGGGAGGTTACTCTCGCTCTGCTGCCATGAGTCCTGGGACCATTCCCAAGCAAAACCTGGGACTCTTCCAGGCACAGCCTGGAGTTCTGCTCGGGCCTCTCCCTTTATGGCTTCTTCAAAGAGCAGCCTCACTCCTGGCTGCTGGGGTATACCAACCGACATACCACCACTGCTAGAAGAAAATGGATCATCTTGGGTTCTGTCCCTGGGATAGTATTCCTGCCAAGAGTTCTGCAACTGTGGCTGTGGCTCTATTTTTGTAACAATTCAATTCCACAGATATTTACTGAGCCCCTATGTTAAGCAGAAGACTGTGCTAGGTGCTTTGATGATTATACAATATAAAACATGGTCCCTGCCCTCTGAGAGTGACAGTCCCCTCAGCCATGCAGAGTGGGACATAGCACACAAGCAAACACACAGATGTCTGTTCACCCAGCACACCCTCCAAGATGAAATTAGTATAAGATGCAGACCACTCAATGTCTTAATTAAGAGACACGCTGGGTAAGTTAGGGAGAGGTGGGGGATATGGCACTTGCAATTTGGGAAACACCACTCCCTCTACAAACACACAGCAACAGGTACCTGAAATCAAGAGGAAATCAGAAGAGAAAAGGTGAAAGACTATCAGAGGGGTGAAAGAGCTGCTGAGGAAGAAACACACAACAGAAGAAAGAGGTCACACTATTTTCATTGCTATCCTGTGGCCTTCATTGTGGTTCTTTTCTGGAGCATCAGATACTCCAGGAACCCAAGAATCTTCAAGAGTCTTTCTCTCAAAGATATTGGGGAGGGGTCTACCATTCCTAGAACTACAAGCCATCCCTGCACATTCTGTTTTGACTGCAGTAGAAGCTTTTAAAAAATTTTTAATTTCAATTTTTTTTTTCAAACACCAACTTGAACCAGAAGTAGTGGAAGCTATTTAAATACGGGAATTCATGGATCCAGAAAGCACATGATTATTATGTGAAATGTGTTTATTACACATGAGAGCCCTGCAGGTGTGAGAGCAGGTTCTGACTGTGCTAGATAGGCCAAAGAAGTAGACTGATGAGGATCTTCATAAGGAATAACTTCTGATGAAGAGTTACAGGATTTTAGGAAAAAAACAAGGCTTATATTGGATTAGGAAAATCTGAAATACCAGGTATAGTTAGTTTCCTTGTGGAAATGGGACTTTTTTTTTTTTTTTTTTTTTTGAGACAGGGTCTCATTGTCACCCAGGCTGGAGGGTAGTGGCATGATCACAGCTCACTGCAGCCTCCAACTCCTGAGCTCAAGTGATCCTCCTACCTCAGCCTCCTGTGTAGCTGGGACTACAGGCACAAGCCACCACAACCAGCTCATTGAAATGGGACTATTTTTCATGCCTTCACATTGAGCAAATAATTTTCCATTGAAGTGACAAAGAAGTTAAAAAAAAACAAACAAACAAAAGCAGGCTGGGCGCAGTGGCTCACGCCTGTAATCCCAGCACTTTGGGAGGCCGAGGCAGGTGGATCACCTGAGGTCAGGAGTTCAAGACCAGCCTGGTCAACATGGAGAAACCCTGTCTCTACTAAAAATACAAAATTAGCCGGGCATGGTGGCGCATGCCTGTAATCCCAGTTACCCGGGAGGCTGAGGCAGGAGAATCACTTGAACCCGGGAGGTGGAGGTTGCAGTGAGCTGAGATCGTGCCATTGCACTCCAGCCTGGGCAACAAGAGCGAAACTCTGTCTCAAAAAAAAAAAAAAAAAAAAAAAGCAAAAGCAGGTAAACCTTCAGAATTCTAGAGAAATTTTTGTGATAAGAGGAAGAATAGTGAAAAACAAGCCATTCCCAACCATAGGTGCTACTAGCTTGGACTGGAGGTTAGTAATGGGCGAGTCCAGGAGCTCTTGGGTTTTTTGGGTGTTGTCTGGGAGAGCTCCCTTGTTTCAGAAGCACATAGCCTTTTGCAGGGGAATGACAGTTCCTGGAGGGAAAGAACCTATAAGCTTGGAAAAATATCTCATGGCAGGGCAACTGCTTTCAGACCTAAATCTTCTGAGATCTGCCTTCTAACCTGGCTCTCACTAAGGTCCCTCAAACTAATCCCTCAGAGATTCTAGAACTTCCCAGAAACCCAAATTACATTCAGTTCTTCTGTTCACTATAACTTCCAAAATGGTAGATGGGATTACTCAGCAGCCGTTACTGACTTATTTGGGCATTTGGAGTAAAATCCCTCCCCACACCTCGCCAAAAAGACCCTTGAATATAAATTTCAATTTTTACCTCTTTCTTATAGCACAGCTGGTTGTACATGGCTGGTTTGGGGATTGCTTCAATCTTCACTTCCTGTGTGGATGTTCGGTAGGAGGGGTTGCTGTAGGTGAGGTTCCCCATTCCAGGATCAGTGAACTTGGATTTTTTGTGTCTTTAGGAGGGAAGGTGATGAGAAATTAGTCGAGATCTTTAAGGGGATGATACCTGGGAAAGCTGTAAACTGAGTCTGGTAGGCAGCCTCTAAGATGATCCCAGTGACTCCCACTTCCTGGTACTCATGCCCTTAAGAATCCCCTCCCCTTGAGTGTGGACTGTTCTGGTGACTTACTTCTAATGAAAAGATTATGCAAATGTGATGGCTACTAGATTAGGTTACCAAGAAACTGGTTCTGGTCTTGAGTTGCCCTCCCTCATTCTCTTTTGCTCTTGCTCTGGGAGAAGCAACCTGCCATGTTGTAAGTTGTCCTATGGAGAGGCCCACAAGGCAAGAAACTAATGAGGAAGGCCTCCAGCCAACAGCCTATGAGGAGCTGAATCCTACCAACAACTATGTGAGTGAGTGTGGAAGGGGATCCTTCCCCGGTCAAACCTTGAGATGAGACTGTAACCCCAGCTGATATCTGGATTGCAGTCTGTGAGACACCTTGAGGCAGAGGCACCTAGCTAAGCTGCATCCAGATTTCTGACCCATAGAAACTGTGAGATAATGGTTGTCATTTTAAGTCACTAAGTTTTCGGGTAATTTGTTATGCAGCAATGGAGAACTGATGCACTGAGCTTTAGAGTCAGACAGATCTGTTTCAATTCCACCTCTGTGATTTATTAGCTGGGACCTTGATAGATATAATCTAAACTCTCTGGCTGGGTGCGGTGGCTCACACCTGTAATCTTGGCACTTAGAGAGGCTGAGGTGGGCAGATCACACAAGGCCAGGAGTTCGAGACCAGCCTGACCAACATGGAAGAAACCCTCTCTCTACTAAAAATACAAAAAAAAAAAAAAAAAAAAAAAAATTAGCTGGGCATGGTGGTGCATGCTTGTAGTTCTAGCTACTTGGGAGGCTGAGGCACAAGAATTGCTTGAATCCAGGAGGCAGAGGTTGCAGAGAGCCAAGATTGCACCACTGCACTCCAGCCTGGGCAACAGAGTGAGACTCTATCTCAAAAAAATAAGACAAAAATTAAAAAAAATAAACTTTCTGAGCCTCAGATCCTCATCTGTAAAGTGAGGAATAATAATACCTGTGTTACGAGGTTGTCATGACATTGATATATATCCATTAATGGTAACTGTTACGATGATGATGATGAAGAACAACAGCAGCAAACTGTAAGCTACGTTTAAAGCATTTGGGGGAAAATATAAAGAAAGAGGGACATAAAAAGATTATAAATGACACATTCTACCTTTCCAGAATGATTGCTACTGAGCAAAGATGTACAAACCAATATTGTAGTAAAAGGCTGTGTTTGTATAAGGGGAAAATCATTTCCAATTTCAGTGGTTTGAAGCAGGGAGTACTGGAAAAAGCAAAGATGTTAAGAGTCAGTCTTAGATTTGCCTCTTACTTTGTGACCTTGGGTAATATCCTCTGTGCACTCAGCATCCTAGTCTATAAAGAAAATCCGAAGGGTTGTTACAGTCATTCAATAAGGAAAATGCTTAGGCTGTGACTGGAGAAGAGTAAGTATTTAGGTTTCCACCCTTTCCTTCTGCTGCCCTGACCAGGCACCCAACCTTGCAATAAGGCTGGTCAGAGCTTGATTCAGTGAACTGCAGAGCTTCGGGAGATCCCAGACATGCTCATGAAGACCAATGAGCATGTGGCCCCTGTAGCAAGACTGAAGTTACCTGTACAGCATCAAAGCTGCAATCACCACCAAAATCAGCAGAATACTGAGGAGTCCACCAATGGCGTAGCTGATATGAAGTCCTTCCCCTAGGAAGAATAGAGAAACACTAGGCAGGGGCCACCGACAACTTTCTAGCGGTGCTGGTGTGAGGAATGGAAAGCTGAAAGGCTCCTTTTGTAGGTGTTGGACCCCATACCATCTGAGGATGGCTAAGGGCCTCCTTTTCAGATAGGTAAATGGGAGGTGCAGGGAGGAGGCTGAGAAGAAATCTGTCACTCTGCCAGCATCTCTGATCCCATTTCGACCACTTCCTAGCTATCTGACATAAGGCAAGATGCTTAACTTGTAAGCCTACATTTTCTCTTTAGTTAAATGTAAATAATAAATTGCTCATAGGACTGGAGGAAATTACATGAGAGTATGTATATATGCATGTGCACACACATATAATGTGGCATATATATGGCTTATCACATGCCTGGCATACGGAAAGCATACCATAAGCTGTCACTGTAAGTGGTGAGAGCTATTATGATTATTATTTCTATGGACTTAGTTTAAAAAGAGTTCATCAACCCCAGAGTCCCAATGAAGGTTATGAAAGATATCAGTGGAGACTTAGATTCATTACATCTTCTTTTCCGGAACAGTGGGGTACTCAGGGCTTACCTGGAGCAGCAGGAACAGCGTCATTGGAACGTGCACAGAGGCCCAGCCTGGCATCCCTTTCAGAGCATCTGTGGGGCACAGAAAACTGGATGTGAAGCCTACTCATACTCAGTGAAGGTCATGCCTTCCTCCAGGAAAGGGGGAAAGGCCTGTAAGTGGGGGCTTTCAGGTATGAGAATGTACAAGATGGAAGACATCAGAAGCATGGAGAGGGCAACAACAGGAAATGGAGAGAAATCCGTGCAAGGCACTGTTTTCAAGCCGTTATACCATGTTTAAGTGTGTTATAAAATATGTACCTTTAAAAATGAGAAGCAGGTTTGGGAGTGAGTTGGAAGTCTGCAGAAAGAATACTAAGGACATCAATATTAGGCTTTCTTAAACTACCAGGATGAGTCAGAAGCAGCTGCTAGCCAAGCCAATCTGATTGGATAAAAATTATCACAAGAGCTAAATATCCCAAGGTCAAAAAATGTTTTTCTTCTCTTCATTCTTTCACAAGGGAATATGCAAGACATCCAGAGGGAGTGCTCAGATAACTAACTTGAAATGCTCAGAAGGTGACTTCTTTGTGGTACATTATGAGCAGGCAATCAAAGGCATCTCCTAAACAGCCAGAGGAAAGCTACTTGCAAGAGCATTTGGAACCAAGATGCACTGAATTTTCAAATAGAACTCTGACAATAAGAAAAGGTCCGAGCGGGGTCAAAAGTTTTCTAAATAAACCTAAAGAAAATCCGAGAGTAATAATGACTGATAGTACTTAAAAGTTAGTGAGAAAGGCACATGTTTATACCTGGGTGTTTCCTTTTCTTTACAAACTGTAGTAAAAACAGAGAATGGGGGCACACAGCATATGAATTTGATCATGTGCAAATCTTGTAACTTTAGGGACATTGAGTCTAAAGTTTTTATTTGGGATCATTATTATGTTTCTGCTTTCAGAATTGAAATCAAGTGTTAACTACCTTGTAAGCTACTGATGATATTAAAAATAAAGAGACCAGTATGTTGCAGTGGAAAAAAAAAAAAACTGTTCTAATTAGAAAAATGTCTAGAAAAGATAGACATCAAAACATTAAGAGTAAATTATATATAGGTATAGGATATTCCCTTCTTCTTTATTCACATATGTATTTCCAGATTATTTATTTATTTATTTTTTGTTTTTTGTTTTTTTTTTGAGACAGGGTCTCAGTCTGTCACCCAGGCTGGTGTGCAGTGGCACAATCACAGCTCACTGCAGCCTAAACCTGGGCTCAAGCAATCCTCCCAACCTCAGCCTCCCAAGTAGCTGGGACTACAGGCATGGGCCACCATGCCTGGCTAATTAAAAAAAAACTTTTTTGTAGAGATAGGATCTCACTATGTTACCCAGGCTTGTCTTGAATTCCTGGACTCATGTGATCTGCCCACCTTGGCCTCCCAAAGTGCTGGGATTACAGGTATGAGCCACTGCGCCTGGCCCAGATTATTTTTTATAAAATATAAATGGAAAACACAGTCATTAGAATTTTTTGCCAGGTGCAGTGTCTCACATCTGTAATGCCAGCACTTTGGGATGCCTAGGCGGGTGGATCACTTGAGCCCAGAAGTTTAAAACCAGCCTGGGCAACATGGTGAAGCCCCATCTCTACAAAAAGTACAAAAAATTAGCCAGGCATAGTGGCACACATTTATAGTCCCGGCTACCTGGGTGGCTGAAGTAGGAGGATCACATGAAACCAGGAGGTCGAGGGTGCAGTGAGCTTGAGCTGTGTTCATGCTACTGCACTCCAGCCTGGGTGACAGAGTGAGATCCTGTCTCAAGAAAAAAAAAGAAAAAAGAAAAAAAAGAATGTCTCTGAATTGAATGTAACATCATATTTAATCAATTTTAAGATGTTTGTTTTTTCTATGGCCTACCATCTCTTAAACAGGCATGTGACTTACAATCAATAGCATTTCACATTTGCTGTTGGTTATCTTTTCAGTTTAATTTCTCAAATCAGGAAGCATTTTATAATGAATAGCACCTTTAATTTAATGAAATAAGATACTTTATACTTGATTTGAGAACTGTTCGTGTTTATGCTTGCTTATTTCATAATGGTGTTTGTGTGTGTGTGTGTGTTGCGGGGGGGTGCACATGACATTATAAGCTAAGGCCATCATATCTCTGGGGAAACCTTTTTGTTCCAAGTCATAAAGCCACAGCCCAGAGACTACTGTTGGACAAGCCAATATGCCAAACCTATGATGTGAGAGCAAATGTCACAGAGAGAAGAAGGAGGAATACCACGTGGGAGGGTCCTCCTAAGTGATTTCTGTTTAAAGTTGTTCTTTTTTTTGTTGTTTTATTTTGTTTTGTTTTGTTTTTGAGATGGAGTTTCGCTCTTTGTTGCCCAGGCTGGAGTGTAATGGCGCGATCTCGGCTCACCGCAACCTCCGCCTCCTGGGTTCAAGTGATTCTCCTGTCTCAGCCTCCAGAGTAGCTGGGATTACAGGCATGTGCCACCACGCTCAGCTAATTTTGTATTTTTAGTGGAAACGGGGTTTCTCCATGTTGGGCAGGCTGGTCTCCAACTCCCGACCTCAAGTGATCCACCCGCCTCAGCCTCCCAAAGTGCTGGGATTACAGGCGTGAGCCACCACACCCAGCCTTAAAGTTGTTCTTAAAGCTTCTTGCCCTCAGAGCTAAAAAGGGAATCACTTGTAACAATCTACAAGTCTGAATATCACCTTCTGTCCCAAATAACAGGGACTGGTAGCTCCTGACATAATCTATCTCCCAACTGCCTTATCAAGCTGGGACTATGAGTTGGTCATGGGATGGTGATTTGAATCAAAGGGCCCATGATCCTGCATTGAACCTATTTACCTTCCTTCCACCTCCTCCAGAGACGTGCGGGTCCGGGTGGTTGAAGAATACAAGGTGGTAGGTGGTGTGTTGGGTAGCACTGGGCTCTTTTCACTCATGCCAGTAGCCCTAGGAGCTGGTGGTACCAGGCCAGGCACTAGACAAAAAAGAGGATTGGAGTGGGCCACTGGAACCATAAACATCTACATATGGCCCAAGAGTAGCAGCTGGAGAACTTGACAAAACAATCTTTTAGCTGCCCTAGTCCCAGGCACCTTCATTAGTAGCCCTTCTTAATACTATCAATAAAAAGGAGTTGGATTCAATAATAATAGCTCTGGATGGGACAGCTGGCTCACCAGTCAGGAAGAGAGAGTGATGCACAGGCCACTGATTATCCCACAGCAGGGACCTGGGAATCAAGAGACCTGAATTCTGTTCCTGCAAATGCCAGAGGGCAGACAAACCCAGGTTTGAGCAATTCCCAAAACCCAAGCAGACTGCTACCAATCACTCCACTAATAAGACCTTCTTTATGGGGATCCCACCCAGAAGGACAGATCAGACCAGTATCAGAGGCTGCTGACTCTCAGCCCTTCCAGGGGCTCTGCCGAGTGGCTCCAGCCATACAGTCCAACTCACCAAGGGAGCAGGGCCGGCTATCAGGTTCGTCAGGACAGGCACATACGAAGTCCGAGGCTCTGGCAAAGCAGAGGTGGGTGCAGCCACCATTGTTCACACCACAGGCATTGGTCCCTGGAGGCAAAGTAGATGAATGTCTTATCTGGGACAGAATCAGGTCTCCCAATTTAAGGCTTCTCAAAAACAGAGGAAATCCAGGATTACCCTACTCCCAGGGACAGGGGAGGAGGAGAGATACAACCGCGAGGGAGTAAAAAGTTCTAAGCGTTTAAAATGTGAACCAAGAAGCTCTCTTGTGGCCCTAACTGTCTTGGTCCCTAACAGTCCTTGGGTTGACCGACCAATCCCACAGATGTTAAGGAAGCAGGCTCAGTACCCGGGAGCCCACCTGTCTGCCGCTGAGGGGAAACCACGATGATATCCATGAGTCCTTCCACATTTGCCAGCACTGTCTCCTTGTTCCGGCCTGAGTATTTGTCAACACGCTGGATTGACTTGGTCTGCCAGTCTGTCCAGTAGATCCACCTGTCTTGCTACTCAACAGGGGAAGCCCAAAAACAGTAAATATTATTCAGCAAGCAGACTCCTTCCTGTACAGCTTCTGTGCCTCACCATGTGCCACTGCCTCTGCTGAAATGCCCTCTTCATCTCTTCCTCATTTCTGTGCATCAACAGACATGACATTGTCAAGGAAATCTCCCCAAATCCATATAGACTTCACCATTCTCTCCTCTATACAGTTCTGCACCTTATAGTCACTTGCCCAAGTACATTTTTACACTCAAGCAATTTGTTTACTGGTCTGTCCATCCTACCAGTTTAGTTCTTCAAGGACAAGAATGTGTTCTATTCATCTCTGAATTCTAGCACCTAACACTCAGTCCCCATTTAGTTGATTGAATGACTCCCTCTCTAGCAAATAGGAGGAAATTTGAAGGTTCTTATAGGTTCCTGTTCCTCTGGGCCCTTTGCTCAGAGCACTGCCCCAAATCCTCTCTTTACTTCTGTAGGCAGCTTTCTTCTAAAGCAATGATGGTGAAATTCTCAATCAAGGGGAGGGAGGGGCAATGAAGGTGTTCTCATCCTCATCCAAGGGTATATATCAGAAACTGTGGGGAAACCTGTAGACTGAAAAACCTATATGCAGTAGTACCCTGTAGTTTTACATTTAGAATATGAAAAAAAAAGACTATCATTAAGTAAAACCAGATAAAATCTTTTTGGCTAGGCCAGGTGCGGTGGCTCATGCCTGTAATCCCAGCACTTTGGGAGGCCAAGGTGGGCGATCATGAGGTCAGGAGTTCGAAACCAGCCTGACCAACATGGTGAAACCCTGTCTCTACTAAAAATACAAAAATTAGCTGGGTATGGTGGCACGCACCTGTAATCCCAGCTACTCAGGAGGCTGAGGCAGGAGAGTCACTTGAACCCAGGAGGTGGGGGTTGTAGTGAGCCAAGATCGCACCACTGCACTCCAGCCTGGGTGACAGAGCGAGACTCCATCTCAAAAAAAAAAAAAATTCACCAGGTGTGGTGGCACATGCCTGTAATCCCACCTACTCGGGAGGCTGAGGCAGGAGAATTGCTTGAATCTAGGAAGCGGAGGTTGCAGTGAGCTGAGATCACACCACCGCACTCCAGCCTGGGCGACACAGCAAGACTCCATCTTAAAAACAACAACAACAACAAAACAAACAAAAAAAATGCTTTTTGGCTAGTGGGACATAATATAGAATACAGACAGAGTTGACAATATTTGGCAAAAAAGGGTCAAATTTATTTCTCTTTCTTTTCTTTCCTTTCTTCTTTCCTTTCTGTCTCTCTTTCTCTGACTCTCCTCTCTGAGATAGCATCTTGCTCTGTTGCCCAAGTTGGAGCACAGTGGTACAAATGTAGCTCACTGCAGCTCGACCTCCTGGGCTCAAGCGATCCTCCTGCCTCAGCCTCCTGAGTAGCTGAGACTACAGGTGTGTACCAGCACACCTGGCTAATTTAACAAAAAATTTTATAGAGATAGGGTCTCGCCATGTTGCCCAGTCTGGTCTCAAACTCTTGGGCTCAAGTGATACTCTGGCCTCAGCCAGAGTGCTGTGATTACAGGCATAAGCCACTACACCTGGCCAAGATTTTTAAATGATCGAGAATTCCTGTTGGCCTCAGGCTTGGTAGATCTTCTTTTCCTGGCCCAAATTATTTTTTGTGTTAGAACTCAAAAGTGACAGCTAATAATAATTAAAATGGGTAGCGATAACATGTATGTGGTGCTTACTGTGTGCCAGGTACTATGCTAATGCTTTGTGTCTATTTCAGGAGGATACTATTATTAGGCTGATTTATTTTATAGATAACTGAAGCTGAGAGAGGTTCAGTCACTCTAGTTCAAAGTTACACAGTTATTTAATAATACAGATAGAACTTGAATCCAGGTACCTGGCAAATTGATGGTACTCATTAAATACTTACAAACTGGCTAGATGCCTCAAAACTCTGGCTTTTAGCCACTCCACCCTGTTGCCACTAAGTGAGCTCCCTATGCCCAGATGCTGGGACCGCAGCATTAGGATTAACTGGGGAACTTGTCAAAATGTATTTTACTGTGCCCAGCCCTCATGAAGCAGCTTCTCTATAATCTCTATAGTCAGGGCCTAGGAACCTGCATTTTAACAAGCACCATATCGGATTCTGTATACCACTCTTTGAGAGCCACTCCTTTGAATGCTAGAACATGGGAATGGCAGGATAAGAGTAGCAAGGCACTCGGTGGCCCTACCAACCTACCAAGGCTTCAGGGCACAGGAAAAATCCCTAAAATGAGCTGCAATAGCACGTCTGTTCAGTAGCAGCTATAGCTGAGACTGCTGACTTAGAACCCCAAAGAAACATCCCAGTCAAGGAGGTTTAGTTACCTCTCTCCTGAGCCAGTACCTGTGTGAGGGCAAAGGGGTGGGACACATGGCTGACCAAGACCTGCCGCAGTTTCCCATTGAGGTCAGCACTCTCGATCCGGTCCAGATGCGCATCCACCCAGTAGATCCTGCGAAGAAAATGAAAAGAGTGGCTGCTCCAAACGCTTGCCAGGGAGCCCAGCTCTTCCCCCTATGAACCTGTTTGTCCCCTCCTGAGCTGACTGGCAGATGCTATGAGAACTCAAGAAGCACCCTCGATGAGGGGTCATTGTGAGTCCCAAAGCTGAAGAAGGGAGCTGGTGGTTCATGAGTGGGGAGGTCAGGGCTGCTCTGGGGAGGCATAGAAAGTCTAGTGACCTCAGAGGAACCACCACCCAGCCTCATCTTCAGGAATTTGATTGCCCTTTGACTCCTACCCAATAATCAAAGCCCAATTTCTTACAAATGGTCTTTAAGAAGAGAGCTCACTCGGCCGGGCATGGTGGCTCACGCTTGTAATCCCAGCACTTTGGGAGGCCGAGGCGGGGGATCACTTGAGGTCAGGAGTTCGAGATCAGCCTGGCCAACATGGTGAAACCCCGTCTCTGCTAAAATACAAAAATTAGCCAGGCGTGGTGACACGTGCCTGTAATCCTAGCTACTTGGGAGGCTGCGGCACGAGAATGGCTTAAACCCAGGAGGCGGAGGTTGCAGTGAGCCGAGATCGTGCGACTGCACTCCAGCCTGGGCAAAAGAGTTAGACTCTGTCTCAACAACAACAACAAAAAAGGAAGTGAGCCCAGTCTACATGGACCTTGCTGAGGTTAAAAGAAGAAGGCATTCTACCACCTTTCCAGAAGTCTTGGATTCCCTTCCCCTTCTTTTGGATCAGAAGGGGGCACAGACTGCTTTAGAGCCCCTTCCCCCTGCCCTTAGCATTTCTTATCTAGACAAGGAGTTGTACATTCCGGAGCCTGGGTCGGGCGTGGTGGCTCATGCCTGAAATCCCAGCACTTTGGGAAGCCAAGGCAGTAGGATTGCTTGAGTCCAGGAGTTCGAGACCAGCCTGGGCAACATAGCGAGATGCTGTCTCTACAAAAAATTTAGAAATTAGCTGGGCATGGTGGCATGTGCCTATAGTCCCTGCTACTTGAGAGGCTGAGGTAAGAAGATGGCTTGAGCCAGGGAGGTTCAGGCTGCAGAGAGCTGTGACTGCGCCACTGCACTCCAGCCTGGGCAACAGAGCAAGATGCTGTCTCAACAACAACAAAGTTCCAGAGCCTGAAGGGATCAGGATTTGTTATATTATAACAAATATAAGAATCAGCCCTTAAATGAGTAGGGGTGTGAGACCTGTGGTCCAGCCAGAAGACATGCTCTGCCAAAGGCACTCAAATTAGGAACATGTAAACCAGCCAAACAAAACCCACATAAGGGTTGAGGGCTGGATTTAGCAATCGCTGCTCTAAGAATATATTCCCTTATCCTTCTCAATGATTCCTCTTCCCCACATACCAAGAAGCTTTCTATCTTTTCATTTTTCCAAGGTTAATCTCAACCATTCTCTCTTCTGCCCACCCGATTTCCAGGAGGCTGTTTGATGCAAGACTCCCACCTGCGGGTATCATAGTCCAGGGTAAGGCCATTGGGCCAACCCAGGTCTGTGTTGATGAGGACCTTCCGCTCAGAACCATCCAAGTTTGCCCGTTCGATCTTGGCAATGTGGCCCCAGTCTGTCCAGAAGAGGTACCTGAGACACAACAGTGCCATCATCATCAAGGCATGGGAAGACAGCACCCAGAGGTTGAGAGAACACAGAGGACCCACTAACACCATCTTTCCACCCAGCCCTTCTTCCCTGGATCTCTCTTCTGCTGGCCATAAACTTACCCCTTCCTGGGGAAAACAGCAATGGCCCGGGGCTCATCCAGGCTATTGTTGATCAGTACTTTGCGGCAGGAACCATCCAGCCTGGACGCCTCAATGGTATTTCGACCTGTGTCTGTCCAGTACAGGTTCCTGGCCACCCAGTCCACTGCCAGCCCGTCAGTGGTCTTCAGCCCTCGCCCGATCACTGTCTCCATGTTGCTGCCGTTCAGGTCTGCTCGCCTTGGGGAGAGCCCAGTGTTGGATGAGCAACCAGACTGACCCAGAATAGAGTAGAACTTTAACCCATGTTCCCATAACTGGACCCCACTGAACTGTAAGCTCCACAGGGATAGAGACCAGGTATCTATGAGTACATTCCTCAGCACCCAGCATGATAGATGTTCAATAAAATAATTGCAGAATGAAGGAACCAGTTCTTAGGAGGACACAGTATTTCCTGCTAACTGGACATAGTGGCGGTTGCCAGGGGATGTCTTGCTAGAAGACAAGTTTATCATTCCCCACATACCTTTGGGAAGAGACAAGGATTGCTAGGTGGTGATGATAAGAAACGCAGATTTGTCAAAACCAACCTGTGCATTTTTTAAAAGTTAAAAACAATTTTAAATACAAGTAGATATGAGGTTTCATTATGTTGCCTAGGCTGGTCTTGAACTCCTGGGCTCAAGCAATCTTCCCGCCTTGGCCTCCCAAAGTGCTGGGATTATAGGCGCGAGCTACCACGCCAGACCCTAATTGTGCACTTTTGCAAAGGCCCTATGGGCAGGAGGGAACTCTACCTCAGAATGGGGAGCATGTCACTGTCACCTAGGGGACTTCCCTAAACTGTATATGCCTACCTGTCCCCAGTTTGAGATTCTAATACATCCCTTGGGGAGAGCAAAGGGGAATGTTCCCTGTTCCTCCATGTGAGAATATCTGCCATGGTAAACCACTCTTACTGGTGGCAGGACATCATATTCCTAAGCTGTGTTAGGGCCACAAATTTAAAGACTAAAAATAAAACAACGAAAAAATAAAAAACAACAGCTTTGTAAACCACCATAAGACTTGGCATTTGATTGGGGCTCCTTTACTGCAATACAGATACTGGTTATATGGCCTACTCATCAGTAAGTCCTAGGGGATTCTTGGAGCTCCCTCAGGGCACAATGGTAGATGTGAAAGTCTCCAGGTCCCCTGACTTTACCTGTTTTTTTTGTTGTTGTTGTTTGTTTTACATACTAGGCTTCCATATAATCTCTAAACAAATGAAAGTTTGAAACTCTGCTGTAAGTGACAACACTACAAAGTGAACAAGTCAGGATTAAAACTCACTATCCAAAGTGCCAAATCACTCATCCATTTAGTGGTCAGAACACAACCTCACCCATGGGCGACCAGAAGCAAATCTGTGTCTTCTGGAGGTTTCAGTGTTGCTCATACCTGATAACATCCAGGAACACATCTGTGTAATAGACCTTTCCATCCACGCTGTCATAGTCCAGGGAGATGACATTGTTGAGCTCAGGAACAGGGACATGCACATCGGTGTGGTCACTGGTGTCCAGTGAGATACGCCGGATGGAGCCACGGCTGGAGAAGAGCAGGTAGGTCTCAGGAGAGGGATCACAGGTCTTCCCATCTCCCTTCAGCTGGATGCCAGTGGGGCAGGCACAGGAGAAGCCAGAAGGCCGAGGCAAGCAGAGGTGGGAGCAGCCGCCATTTCTCGAGCCGCACTTGTTAAAACCTGGTGATGAGAAGCACAAGTATTCACACCTAGCCTGGAACATCATCTGAATCTTACAAAGGTCCCAGTTGTTTGTGGCTGGCTCTTTGCTGTTCTAAGTGACAGGATTCAGTGCCTGGCAGGGTGAGGTAGAAGGAGGGTCTGCAGGAGGATCTCCAGGAGTCCTTTGAAGGTGACAGCTGTAGTACCAGCCATACCCAGAGAGAACACAGCCCAATCTGGAAGGGAGCTTAAACAGGTCACCGTCTTTCTGGCTGTAAAGGAGCTCTGTGCTCTGGATATATCTCTGATGTTGAGATGGCCCCAGAAAGCCAGAGGCTCTGACTCACAGCCCCAGCCCTCTGACTCTCACCTAGTGGCTGTGCCCGGTCCACAGCCTGCATGTCCATGAGGCCTGGCAGGTTGGACCTCACGAGGATGACATTGCTGCCAGTACCCTTGTCAGCACGGTGGATGCTCCGAGTCTGCCAGTCAGTCCAGTAGATATAGGAGTCGAGCAGGGTGAGGCCATATGGGTGCTGCACCGGTGACACCAATGTATGCCGATTGGCACCATTCAGGTCAGCAGCCTCAATTCGCTGCAGAGGAAGGAGAGGGTGGGGGGTGGTGATCAGCAGATTGGGAACTCTCCATGGAGATCCTAGGCAGGCCTTTCCCATCTTCCCAGGCTCCTGGGAAGCAGCAGGGACACGGCTCTCACCTCGGTGTGGGCATCGGCCCATAGCAGTTGGGAGCTGGCCTTGTCCACAGTCAGTCCATTGGGCCATCCTAGGTTGTTGTTGATGAGCACCGCGCGGTCTGAGCCATCCATTCCGGACCGCTCTAACTTGGCATTCTCCCCCCAGTCTGTCCAGTACATAAACCTGAGTGAGGAAGAATATTAGCTATATTAGCTAGTTATTCCAGCAGCTACCACATACCATGAATACTTAACAGTATGTCAGATACACTTGAGTACTTACAGTATGTCAGGCAAAATTTTTGCTTGACAAAGTACTTTGCAAAATACTTCATGTGCATTATCTCAACCTTCATAAGGGCCACAAGGTATGTATTTTCACTACCACCTCCATTTAATAGGTAAGGAAGCTGAGAATTAGAGAGGTTAAATACCGGACCCAAGTGATATAGCTAATACATGATGAAAACATTTCAATCCTGGTATTCTGATTCAAGGCTCATGCTTTTAACTTCTACACTGTACTGTCACCCTGCGAGAAGTCACAAGAGAGTGGAAGAGCCCCAGGGAGGTCACCTTGTTTCTGTGATGCAAGCTTCCTCTCCACTACCCACCTTTACCCCGTCATAACCCCAGCTGAGCTGGCCCCCCACACTACCCAGTGCGATACAGCCAGCTCTCACCCCATCTCATGGTACAGTACGATGGCCCGGGGACTGTCAAGGTTCTGCCACACCAACACTTTCCGCATGGACCCGTCCAGGTTGCCCACTTCAATCCGGTTTGTTCCCGTGTCTGTCCAGTATACTTTCCGGCCAATGGCATCAACCGCGAGCCCATCTGTGGTCTGTAGCCCTGTGGGAAGTCAAAAGAGCACACTGGCTCCTATTTTAAAACAGATGGGCTATTTCCCCAGCCCTGTTGCCAGACAGGTGGTCCCTGGGCTAGGAGGAAGGCCCACCTGTGGTGATGATGTCCTCATGCTGTGAGCCATCCAGATTGGCACGACTGATCCTGTGCAGTGTGCTGTCAGACCAGTACACCTTTCCTGGAGAGGGAAAGCTTGGCTCAACCTAGACCCTCACCGCCTACAATGGGACACACACAGCTGATTCATGTCTTGAAACACCAGAGCATGTCAGAGAGCTCTGGAGCCTCTAGCAGAGGAAATCAAGGAAAACGCAGAAATATCATAGCAGGATAGCTCTTGGCAGAGACGGAGAGAAGAGGGCCCCAAACCATGCTCTCACAACCAAAGAGAGAGTGCTAGAGAGACAGGGACAGGGGCTATGCCAGAGGGAATGGGGAACAAACACCCTGGCTCTTGGCAGGAGACAAAGGTGGTGGGAGAGGAAAGACAGTAATTGTTGAAGGGCAGGGACAGAAGGCCAGGTGGGAAGAGAGGGCCATACAGACCTTCCTGGGGGTCTACTCCAATGGCAATGGTGTTCTTCATGGTAATGTTGATTGGTACCACCACATCAGCAAAATAAGGGATGTCCAGGGAGACCATGCGAATGTCTATCCTCCTGGCGAAGATGAGGAAACTGTTCATGCCTGCCAGGTGGAGAGGAGGGAAGAGGATCACTCGAGCACAGCCATTAAATGGATTTGGAATCAGGCAAACTGAAACTCATGCCCTGTCCCTGCTAGTTTCTAGCTATGTTATTCTAGGCAAGTTATTTAAATTATTATTATTTTTTGAGACAGGGTCTTGCTGTGTCGCCCAGGCTGGAGTGCACTGGCATGATCATGGCTTACTGCAGCCTTGACCTCCTGAGCTCAAGCGATCCTCCCACCTCAGCCCCCTGAGTAGCTGGGACTACAGGCACACACCACCATGCCCAGCTAATTTTTGTATTTTTTTGTAGAGATGGGGTTTCGTCATATTGCCCAGGCTGGTCTGAAACTCCTGGGCTCAAGCCTCTGCCCACCTCAGCCTCCTAAAGTGCTGGGATTACAGGCATGAGCCACTACTCTCAGCTTAAATTATTAGGCCTCAGTTTTCTTATCTATAAAATGGGGACAATAATGGGGTGGCTGTAAGGGTTAAAAGATCATGTACATAAAGCACTTACCATTAGGTCTCACACATATTCATAAATAATGCCTCTTTATTAATATTATGAAAGTGGCTCTCTTTGAAGGACCCTTTACCATGAAGATTAAGAAAGAGAAAAAAAGAAAGGGAATAAAGGGACCCCAGGGGGCTTTACTCACAACCTGAGAGGCACAGTTCACAGCTCCTTTCTCACTCAAATTCCCAGGGAGGTTAGAGTTCAAATGCAGCCTACCCTGCAGCATCTCCTAGGGAGAAGCCTTGACTTCCGACATCTGGGTAGCCAGGTACTGCTTCTGGGACCCTCCAATAAGGTTGTCACATAGGTTGTGCACTCACAAAAGTGGCACATCTAAGGAGGAGGGTACTGTGACATTGTAGATATCATACATTTCTGTTTTTATTATACCAATTTTGGGCAGTTAGAAGTGTCTTTTTTTTTTTTTTTTTTTTTTTGAGACAGAGTCTCACTCTGTCACCCAGGCTGGAGTGCAGTGGCGTGATCTCTGCTCACTGCAACCTTCACCTCCCAGGTTCAAGCAATTCTTCTGCCTTAGCCTCCCAAGTAGCTGGGATTACGCGCCACCATGCCTGGCTAATTTTTGTATTTTCAGTAGAGACGAGGTTTCACCATGTTGGCCAGGTTGGTCTTGAACTCCTGACCTCTAGTGATTTGCCTGCCTTGGCCTCCCAAAGTGCTAGGATTACAGGCATGAGCCACCGTGCCCAGCCAGAAGTGTCTTATTCCAACCAAATCAGTATATTATGACAATGTACTAAGAGATGAGAGGAAAGTGTCTTGAGAAAGGAGCATCTTTATCTAATATGCATGAAGACATCATAAGAACTAGTTGGACCCTGCCTCCAGTCCTTTCTACTTGCTCCCCAGGGCCTCTCCCCAGGCCCGTCCCCTTTTCTAAAAGCCGTGAGTCTCTCCCCTGGGCCTCTAGAAGCAGCAGGACTCATGGTTTCTCAGACCACATTGGAGCCCATCTGCAAGGAAGGAAGAGAGCCATTGCCCCCTCCCAGAGAGGCTGCATCTAGATCTGTGATGCTTTCACTCACCTGGTGAGCAGGTCTTGCCATCAGACAGCAGGTTGATGCCTGTGGGGCAGGTACAGCTGAATCCGCTTGGATTTGGGGACCTAAGACACAGGTGGCTACAGCCGCCATTCTCCATAGCACATGGTGTAGACACTGGGTAGAGAGGAGGGGATGTTCAATGGGGAGAGCTAGGGCATAGGAGGGCCACGGAGAAGCCAATGCGAGCCAAGGGCTGCTCACCTGGGGGCCGGCGGCGGTGGAAGACATGGATGTCCATTAGGTTTTCCAGGTTCTCCTGCAGAGTCTCCCGGTCCAGCCCTGTCAGCCGGTCAGCGCTCTGTATGCTCTTGGTCTGCCAGTCAGTCCAATAGATGCGCTCTCCATAGAGGGTCAGCCCAAATGGGTGGGGGAGCTGGCTTCCAATCAGCACCTGCCAGGGCCCCAACACTGTGTCATCTTCAACAAAGTCTGACAGTACAGAGCAGTGGCAAAGAGCTCACTGTGGACTCAGAAAGCAGCTCTCCCACTAACACCTACTGGGTGACCTCCAGTAAGAGCTACTTATAAAATCTCTCTGAGCCTTGCTCTATCAATCTGTGACTTGATCATGCCTGGCTCTAAGGGTCGTGTGATGGTTTTATTGGAAGATGTTGGAAGTCATCTATTACTCACATCATCTCAAAGTATCTCTGGACAAATTACTTATTAAGTACAAAATTAAAAAATAGCAACTTTACAGTGGACACTACCTTAACCATACAATGGCAGTAAGTATCACAATAACGGAACAGGCCAACACCTGTGTCTACTGATGAGACACACTGAGAACTCAAGGACATGACTTCACTTAGTGTAGTATTCCTGCTGCAAATGCACACTCTGAATCCAATCACAAGGAAACATTAGATAAATCCAAGTTGAGAGACATTATAAAAAATAACTGGCCTTTACTCTTTAAAAATGCAAATGTCCACTTTGGGAGGTCCAGGTGGGCAGATCACCTGAGGTCAGGAGTTCGAGACTAGCCTGGCCAACATGGCGAAACCCTGTCTCTACTAAAAATACAAAAATTAGCTGGGCGTGGTAGCGGGTGCCTATAATCCCAGCTACTTGGGAGGCTGAGGCAGGAGAATTGCTTGAACCCGGGAGACAGAGATTGCAGTGAGCTGAGATCGCACCATTGCACGCCAGTCTGGGCGACAGAGCAAGACTCTTGTCTCAAAACAAAACAAACAAACAAAAAATGCAAATGTCAATAAAGTCACAGAAAAGCTGAGGAAATGTTCCAGATTAGAGAGTAAAGAGACTAGATTAGTTGGGCCCGGTGGCGCACAGCTCCAGCTACTCAGGAGCCTCAGATGGGAGGATCACCTGAGCCCAGGTCAGCATGGGCAACACACCAAGACTGCAGTCTCAAAAAAAAAAAAAAAAAAAGCTATGTGTGGTGGCTCATGCCTATAAACCCAACACTTTGGGAGGTCAAAGCAGGAGGATTGCTTGAGCCTAGGAGTTCAAGACTAGCCTAGACAACAAAGTGAGACCCCCATCTCTACAAAAAATAAAAAAATCAGCCGAGTGGCCTCAAACCCGTAGGCTCCTGAGTAGCTAGGGTGCAGTAGTAGGTGCCTGTGGTCCCAGCTACGTGGGAGGATCCCTTGGGCCAGGAGGTCGCAGTTACAGTGGGCCATGTTTGTGGCACTACACTCCTGCCTGGGCCACGGAGTGAGTGTCTAAAAATAAATAAATAAATAAAAATTAAAAGAGACGTAATTACTAAACACAATGGGTGATCCTGATTGGATCCTAGATTAACAAAGAAAAAAAGTGGGGTGGGAGGAGCTATAAAGGACATCACTGAGGCAATTGGTAGTGAAATTGGGCAAGGACTATGATTAGACAGTAATATTGGGCCGGGCATGGTGGCTCGTGCCTATAATCCCAACACTTTGGGAGGCTGAGGCAGAAGGATCGTTTGAGGCCAGAAGTTTGAGACTAGCCTGGGTAATACAGGAAGTCTCTACCAAAAAAAAAGAAAAAAACTAGCCAGGCGTTATGGCTCATGCGTGTAGTCTCAGCTACTCAGGATCCTAGTAGGTCGAGGGTGCAGTGACCCAATATTGTGCCACTGCACTCCAGCCTGGGTGACACAGCATGACCCTGCCTCTAAAAAACCAAAAAAAAAAAAAAAAAAAAAAAAAAAGACAGTAATATTGGATCAATGTTAGATTTCCTGATTTTGATCATTGTACTGTGGTGATGTAAGACAACATCCTTGCTTTTAGGAAATGTGCACAGGAATAGTCTGGAGTCAAGGGCAGGCTGTCTCCACTCTAATTTCAGACAGTTCCAAAAAATAATAGTGAGTGTGTACAGAAACAGAATGATAAAGCAAATGTGGCAAAATTTTATTTATTCTTTTTACCTGTTCTTGCAACTTTTCTGTAAGTTTGAAATTATACCAAAACAAAAACAAAAAGAGATGAATCACAGGCCCACAGTGCAACTGGTAATTTAACAAGCATTAGTTGTGCTGGTTAACAGGAAATTCTGTGCATTTACACCCCCAGCTCACAATCCACACAAGTCCCTAGTTTCTTTTCATCATCAACCAGCAGCCCTTTCCCACCCCTGCCCCCAAGCTCTGGACAGCACCTACAGCCTCAGAGAAACAGCACATGCCCCATGCTGGTCCCATAACCTCCAGATCCCCTTATCTCCAATCAGCTGCCAGCCAAAAAGTACTGTCCTGGAGGCTGTCAAGGCTGTGGGAAGATGTTTTAGTGCCACCCTTACCTTCCTCTTACTGCCACCCTTACCTTCCTCTTACTGCCATCCAGTCCAGCAAATTCAATTGTCTTCATGCCGGCGTCAGCCCAGTATAGACGCTGGGACCCATAATCAATAGCTAACCCATTAGGCCAGGTCAGATTAGAAGAGATAATGACTTGGCGGCCTGAGGCATCCATGCCAGCTCGTTCAATCTTGGGGCTCGCACCCCAGTCAGTCCAATACATGTACCTGGGCAAAGGCAAGGCAAGGCAGGTCTTACAAGCTAGTTAATATCCAGCAGGGACTCAGAGTACCTAGGATTTCAGGGTTTCTGCCTGAAGCAGATCCTCATCAGCCTCAGCCTCCTGCATCAGTGTCCAGCCCAGCTCTGGGCTCAGCACTATCTCTGAATGCCTTGTCTTCTATTACTATCAAAAGGTACAGAGTCTTAATAAAAGCAGAGCCCACAGCTTAAGCAAAACTCCACAAATAAAGTGTACATGGGAATAAAGAAAGAGGAGGGGTGAAAATGAATAAGAAACATTTCCTTGGCCAGGCGCCATGGTTCATGCCTATAATCTCAGCACTTTGGGAGGCTGAGAGTATCACTTGAGCCCAGAAGTTTGAGACCAGCCTGGGCAACATAGTAGGATCCCATCTCTACCAAAAAAAAAGGGCCAGATATGGTGGTGCACATCTGTGGTCCCAGCTACTTGAGAGGCTGAGATAGGAGGATCATTTGAATCCAGGAGGTCAAGGCTGCAGTGAGCCATGACTGGGCCACTGCACTCCAGCCTGGGCAACAAGTGAGACTCTGTTTCAAAAAAAAAAGAAAAAAACAAAAAGAGAAATGTTTCTTGACTGGATGGGTTAAATAAGTTAACAGAACTCTATAAAACCAGTAAGAACAACATAGGCCAGGTGCAGTGGCTCACACCTGTAATCCCAACACTTTGGGAGGCTGAAGCAGGACGATTGCTTTAGCTCAGAAGTTTGACACCAGCCTAGACAACATAGCAAGACCCCATCTCTACAAAAAAAAACTGTAAAAATTAGCTAGGCATTGTGGTCTGTGCCTGCAGTCCCAGCTACTTGGGAGGCTGAGGCAGGAGGATTGCTTGAGCCCAGGAGGTTGAGGCTGCAGTGAGCCGTGATTTGCACCACTGCACTCCATCCTGGGCCACAGAGCAAGACCCTGTCTCAAAACAAACAAACAACAACAACAAAAACAAGGTAGATCTATACACTCAACTGGAAAGACACACAAGATATAAGGGCAAGCAGAAAAAAAGTCACAAAAAGTATGCTATTTTTGTAAAACCAAAACCATCACCACCAACAACAAATGTTTACATACATTTAGAAGAAAACCTGGAAAAAAATATCCTGAACTGTTAACTTATTGCTGGAGAGTGAGATCACAGAGAATTTTTACTTTCTACAGATTTAAATTTTTTTAACAATGAGTTACTTTTGCAAGTAAACCAACAATAAAAAAAAGATAAGGAAAGAAAGAATTGAAAAGTTTCCTTGTCCACAGAGAATACAAAGTTGTCACCAGCTGTTGGGAACAAGCCCCCCAAAATTTGGCCATAAACTGGCCCCCAAAACTGGCCATAAGCAAAATCTCTGCAGCACTGTGACATGTTCATGATGGCCATAACGCCCACACTGGAAGGTTGTGGGTTTACCCGAATGAGGGCAAGGAACACCTGGCCTGCCCAGGGCAGGAAAACTGCTTAAAGGCATTTTTAAGCCATAAACAATAGCATGAGCTATCTGTGCCTTAGGACATGCTCCTGCTGCATTTAACTAGCCCAACCTATTTCTTTAATTCGGCCCACCCCTTCATTTCCCATAAGGGATACTTTTAGTTAATATCTATAGAAACAATGCTAATGACTGGCTTGCTGTTAATAAATATGTGGGTAAATCTCTGTTGGGGGCTCTCAGTTCTGAAGGCTGTGAGACCCCTGATTTCTTACTTCACACCTCTATAGTTCTGTGTGTGTATCTTTAATTCCTCTAGCACCACTGGGTTAGGGTCTCCCCGACAGAGCTGGTCTTGGCAACCAGCCTCTGGTTTCTACAGCTGCTCTTGCTTCCTTGGGCATATCCATAAGATCTGGTCACTCTTCCTAATCTTTAGACTCCTCTCTGGAGCTCAGATCTTGGGAGGGGTGGATGGAGCTCATTCCCAAGGGGCAGCCACTCACCCGCCCATGGGTTCCACCACGATGTCCCGAGGACGATCAAGGTTCTCCCAGATGAGTACTGTTCTCATGCTGCCATCTGTGTTGGCTACTTCAATCCGGTCTGTACCTATCAAGAAGGGATACAGAGATTAATTCTAGTCTTGTTCATTCACCCTCTTACCTTCCATGGCCAACACAAGAGCCTGGTATGCGCCAGCAGAGCACAGAGTAGGGGCTCAAAAGATATTTTGTGACAGATGCACAACGGAAATTTAGTGACTTGAACTGCAAGAAGAAATTCAAGGATGTGATCAGTTGGATTTCTTGAAAGAGCAAGACTTCCCAAACATAGGCAACCATAATTTAAGGCGATGATTCTCAAACTTTAGTGTGCGTAAGAATCAGGAGAGCTTGTTAAAACACAGATTTCTGAACCTAACACCCAAAGATTTTTTTTAAAATAAAAATATTCAGCCGGGCGTGGTGGCTCACGCCTGTAATCCCAGCACTTTGAGAGGCCGAGGCAAGTGGATCATGAGGTCAGGAGTTCAAGACCAGCCTGACCAACATGGTAAAACCCCGTCTCTACTAAAAATACAAAAATTGGCCGGGCGCAGTGGCTCACACCTGTAATCCCAGCAGTTTGGGAGGCCGAGGCGGGTGGATCACGAGATTAGGAGATCGAGACCATCCTGGCTAACATGGTGAAACCCCGTCTCTACTAAAAAATACAAAAAATTAGCCAGGCGTCGTGGCGGGCACCTGTAGTCCCAGCTACTTGGGAGGCTGAGGCAGGAGAATGGCGTGAACCTGGGAGGCGGAGCTTGCAGTGAGCCGAGATCGTGCCACAGCACTCCAGCCTGGGGGACAGAGTGAGACTCCGTCTCAAAAAAAAAAAAAAAAAAAAAAAAATTAGCTGGGTGTGGTAGTGCACGCCTGTAATCCCAGCTACTCGGGAGGCTGAGGCAGAAGAATCCTTTGAACCCAGGGAGGTGGAGGTTGCAGTGAGCTGAGATTGCGCCGCTGCACTCCAGCCTGGGCAGCAGAGCGAGACTCCATCTCAAAATTTAAAAAAGAAAAAAAAATTCTAGTCCATTTCATGCTCACTAACCCCCAAAGATTCTGATTCAGTAAGTCTTGACTTTTGTTTTTTGGAGACAGGCTCTTGCTCTGTTGCCTAGATTGGCATGCAGTGGTGTGATCATGGCTCACTGCAGCCTTGAACTCCCGGATTCAAGCAATCCTCCCACTTCAGCCTCCCAAGTAGCTGGGACTACAGGTATGTGCCATTACACCAGGCTAATTAAAAAAAAAAATTGGGGATGTGTGTATGCGTGTGGGGGTCTTGCTATATTTCCCAGGCTGATCTTGAACTCCTAAGCTCAAGAGATCTTGCCCTGGTCCCCCAAAGCGCTAGGATTATAGGTGTGAGCCACCATGCCCAGCCCTGATTCAGTAAGTCTAGGGTGGGGCCCAAGAATCTGCATGTCCAACAACTTCCCAGATGATGCTGATGCTGCCACGCAGAGGAGGCAAGGTTGTCATCAGCCTCTGTGGTCCAGCAACCACGCTCTGAGTAGCACTTGTTCAGGGTATCCCCTTGCCTCCCAAACCCACCTGGCTAATTAAAAATGCCTGATTTGGCTAGGCGCGGTGGCTCACACCTGTAATCCCAGCACTTTGGGAGGCTAAGGCGGGTGGATCACCAGGTCAGGAGATCAAGACCATCCTGGCCAACATGGTGAAACCCCGTCTCTACTAAAATACAAAAACTTAGCCGGGCATGGTGGTGCACGCCTGTAGTCCCAGCTACTTGGGAGGCTGAGGCAGGAGAAAACAGCATGAACCCGGGAGGCGGAGCTTGCAGTGAGCCGAGATCGCACCACTGCACTCCAGCCTGGCGACAGAGCAAGACTCCGCCTCAAAAAAAAAAAAAAAAAAAGGCTGATTTACCCAGAAAGCGATGGAAAGAAAACAAGGCATAGGTTCATGATCTGAAATGCCTTAAAACACTCCCCAGCATCAGCTACACAGCAGAAGCAGCTGCCACAATGTGAGCTTCTCACGTGGGAGCTTCTCACTTCGGCTCTGCAGCAGCCCTCCGGCTTCTGACCTACCAAGGACTTGAAGTGAAGACAGAAGTGGTCCAGGAGAGACACTGGGCTCCTTCTATCTGAGGCCAGGGTTTTAAACAAGAGGAATCCCAGGGAGCCAGGCAGGCCACGGCTCCCCTATGCATACCTGCATCTGTCCAGTACAGTTTGTTGGTGACCCAATCAATGGCCAGGCCAGCTGGGCTCTCCAAACTGGTATCCACTACCACCTGGGCAGGAAGCAAAGCTGTATCACCAACTGTACTTCCACTCTAGTTCTGGAGCCCAAACTCCACCAATTCTCAAGGTTGGCAAAGGTATGGGAAGCCCTTCCCTGGAGAGGGTGGATTCCACCCTTCAACCTCCCCACGCTGGGCCCTACCTCCTGTCCTGTTCCATCCCACTTGGCCCTGCTGATGGTATCAGTGCTGACATCTGTCCAGTACACGTGGTCATCCCGGGAGTCCCAGTCAAGGGCCACAGCACTGCGCACGTCAGCCAGTGGGATGACATCATCAGACAGGTCCTCTGTGTCAAAGCTGATTCGACGGATGTCCATCCTTCGGGCAAAAAGCAGGAACTTGTCAAGACCTGATCAAAGGCCGAAAGGGGTCTTCTTTTAATGCTCTAAATCCAAGAACAGTGACAGACACAGACGCTCACCTGCGTGACATCTGGTTCAATCACACTTCCTGGGATCTGGTGCCCTTTGCCCCCTATACTTTATACCTCAGGCTTCTTTTAAGCACTGCCATGCTAGCAGAATCAGACTTCTAAATCAAATGGAAACAGACTCTACTAAGGTCCCAGAAGTGCATGCTGTTTAAGCATCTGTCGGCTTCATCTCAACTTTTCTCTCTTCTTACTTTTCTCCACCTCTTCTGGTGTCCTGGCTTGCCCACTGCCAACCCCTGACCCCTACTTCCCTGATGTTCATGACTGTGTCAGGGCTCCTGCCCCTCCACTCCATCACCTGGATCCCTTCCTCTTGCTCTCCTCTTTACAACTTTAAGCCAGTAGCTTAAGCTGAGCACTTTCCTTGCCAGGCACTGTGCTTGGTGCTTTTTTGATCTCACACCAAGCCTCTCTCGTGTGTTATTCTTATTCCCATTTTCTAGACGAGCAACCCTGAGGCTAATAGAGATCAAGAAACTTGCCCAGGATCCCATGGCTACAAAGCACCAGAGCTAGGACTCAGATCTGACTCCAGAGAAAGAGCTCTGGCCACTCCTCTACGTAGTTTACTTCCAGCCAGCTCTTCCCCATCCTCTGCCTTTCCTCTGGTCAGTCTGAATACTTTCTCAGTAGACTTTTCTATCCAGAAAGGCACTTCCTGACTAATGTTGCCAAATGTCTTCTTCCTAGGGCTGGGAAATCCTTAAGGGGAAGCTGTCAGGGGACAGGGGGCTTTACTTCTTGCATCTCACTAAGACAACAGGGGAAGCGCTGGACACAAAAGAATGCAAGAGGAAAGGGCCAGGCATGGTGGCTCATGCCTGTAATCCCAGCACTTTGAGGGGCTGAGGTGGGGTCATTGCTTGGGCTCAGGAGTTTGAGACCAGCCTGAGCAACATAGTGGAACCCCGTCTCTACTAAAAATACAAAATTCACTGGGCACAGTGGCTCACGCCTGTAATCCCAGCACTTTGGGAGGCTGAGGTGGATAGATCACGAGATCAGGAGTTTGAGACCAGCCTGGCCAACATAGTGAAACCTCATCTCTACTAAAAATACAAAAATTAGCCAGGCATGGTGGCAGGTGCCTGTAATCTCAGCTACTTGGGAGCCCAAAGCAGAAGAATCGCTTGAACCAGGGAGGTGGAGGTTACAATGAGCCGAGATCATGCCGCCACACTCCAGCCTGGGTGACAGAGTGAGACTCTGTCTCAAAAACAAAACAAACAAACAAAAAACTCCACAAAATTCGCCAGGTGTGACAGTGTATGCCTGTAGTCCCAGCTACTTAGGGGGCTGGGGCGGGAGGCTTGCTTAAGCCCAGGAAGTCGAAGCTGCAGTGAGCACTGTTTACACCACTGCACTCCAGCCTAGGTGACAGAGCAAGACCCTGTCTCAAAAAAAAAAAAAAAAAAAAAAAAAAAGGCCGGGGGCGGTGGCTTATGCCTGTAATCCCAACACTTTGGAAGGCAGAGGCGGGCAGGTCATGAGGTCAGGAGTTCAAGACCAGCCTGACCAACATGGTGAAACCTCATCTCTACTAAAAATACAAAAATTAGCTGGGTGTGGTAGTGCACACTTATAATCCCCGCTACTCAGGAGGCTGAGGCAGGAGAAGCACTTGAACCCGGGAGGCGGACAAAAAAAAAAAAAATGCCAGGCACAGTGGCTCATGCCTGTAATGCCAGCACTTTGGGAGGCTGAGGTGGGTGGATCACCTGAGGTCAGGAGTTCGAGACCAGCCAGACCAACATGGAGAAACCCCGTCCCTACTAAAAATACAAAATTAGCCAGGTGTGGTGGCGCATGCTTGTAATCCCAGCTATTCAGGAAGCTAAGGCAGGAGAATAGCTTGAACCTGGGAAGTGGAGGTTGTGGTGAGCCGAGACTGTGCCATTGTACTCCAGCCTGGACAAGAGCAAAACTGTCTCAAAAAAAAAAAAAAAAAAAAAAAAAGAATGCAAGGGGAAAACTCAGAGAATGAAATTAGGTTCTTAGTTAATATGTGTATGAATGAAACTTTTGAATGTTTTCCCTAACCACACTCTCTAGAAAGGACCCAGGTCCCAGGAGAATTTTATTTTACCCAGATTTCAGAGGGTCAGTGGGGTACACAGCAGTAAACAAGAACAGCTGCTGATGTGTGAGGAATCACCCCAGGTGCCCTGCTGGTCGTGCCATATGCCCGGACCGCTCCTCTCTGGACTATTCTTAGAAAAAGTCATCGTGTGCTGGGCTCTCCAGGGTTACCCTCTCAAAACAATAACTCCTAAGGAGCCCAAAGGAAGCCAAAGTAGCAGTTCAGGGACAGACCAGGGAAGATCCCATGATCTTCCACTTGTTTAACACATATTTATCCAGGACCCGCTTACACAGAACATCATCAGAGATTCTAATTTTGGCTTCCTGGTTTAAGGGCCGAAAGAAAGTCTTCAACAGGGTGACGCTAAAGGTAAAAAGGTAGGAAATCATTCCCCTGTTTTCTAGAAGAGCATAAAACCCTCTTGCTGCCTATAGAGAAGGCAATCCTGCCTGGTAAAATGATACATGAGCCTCACTGCAGGTGTTCACACTCGACCGGGCGGTATTGCTGAGCCTTCAGCCACTAGTGCTGGGTCCTCAGTCCTCAGCTTTGATAGAAGATCCCTCAGCCTCTTAAGTTCTTCCTCTCCAGGGCTCCCTGAGGAATGTGGTTTTTCCCATGACAGGCAATCCCTCCACGTCCTATCCCTTGTTCCTTCTCCCCATCCTCACAACAGCCTCCATGGAGGCTGGTGTTGCAGACCCACTTACTCTGGGCACAGGCGTGGCTGCTGATCTTGCGGAAGCCAGTGGGGCAGGCACAGGTGTAGTTCTGGCCACTGGGCAGACACAGGTGCGTGCAGCCTCCGTTGTTGTCCCCACAGCGGTTTTTCCCTGCTCAAAGAGCCCAGGGCAAGAGGATCAGCGAAGGTCTGCAAAAGTGACCCCAAGACTAGGGAATAGGGGTTTAGGTAGGGTGATAGTTCCCTGAAGGGAGAAACTATGTCTTATATTTTTGACATCTGCCCCTGCTGCTAGCACAGTGAGTACCCGGCACAGAGGAGATGCCCTGTAAATGTCTGCCTGAATTAGATGGGAACGGTGAAGTCTAATGAATCTTTTCGTGAATCTTGTTGTACTGCCCCGAATGTCCAGCAGAGGGAGGAATTAGCCCATGTCAGTGCCCTGCTGGATTTCCCCATCAGAAGAAATGGCAACTCTAAGGGGAAGGAAGGTTCTCAGAGGCACCAGAGGCCACCTCAACCATGAGGCTACTTTGGCTCACCCGGTGGGCAGTTTTTTACCTGCAGGTTGGCGCTGGGGGTGCAAGGTGTGGATGTCCATAGGGAAGTGGAGTTTGTTGCGAATGATTTCCTGGTTCTTCCCCGTAAATTTGTTAGCGCTATTGATGCTCTTGGTGTGCCAGTCTGTCCAGTACAGGCTGTCTTCAAACACTGTGATGGCGAAGGGATGCGGGAGGCCTGGGGAAAGTCCAGGAAGACCTCAGTCTGGACGTGGTCTGCCATGTCCCCTGGGCCCAGGCCTGGCAACTACACAAAACCTCTACCAAGGCTCCTGGGGGGCAGGGACGGGGGCAGGAGGACAAGAGATGAAGGAGACTGAAGGAAGGGGCTCACCCTGGCTAATGACAGCCTTACGGTGACTCCCATCCAGATTGGCCCTCTCGATGACATGGTGCTTAGCATCCACCCAGTACATACGGCGCCCGGCATAGTCGATGGTGAGGCCATTGGGCCAGAAGAGATGGGTATCGGCAATGATGCGGCGTCCAGAGCCATCCATGCTGGAGGCCTCAATACGGGGGGTGTTGCCCCAGTCTGTCCAGTAAATGGTACTAGGAAGAGAAAAGTAAATTGGGAAGTGGGCAGCAGAAAACAGGTAGGTAACCAGGAGAATAATCAGGTAGGGCGCTTTTATCCATTTAACTCAGGGGACTCCAATGTTTGGTCCACAGAATGAATTTTTTTTTTAGACGGGGTCTCATTTTGTCACCCAGGCTGGAGGGCAGGTGAGATTACAGCTCACTGCGGCCTCAATCTCCTGGGCTCAGAAGGCCTCCCACTTCAGCCTTCTGAGCAGCTAGTATCGCTACACCTAACTAATTTTTTTTTGTAGTAGAGATGAGGTCTTGCTATGTTACCCAAGCTGGTCTCAAACTCCTGAGCTCAAGCAATCCTCCTGCTTTGTCCTTTCAAAGTACTGGGATTATAGGCATGAGTCACCATGCCCAGCCTCAGAATGCTTTTTAAGTGTCTGAGTTTAAATGTCTTTAGACAGGGCATTTATTCATTTAATAATTTTTTTTTTCATACTGGCAACAGGCAGGACATACTATCTTAGGCACTGGAAATCTAGCAGTGAACAAAACAGACAAAAGTCTCACAGAATTGACAATATAATGTAATATTAGGACAGGCACTTTCTTCTTTGTCACAATCTCTTCCACTGCCTTTTGTATTTTATTTTCTTTTATTTTTGAGACTCGCTCTGTTGCCCAGGCTGGAATGCAGTGGCACGATTTCAGCTCACTGCAACCTCCACCTCCTGGACCCAAGTGATTCTCCTGCCTCAGCCTCCCAAGTAGCTGGAATTACAGGCACCCGCCACCATGCCCAGCTAATTTTTGTATTTTTAGTAGAGATGGGGTTTCACCATGTTGGCCAGGCTGGTCTCAAACTCCTGACCCCAAGTGATCCACCTGCCTCGGCCTCCCAAAGTGCTGGGGTTACAAGCTTGAGTCACCATGCCCGGCTCCTTTTGTATTTTATACACACACACACACACACACACACACACACACACACAGACACACACACATACACACACACAGTTTCTAAAACAGTTGATACATACTGTAGGACCTTATAAGATACTCCCTCCATTGATTGCATAGAATTTTTAAAAGCCAGAGGTGAGAACTTCATTTCAGGAGTTTTTCTTTAATTCAGATTTCTGAATTTTAAATTTAATTTTTTTTGAGACAGAGTCTCACTCTGTCATCCAGGAGTGCAGTGCCATAATCATGGCTCACTGCAGCCTCGAACTCCAGGGCTCAGGTGATCCTCCTACCTCAGCCTCCTGTGTAGTTGGGACTACAGGCATGCATCAATAAGTCCAGCTAATTTTTGTACTTTTTATAGAGATGGGGTTTTGCCATGTTGCCCAAGCTGGTCTTGAACTCCTGGGCTCAAGCAATCTGCCCACCTCAGCATCCCAAAGTGCTGAGATTATAGGCATGAGCCACTGAACCTGACCAGATTTCTCAATTTTATTTATTTAACTTTTTTTGAGACAGGGTCTTACTCTGTCACCCAGGCTGGAGGTCACTGTTGCAATCACGGTTCCCTGCAACCTCGACCTCCCAGTCTCAAGCCATCCTTGCACCTCAGCCTCCCACGTAGCTGGGACTACAGGCATGTGCCACTATGCCAGGCTAATTTAGAAAACATTTTTGTAGAGATGAGGCCACACTATGTTGCCCAGGCTGATCTTGAACTCCTGGACTCAAGTGATCCTCCTTCCTTGGTCTCCAAAAGTGCTGGAATTATAGGTGTGAGCCACTGTGCCCGGCCCCTCTATTAATTTTTAGGCTATAATAATTAATTACAATTCTTATGAATTACTAATAACTATTAATTTGTATTAATTAGGTCAACCTTATGAGCTAATAATAAAAATACGAAACACCTACAACTTATCTAATGTGTGTTATATGCAATTTAAAATGCATCACCTCATTTAATCTTCATACAACTATGATGGAGGTATTTTTTTTTAATCACCAATTTAGAAATGAGTAAACAAGGCAGACAGAGATTAACTGGCCCAAGGCCACACAGCCAGTTATTACAGAGCCAGGACCTAGACTCAAGTGTGTGGGGGACAGAGCCCATGTTATTAACATCATACTTTTTTTTTTTTTTTTTTTCGAGACAGAGTCTTGCTCTTTCTCCCAGGCTGGAGTGCAGTGGCGCAATCTCAGCTCACTGTAACCTGTGCCTCCTGGGTTCAAACAACTCTCCTGCCTCAACCTCCCGAGTAGCTGGGATTACAAGCACCCGCCACCATGCCTGGCTAATTTTTGTATTTTGCAGAGATGGGGTTTCCCCATGTTGGCCAGGCTGGTCTCGAATTACTGACCTCAGGTGATCTGCCCGCCTTGGCCTCCCAAAGTGCTGGGATTACAGGCGTGAGCCACCGCGCCCAGCTACACCACACTTTGAGGATGTACTCCCAGAATGTCTAGTCCAGGTAGCCTGGGAGCTGTCCCGAGAGGTTGCAAGAAAGTTCGGGAGCCTGAGATACAACTTACCCCTCCATGGGATGCAAGGCAATGGCCCGGGGCTTCTCCAGGTTCTGCCACAGCAACACTTTCCGGTGGGCCCCATCCAGATTGGCCACCTCAATCCTCGAGGTGCCTGAGTCGGTCCAGTAGAGTTTGTCATGGACCCAATCCACAGCCAGGCCCCCTGGTGAGAAGCAGCAGCAAAAAATGTCAAGGAGTCAACCCAGGCCCCCATGTCCCATAGTAATAGGAGCAAACTCTTACAGGAAGCAATTTTTTGGGCCAGGCACTATTGTCATCACTTCAGATACATGAATTCATTTAAGCATCACAACTCTGTGAGCTAGATACTGTAATTTCCATGAGGATGAGGAAATTGAGGCACAAAAGAGTTAAGTAACTGTCCAAGGGCATGCACTTCCTCCTCACAGTCAACCATACATCACTTTCTGAATTCTGTCTCCCTGACGCATTCCCAGGGTCCCCCACTGCACTGACCCAGGGGTTTGTAAATTGTCATCTGGGGTTTTGCAGAGGCATTTCAGAAATTCCCTAGGCATTTGAGTCCAATGTGCTTGATACCAAATTAGAATTTGACCACTTCACCTATTTGTAAAATAGCCTGAGATTGACAAGTGAGCTGTTTCTGTGGTTTTTTGTTTGTTTGTTTCGAGATGGAGTCTCACTCCCATTGCGCAGGCTGGAGTGCAGTGGTGCAGTCTCGGGTCACTGCAACCTCCACCTCCTGGGTTCAAGAGTTTCTCCTTCCTCAGCCTCCCAAGTAGCTGGGATTACAGGCATTTGCCACCATGCCTGGCTAATTTTTGTATTTTTAATAGAGATGGGGTTTTGCCATGTTGGCCAGGCTGGTCTCAAACTCCTGACCTCACGTGATCCGCCTGCTTCAGCCTCCCAAAGTGCTGGGATTACAGGCGTAAGCCACCACGCTTGAACTATTTTTTTTTTTTTTTTGAGACGGAGTTTTGCCTAGGCTGAAGTACAATGGCGTGATCTCGGCTCACCGCAACCTCCACTTCCTGAGTTCAAGCAATTCTCCTGCCTCAGCCTCCCAAGTAGCTGGGATTACAGGCATGCGCCACCACGCCCGGCTAACTTTTGTATTTTTAGTAGAGATGGGGTTTCTCCATGTTGGTCAGGCTGGTCTCAAACTCCCAACCTCAGGTGATCTGCCCACCTCAGCCTCCCAAAGTGCTGGGATTACAGGCGTGAGCCACCGTGCCTGGCCTGTTTTTTTAACAATCTATAAAACATTTTGATATACTTATCCAGGTCAATCAGAATATTCTTAATACTAAGCAATCGAAACAAAACTCAGAAATAAACTAGATGCAAAGGCTGATGGAGAACTCTGTCATCCATAAATCTGATTCCCATGATCACAACCACCAACGTGGTCTCATTATTCTCACTGATTGAGCTCAATCATGAGCAAATGTTATATTTGAACCTATAAAATTGATATACATTAACAAATGTTTTCTATATTAGGGCTCCAACTAAGATTTCCCTGGAAGAAAAAGATGTCCTGCTGCCTAAGGTTTGCAAACCACTGGCCTATTCCTCCCACCGTTGCTGCGCATGTGGCATGGCTCTGCCCCTCTCCATGGGGCCTTGTTCCCTACCTGGGCTCTCCAGCCCAGTAGACACAACCTCCTCCACGTTGCTGCCGTTGAGGTTGGCACGGAGGATCCGGTCCAGGGTGACATCTGACCAGAAGACAAGCTCGCGGCGGTGGTGGAAATCAAGGGCAATGGCATTCTCCAGGTTGTTAAGCAGCAGTGTGTACTCAGAGCGGTGTGGCAGCACCTGCCGGATGTCGATGCGATTGGCGAACAGCAGCACAGGCTCTGGCCCTGGGAAACAGTATAAACATGGGATACCCACTGGGTTTCAGAGCCGCCCCTGGTACCCATCAGCAGGTCTTCAGCTGACCGATGGAGCCACTTGCTCACAAGGACATGCCCCAAGCTGTCAGCATCAGTACCAGAAGAGTGGCAACCTTTAAACTATATTCCTCCACCCCTCCCCACCCCACTCCACCCCAGCAGCATTTTTCTTGGGGCTCAGAATGCAACTGTTGCTGCATTTTACTGTGACAGAAATCTCTCTACCTCTCTGCAAATCCCTGAGCACCAGAGTACCTGGCCTTCCTCCATGCTCGGCCCTCTGCCCACCCAGCCAAGTGCCAACAGCCCTTACCCAGAGCCTTGCAGCTGCGCCGGTCGGGCCGTAGTTCATAGCCTGTTTCACACCAGCATTGGAAAGCCCCTTCGCTGTTGGTGCAGCCCTGGCTGCAATACCCCTCCTCGGCACATTCATTCACATCTGGGAACACCAGGCAGGTCAAGAGATCTCCCTTCTGTCGTCCTCCCACTCCCGCTCCCAGGCTGCCGAGCTGCTTTTCTGCCCACATCCCCATCTACTTTCCAGGCCTAGTGGGAAGGCTGTCTAAGAAATGGTTAAGGGCGGCCGGGCGTGGTGGCGCACACCTGTAGTCCCAGCTACTCAAGAGGCTGAGGCAGGAGAATGGCTTGAACCCAGGAGGCGGAGGCTGCAGTGAGCCGAGATCGCACCACTGCACTCCAGCCTGGGCGACAGAGCGAGGCTCCATCTCAAAAAAATAAAAATAAAAAATAAAAAAGAAGAAATGGTTAAGGGCTTTAAGGTCATGCAGACCTGGGCTGGAATCCCAACTCTGCTACTCGCCAGCTGTGTGGCCTTTGGTAAGCTACTTATCCTCTCTGTGCTTCAGTCTCCCCATCTGTGAAATGGGAAGGATGATCCCCACCTCCTAGGGTTATTGTGAGGACGAAATGAGGTCACACCGTTCAAATGCCTGACCCATAGGAAACACAGCTGCCTGTCTGCTGCCCCTGCTCAGAACCCCGACTCTGCTGCAAACCAGGCCCCAGCTCACCTTGGCACGTGTGCCCATCCTCTGTGAGCCGGTAGCCTGTGTGGCAGGTACACTGCACTGCCCCCCGCACCATCTGGCACTTCTGGGCACAGCCACCGTTGTTAACATTGCAGTTCTCCTCACCCGTCCGGGGCCCTGTGCCAGCCAAGCCAGAGTTGGGAGTTGAGCCCAGAATCCTCCCCCAGAGAGCCAACTTGGCATTCCACCTGGACCACAAAGAACAGCTCCCAAAGCTGCAAGAGTCCTGAGGGAGGATTCCCTTTGAACCCTATGGGTGGGGTTCGGCCACAAACCATGGGCCAGGTCCGCCCACTGGGGACACTCACGGCAATTCTGCTGTGGGCTTTCGTCGCTGTTGTCACCACAGTCGTTGACCCCGTTGCACAGCTTCCTCTGCCCAATGCAGCGCCCATTCCAACACAGGAACTGGTCCAAGGCACATTGGGGGCTTCCTAGAGAGATGGAGGGTCAGGTCATAGCAAGGCAGGGCTTGGGCCAACAAAGAGATGGGAGCCTGTCATTTTCTAGGGTAAGCTGGAGACAGATGAGACTCAAGGTGGGAGGGTGAGGGTCCTGGGCAGGAAGCAGCTCAGACAGGGCTGGCTGAATGTCTGCATTTGCTTTCTCCCCAGGACTCCACAGTGGGATGGTGAGGAATATGGAACAGAATGAAAAAGTGCAACCACATGCTCAATACTGGGTGTGGCCAGGGGAGCACACATGGGGGCTGCCAGATGGAGGGTAGTCCTTCCTCACTAGACCAGAGCTAAAGGCACTGGCTGTGTGTGAGTTAGAATAGGAGTGGCAATTGAAACTCGCAGCTCTGATACTGTGCTCCAGGCCATAAGGCCGCAGGTCAATGATGCACCTGGATTTTACACTGGTAAAACCTCAACCCAACTGGAAAGATACCAAAGCACCCTCTTTTCCACCCTTCCACCCCAACTATAGGCTAAGGGTTCTGGGGCACCCCGGGAGACACCACCTGTATTCTCACAGTTCTCTTCATCGCTGTTGTCTGCACAGTCGTCCTCCCCATCACAGCGCCAGGACAGGCGGACACAGCGGCCTGAGTGACAGCGGAACTGTTCTGCCGTACACATGGAGGTGGCTGGGCAAAGCAAAGGCTTAATGAAAGGTGGGCCCCATTTCAGCCTGAAATTCTCCCTGCCACCCAAATCTGCAGCTTATATCAGTACCCATGCCACTCTTGACACCGGGATCACAGCTGGTCTATATAGTGTCTTTGTGTGAATCAGAAAAAAGTATCCTTTCCTCAAGACACTTTACTGCCATCTGCTGGAAAACTGCCATGATGAGTATATAAATCTATTATGTGACTGGCTTCCCTTTGGACATATTGCCTCTGCACAGTGCACAACCTACACAACTGTACATGGTGGTGGTCTTACCCAGTGTCTTCAAGATTTATGGGTAGTGGCCTGTTTGTCTTTTTTTTTTTTTCTTTTTATTTTTTTATTTTTATTTTTTTTTATTTTTTAATTTTTTTATTATCATTCTTGGGTGTTTCTCGCAGAGGGGGATTTGGCAGGGTCATAGGACAATAGTGGAGGGAAGGTCAGCAGATAAACAAGTGAACAAAGGTCTCTGGTTTTCCTAGGCAGAGGACCCTGCGGCCTTCCGCAGTGTTTGTGTCCCTGGGTACTTGAGATTAGGGAGTGGTGATGACTCTTAACGAGCATGCGGCCTTCAAGCATCTGTTTAACAAAGCACATCTTGCACCGCCCTTAATCCATTTAACCCTGAGTGGACACAGCACATGTTTCAGAGAGCACAGGGTTGGGGGTAAGGTCACAGATCAACAGGATCCCAAGGCAGAAGAATTTTTCTTAGTACAGAACAAAATGAAAAGTCTCCCATGTATACTTCTTTCTACACAGACACGGCAACCATCCGATTTCTCAATCTTTTCCCCACCTTTCCCTCCTTTCTATTCCACAAAACCGCCATTGTCATCATGGCCCGTTCTCAATGAGCTGTTGGGTACACCTCCCAGACGGGGTGGTGGCCTGGCAGAGGGGCTCCTCACTTCCCAGTAGGGGCGGCCGGGCAGAGGCGCCCCTCACCTCCCGGACGGGGCGGCTGGCCGGGCGGGGGGCTGACCCCCCAACCTCCCTCCCGGACGGGGCGGCTGGCCGGGCGGGGGGCTGACCCCCCCACCTCCCTCCCGGACGGGGTGGCTGACCGGGCGGGGGGCTGACCCCCCCACCTCCCTCCTGGATGGGGCGGCTGGCCGGGCAGAGGGGCTCCTCACTTCCCAGTAGGGGCGGCCAGGCAGAGGCGCCCCTCACCTCCCGGATTGTCTTGTTTTTTGAGATGTCATCTCACTCTGCTACAGGGACGCCGTCTCGGGTCACTGCAACCTCTGCCTCCTAGGTTCAAGCGATTCTCCTGCCTCAGCCTCCCGAGTAGCTGGGATTACAGGCATGCGCCACCACACCCAGCTAAGTTTTGTATTTTTAGTAGAGATGGGGTTTAACCATGTTACCCAGGCTGGTCTTGAACTCCTGACCTCAAGCAATCCACCCACCTTGGTCTCCCAAAGTGCTGGCATTATAAGCATGAGCCACCGCGCCCAGCCGGTAGTGGCCTCTTTGGCTCCACAAGCCTTCTCCTTAGTTCAAGCCCAACCTAATTCCATTTCCCCACTCACTGCAGTTGCGCTCATCAGACTGGTCATCACAGTCCGCGTCACCATCGCAGCGCCAGCCTGCATTGATGCACAGGCCACTGTCACACATGAACTCCCCAGAGCGGCAGGGCTGGTGGGAGGCTAGGGAAACACAAGACTTCTGTCTCTAGCCAGTCTGTGCAGTGTCCCATGGCAGACTAGAAGGCCACAGCCCCAGAATCCCAGTTCCTCCATCTCTTCCCAAGAGGGACCAGAAAATCCAGAAACTCCTCTCTGAACTCCTGCCCCAGCTGGCGACTGTGCCTTGCCACCCAAGCAGTTCTTCCCAGCCTGGCCTCCCCACCTCCCAGCTGGCCAGAGTACTCACAGCAGTCAGACTCGTCTGACCAGTCTCCACAGTCATCGTCGCCATCGCAGTGGTAGATGTCGAGGATGCAGCGTCCATAGGCACACTGGAACTCCTCCAGGTTGCAGGGGGGCGCTGGCACTGCTGAGGCTGGAGGGAAGGCAGGGGTGGGGAGGGGCACACACTCAGGCCTGGATGAAGGAGAGGGGCCCTGATTCCTCAAGCAGGCAGGATGCTCAGGCAGGAGAGCTTCTTCAAGTGAGATGTAACCAGGTTTCATCTGGGACAGCCCTTATAGACGCCCATATTCAGGTGGACCAAAGGAAGCCTTCCCTTCCCACCTGGGGAACTTGCTCCCTCCCTAGCTCAGCCTAGGAGGAGCTGCTGCTGAGGCACCCATGCTCCTTGCCCTTGGTACATGCACTCCTCAGCCTCGCCCTTAGCCAATGGGCAGAACTGTCTGCCCTCATCCAACCCAACAGCCTGAGGTCTGGGGCCACTCACGACAGTTCTCCTCATCGGAGCCATCTTTGCAGTCGGTGTCACCGTCGCAGTACCAATGCTCAGCAATGCAGCTTCCGTCACTACAGCGGAACTCCTTGTCGGAGCACTTGCGCATGTCTGGGGGGATGCGATGGGACAGCAGTTCTGAGGGGGCCCCACAGGCAACCCTCTCACCCTCCTCTCTGACTCCCAACCTCACTGGCTTTGGCGGGTCTGACCTAGCCCCCGAAAGGCACCCCAGAGTCAGTGCAGACTCTCCAGGGAGAACGGAGGCCCTGGAGAGACTGGGCCTCAGCCTCCTGGTCCACAGTTTCTGGGGGGTCTGAGCGGCTCTGCCCCCTCTGCGTTCCTCTAGCTGCTCCAGATATCTGGGCAGTTGGAGGTTTGGCAGTGCTAGGGCCATTGCTGCTATCTTCTCCCATGGCCAGGCCACCCACTGGCCACCTTGCCTGCCTTCCCCCGTTGGGGTCACCCACCACACTGCTCATCGCTGTTGTCGCCACAGTCATTGTCACCATCGCAGTGCCACAGACTCCGGATGCAGTAGCCATTCTGGCAGGGAAACTCGTCCTCCTCACACTCCCGGGGGGCTGTGGGCACAGAGCAGTCAGGCTGCTGCAGGCAGTGGGGGTCTGGTGCCTGGAAGCCTGACTTAAAGCCCTCCGGAGCAGTCAAGTAGCTCCAGTGCTGCCCTGAGGGCTCCGAAGGAGGTGGCTGCCTCTCAGCAGCTTATCTGACTTCGAGAGGAAGTGAAAGGACAGGACAAAGTGCTGAAAACACAAGGGCTCATGTGGACCTGGGGCATTGCTTTCTGATTGAAAATCCTTTCCCAGTGGAACTCAATGGAGTTCCGCCCAGCCTCTGCCAACACTCACGACAGTCCTGCTCATCCGAGTCATCCTCACAGTCGTTGTCCCCGTCACACACCCAGGAGCGGCGGATGCACTTGCCATTGTCACAGTGAAAGTCAAGAGGGGAACAGGTAGGTAGTACTGAATCCCAGGAAAAGAAAAGAAAAGTCAATCAACCTGGTATTCTTACTCAGGCTCAACTAGGCCAGATAGCCTTTTGCTCCAAATCCCCTTGTCTTTTTTTCTTTTTTTGAGACCGAGTCTTACTCTGTCACCCAGGTTGGAGTACAGTGGCGCAATCTTGGCTCACTGCAACCTCTGCCTCCTGGTTCAGGCGATTCTGACTCAGCCTCCCAAGTAGCTGGGATTACAGGCATGCTTCACCACACCTGGCTAGGTTTTTTTGGTTTTTGTTTTTGTTTTTTGCATTTTTAGTAGAGACAGGGTTTTGTCGTGTTGGCCAGGCTGGTCTCAAACCCCCGACCTCAGGTGATCTGCCTGCCTCAGCCTCCCAAAGTGCTGGGATTACAGGCATGAGCCATGGCGCCTGGCCTTTTTTTTTTTTTTGAAACAGAGTCTGACTCTGTCACCCAGGCTGGAGTGCAGTGGTATGATCTCGGCTCACTGCAACCACCGCCTCCTGGGTTCAAGGAATTCTCATGCCTCAGCCTCCCGAGTAGCTGGTGTTACAGGTGCCCGCTGCCACACCCAGCTATCTTTTTTTTTGTGTGTATTTTTAGTAGAGGTGGGTTTTCGCCATGTTGGCCAGGCCAGTCTCGAACTCCTGGCCTCAAGAGATCCACCTGCCTTGGCCTCCCAAACTGTTGGGATTACAGGCGTGAGCCACCACACCCAGCCCCCTTGTCTGTTTTATAGTCCTTCCTTACTGACTCCTAGGCCCATCCCCAGCTGATGGAGAAGCTAAGCAGAAACTGCAGCTAAGACAGAGATTCAAAAGGTAATTGTGGTGAGGGGTTCACAGGGTAGGGGAAGAACAACCCAAAGAACTCACAGGAGCTAAGAAAACATAAGAAAAACATGAGCAAGAGAAAGAAGCGCCTTTTTCCCCTCCTTTCCTCTTGTTAAATGATGATTGACACACCCGGGCTCAATTTCCAGTTCATTACGTAACACTCTGAGCAAGTCATTTACCCTCTCTGAGCTGAAGTCTTTTTGGCTGTACAATGGGGATAATTATACTCAGTTCATAGAGGCCTTTTGATATAATGCCTATGAAAATGCTACATGAAAGTGAAGCATTTATCATCAACACAATTAGCTGAACTGGTTAGGGTTAATGAGGTCCAGGTTGTACCTCCGTTCCCATTAGACTAATTAGCCACCCTCAGACATAGATGCTACAGGTAGGTCAGAGATTGCGCCTCTAATCCAGACTATTGGCTTAGCAGGGATATTTCTATATATCCAAGACAGGTCACCCTGGCCAACTGTGCAGATGTTACCATGCTAGGGGAAAAGGGAGACTTAAGGAAAATATAAGTTTTTTTTTTTTTAGACGGAGTCTCGCTCTGTCGCCCAATCTGGAGTGCAGTGGCGCGATCTCGGCTCACTGCAAGCTCTGTCTCCCGGGTTTACACCATTCTCCTGCCTCAGCCTCCCAAGTAGCTGGGACCTCAGGTGCCTGCCACCACGCCCGGCTAATTTTTTTGTATTTTTAATAGAGACAGGGTTTCAGCGTATTAGCCAGGATGGTCTCGATTTCCTGACCTCGTGATCTGCCCACCTCAGCCTCCCAAAGTGCTGGGATTACAGGCATGAGCCACTGCGCCCGGCCTAAGAAAATATAAGATTTCTTACAAAGTTACTAAGAAAGGTGTGGCTGGGCGTGGTGGTTCATGCCTGTAATCCCAGCACTTTGGGAGGCTGAGGTGGCTGGATCACTTGAAGTCATGAGTTCGAGACCAGCCTGGCCAAAATGTTGAAACCTCATCTCTACTAAAAATACAAAAAATTAGCTGGGCATGGTGGCACATGCCTGTAGTCCCAGCTACTCAGGAGGCTGAGGCAGGAGAATCACTTGAACCTGGGAGGTGGAGGTTGCAGTGAGCCTAGACTGTGCCCCTGCACTCCAGCCTGGGAAACAGAATGAGACTCTGTATCAAAAAAAAAAAAAAAAAAAGGTTTTATTGTACAAAATACCAAAATAAGAAACATAGAAATAATCCACATTTGTGTATAGTATATAAATTTTAAAACGCACAAATATGCGGTACATATACACAAACATATTCACATAAATACAGAGAGACCTATTTAAAGAAACTCCCTGTTGTGTTCTCTTACACGTGTTGTCAAGTTTGTTTTCTTGGACATATATGCATGAACCAACCAAAAGAAACACAGGAGAGTTGGAGCCATATATAGTGAAGAAACTACCCAAATGTCAATATCTATCAAGCTTGCAAAAGACCAACTCTCTGAGTCCGACACAGTTGATGCAGAAAATACTCCATCAGCCTTGTCCTTGCCCCCCACCCCCAGGTCCCTCTCCACCACCTCCCACTGCCTCTGGGGAGGTACTTACTACATCCATCCTCATCGCTGTGGTCCCCGCAGTCATTGTCTCCATCACACTGCCACTGGGCAGGGATGCAGGTACACTCTCCAAGAGCACTCACTGCACATGTGAAGTGGCTCCGACCACAAGCACACTCGGGGCTGCTGGCCAGGCCTGGGCGGAGGGAAAAGGAATCAGTGAGGGCTCAGCTCCCACTCAACCCAAGCCCATTCCGAGGGGAAAGTAGAGGAGCCTAGTCCAGGGGCACTGTCACCTGGAGAGTCACAGTGACACTTCAAGGGAGATGCAGGCAGTAAAACCATGCCTCCTCCAGGGCATAAACGACCCAGCAGATACCCTCTGACTTTGGGCTTACAAAGAGTCCAGGTGACCCGCTCTATGACAGGGCTTTTTTGCATGGCACCTCTAAGGGCCCAGAAACAGATGATGCCACCTAGGCTAGGCACAGTGGCTCATACCTATATCACAGCACTTTGAGGGGCTGAGATGGGAGGATTGATTGAGCTCAGAAGTTCAAGACCATCGTGGGCAACATAGTGAGACCTTGTTTCTACAAAAAACTAAAAAATTAGCTGAGGGTAGTGGCATGTGCCTGTAGTCCCAGCTACTTGGGAGGCTGAGGTGGGAGGATTGCTTGAACCTGGGAGGTCAAGGCTGCAGTGAGCTATGATCACACCACTGCACTCCAGCAGGTGCAACAGAGCAAGACCTTGTCTCAAAAAAGAAAAAAAGAAACAACCCCCTCCAAAAAAAAATGATGCCACTCAGAGGTTTGGTGCTTTTGAAGAAGAGGAACAAGGGACAGAAAGGGTGATGTTGAGAGGCCTCCATAGCCTTCTCACTAAAACTAGGTTGAGATATGGACGCTCTGCCTCTGTCTTGGACCAGACCCTGGGATGTTGGCCAGGGAGGGCAAGAACTAATGGTGGAATTAAAATGCTGGAGCCTCTTTAGGATAAGGAATCCACACAGGGGAGCAGGAAGCAGGGTGGGCTGCTCTGAGTCCCCCAGGCCACCTCAGGGCAGAGTAACTGGGACCTGCCAGGGCCTTCCTGTCTGTGGCACAGGCCACAGCCTTGAGGAAGGCTGGCAGATGCAGCCTCTCCCCCGGCTTCAGCAGCACGCAGCTGGGCTTCCCTATTGAGCATCGAGCTATCTGCCTGGCCAAGTCCCATGACCAGCTGCTGTGCCCCCTCCCCAGCGTGCCCAGCAGGATGCCCTGGGATGGCGTGTGAATGGCTCAGTGCCCTGCTCCAGCCTCAGCTGGAACAAAGGGTTCTGCCAGGGTCACTCTCCCCCCTCCCAGCATTCATCCAACCCGCTGGGCTGCTCTGCTCGCAGCTGGGGAAGGAGGGGGCCGCAGCGCATGGCTCATCTCTCCCCCTTCCTTTCTTCTCCTCTTCCTTCCCTCAGCTGGACCCTGCCCTCAGGCTGGGCTGAAACAGAGAAGGAGTCAGCTCGAAATTGTCACCCCTCTTCCTATACTCTGTACCTGGTCCAGCTTTTCTCTCTCAGCTCATCTCCTTGATGTACATCCTTGTCTCACATTATAATTCCTTGGCCTAGCCTAGGGCTTAGGGCCAGGATAAAAAGGTGTGCTGCCATGCCCTCCAAAAGCAGGGAGAGAGCTCTAGAACTTTCCCTCTCCATCTCAACCCCAAGAGTAAGTGCAAGCATAAGGTAAAACTTCCTAGCCTGCAATGCATGGATGGATGGATGGATGGACGGACAGACGGATGGATGGATGGATGGATGGATGGCTTTTGGGTTCTGTGAATCCCTGATGCTACAGGTATAATGTACGTTTCTGGGGTAAGGGATCACAGCTTTCACCAGATTCTCAACTGAGGCCTGGCCCTCTCCCTCCACATGCTATGGTAATCAGCTGCTCTAGAAAAGATGCAGGATTGGGCTGGGCACGGTGGCTCATGCCTGTAATATCAGCACTTTGAGAGACTGAGGCAGGTGGATCCTTTGAGCACAGCAGTTTTGAGACCAGCCCGGGGAACATGGCAAAACCCTGTCTCTACAGAAAAGAAATTTACAAAAGTTAGCCAGGCATGGTGGTGGACACCTGTACTCTCAGCTACTTGGGAGCATGATGTGGGAGAATCACTTGAGCCCGGGAGGTTGAGGCTGCAGTGAGCCATGATCTCACCACTGCACTCCAGCCATGGTGACAGGATGAGACCTTGTCTCAAAAAAAAAAAAAAAAAAAAAAAAAAAGATGCAGGATTTCCTGCGGAAGCCAAGTGAGGTCCAGTTGGGAGGTGCAGTGTCTCTAGACCTCACAGGAAGGCCTTGCTCCAAGCCCAGTGCTCCTGTCTCTTCGGGTCTCTCTACAAATGCAGGGTAGAGGATTCTTCCCCAGGAAGCACTAAAAGACCCAGGTGCCCCTGCCCCCACTCCATCCTTTCTGGCCTGAGAACTCTGAGAAGGGAGGAGGGTTTTTCTCACTCAGATCCTGGACAACACAGCCTGAGGAACTTCAGTAGTATGACAGGCTCAGCACAGCTGTAGGCACCCTTTTGGTGAACTCTAGCTGGATTGAACAGCAAAGATGTTTAATTCCACTCCATGTGATGGGACTCCCCGGTACACAGATCCCCTTCATGGGGTATCATGGTGAAGAAAAAGGATAAGGCTAATAAGGATCTCAACTGGGGATATTTTGTCCCCCGGAGGACATTTAGCAATGTTTGGAGACATTTTTGGTTGTCCTGCTTGGCGGTGCTTACCGACATCTGGTGGGTAGAAGCTAGGGATGCTGCTAAAGACTCTATAACGTGTATAATTCTATACAGGATTACACGCCTGTAATCCCAGCACTTTGGGAGGCCCAGGTGGGCGGATCACCTGAGGTCAGGAGTTCAAGACCAGCATGGCCAATGTGGTGAAACCCCCGTCTCTACTAAAAATACAAAAATGAGCCGGGTATGGTGGTGGGCACCTGTAATCCCAGCTACTTGGGAGGCTGAGGCAGGAGAATTGCTTGAACCCAGGAGGCAGAGGTTGCGGTGAGGGGAGATCATGCCATTGCACTCCAACCTGGGCAACAGGAGCGAAACTCCGTCTCAAAAAAAAAAAAAAAAATCTATAACATGCAGACAGGCCCCTATGACAAAGAATTATCTGGCCCAAAACATCAACAGAGGTTGAGAAATGCTGCTAACCACACACAGTAGGGAGTGGGGATGTACCAGACGGGAGTTCAGGATGAAAGCTGTGGAAAGGACAGAGAGGAAGTAGGGGGGAATAGGAGGAGGAGGTTAGGCAGAGGACAAAGCACTGGACCTGGAGCAGACAGACTTGGGTTCCATCGACCAGCCAGTTGACCTTGTGCAAGTCACGTAGCCCCTTAAGCTTCAGTTTTCTTGTTTGTAAAAAAGCCACAAGGGGCTGAACATGGTGGCTCATGCCTATAATCCTAGCACTTTGGGAGGCTGAGGCGGGCAGATCACTTGAGGTCAGGAGTTTGAGACCAGCCTGGCCAACATGGTGAAAACCTGTCTCTACTAAAAATACAAAAATTAGCTGGGCGTGGTGGCGCACGCCTGTAGTCCCAGCTACTTGGGAGGCTGAAGCAAAAGAATTGCTTGAACCATGGAGGCAGAGGTTGCAATGAGCAGAGATCACGCCACTGCACTGCAGCCTGGGCAACACAGCGAGACTCTGTCTCGAAAAAAAAAAAAAGCAACAAAGATTAGACAAGAAAATAAAGGTGGAAAAAACTAATCTTATGCCTTGGCACACCAAAGATGTTCAATAATGGAGGCTGGGGTGTGCAGATGCAGGGCTGTGCAGATGCAGGGCTGTGGAGGCTAAATTTTTCCAAAAGGCCTTGATATTAAGAATCAGAGTACCAGAATAGAGCAAGTAGAGCAGTGTCCTGGGGCTGCGTGCAAATGAAAAGTCATACTGGTAGGGAAGAACCTTAAGCTCCGTTTGTTTTTTTAGGGCCCCACCCCCGCCTTTGGCTGAGTGATAACAGAAGTCCCGATTTCCCCCGCGCAGACTGTAGGAACAAAGCATTCCATCGGTGGGCATCAAGTTAGTTGCAGGCAGTTGAAGGGCCTCGACTTCCTGCATGTCAAATCAACATCTCAGCGTCCGCTGCAGTGAAGGGCGGGCAGCCACCGGTCAGGCAAACGCTTGACTTGGGCATTCATACAGTAAACAGACACATTATACTCCAAAAAGCCAGCTCTTCTGGGCAACTGCTGTCCCTCTGGGGTCCTCAGAGGTGGAATTCTGCCTTTTCACTCAAGTCCTGGCTGTGATCATAAAGGCAGCTTTTAACCCTTTTTAAGGAAAAGAATGGTGAGTGAAGAAAGAAAACAAATGACTGTGGGTGGCAAAATGCAGCCTTCATTTTAAGAAGTGTTGAATTAGAACACTTCACTATGCTCTGGCCTTGAAAGCTGCCAGCCACATCGCAAGCTCCCTTAGCCTCCAGGGGCCTGGGCTCTAGCCCCTCCACCTAATGCAATTCACTATGGAAAAGGTCTGTCCGCAAGGTATCTTTGATCATGAAGCCATCCAGCTTTTGGGATATATGTTAATGTGCTCATAGGATGTTTCTCTAGAGGTTAACTAAAATCTTACCTTTTACATCTCATCTCTCCCACTCCCGCCATCTTACCACTTTCTCACGGCTTTCATATAAAGCAAGCTTGTCCAACCTGAGACTTGCATGGCCCAGGATGGCTTTGAATGTGGCCCAACACAAATTCGTAAACTTCCTTAAAACATGAGATTACTTGCGATTTCTTTTTTCTTAGCTCATCAGCTGTTGTTAATGTTCATGTATTTTATGTGTGGCCCAAGACAATCCTTCTTCCAGTGTAGCCCAGGGAAGCCAAAAGTCTGGACAGCCCTGATATAAAGGAAAGAAGGGAAACATCCATCTGGTATACAAGACACACTAACTTAGTAGTAGACAACATAGATTCTAAAGTCAGAGAGATGAAGGTTCAAATCTTGGTTCTACCACAAATTCCGCAATTTTGAGCAAGTTAGTTAATCCCTCCAGGCCTCAGTTTCCTCATCCATAAAATGGGAATATTAACAGTTCTAACTCAAAGGGCTTTGTAAAGATTAACCCATATAAACTGCTTAGCACAGGGCTAACACACAGCAAAAGCTTCATAATAATATAACCATCTTTTTTTTTTCCGAGATGGAATCTTGCTGTGTTGCCCAGGCTGGAGTGCAGTGGCGCGATCTCAGCTTACGGCAACCTCCGCCTCCCGAGAAGCAATTCTCCTGCCTCAGCCTCCTGAGTAGCTGGGATTACAGGCACCCATCACTGCACCTGGCCAATTTTTGTATTTTTAGTAGAGACGGGGATTCACCATGTTGGCCAGGGTGGTCTTAAATTCCTGACCTCATGATCCGCCCACCTCGGCCTCCCAAAGTGCTGGGATTACAGGCGTGAGCCACTGCGCCTGGCCCCATCATTTATTAAATACTTACCAGGTGCCCTCCGAGTACTTTTCTAAGTGCTTTTCATATGCTACATCACTGAAGGCTCTCAACAACCCTAGGAGGTGGTACTGTTATTATTAGTTTGATGCAAAAGCAATTGCGGTTTTTGCCATTACTTTTAATGACAAAAATTGCAATTACTTTTGCGCCAACCTAATATTATCACCACTTTACAGCTGGGGACAATGAACCACAGAAAGGTTAAGTCTGTAGATAGATTGCACAAGTACTAAGGGTTGAGGCCAGCATTCACACCCAGGCAGGTGATTATACTGCTTCCCAATAAATGGTATTACTGTTGTGAGAATCTCCAAAACCCCAAGGTCAAAAGGGGGAATTTACAACTTCTGGGTCCCTCTCTTTTATGTGTTCTCCAATAGCAAATATGCAGTGAGTTTATGGGTCTCAAACAGTGACCTCTTTCTGGTTACTGCTAAGGTAAAGAAAGATTCATTTCCCTCGCCGGAAGGTAAAGTAATGAAGTGGGGAAAGTCTGGCGTCCCAGCACTTTTGAATCAGCACTCGAGTGTTGTTGGTCCAGGGAACAGGGCTTCCCATAACAAATAATTATACTTTGCAATTTCTCTTTAGTTTGTGAGCTACTTTTGCATATGCACTTGCATTCTCATTGAATCATTACAATAATCCTGAGCAATGACTGCAGGGCCCATCCAACAGGTAAGGGCACCCGCTTTGGCCAAGGTCACAAGGTAAGTAGGAGAGCCAGGATGGCAGCCCCATTCTGACACTTAAACTAGTATTCTTCTCTTAGTGTGATCTCAGAGTCTGGACTTTCAGTAAGCTTTCCGGGTGACACCGATGCACACTCAAGTGTCTAGCGGCACTGCTCTCCACCATTCCATAGAATGCACAGCTGAAGGTGGACCACATCTGTCACATGGAGGCACATGGGTAGACCGTGACTACTCACAGCTACAGACCAGCTTTTTCAAGCTGAACCAGAGATGAGAAGGCTTAAGGAGTACCCTGTGAGTGTTCTGGAGTCTGGTGGCTACCCCAGTGTGGAAGCTATTAGGATTACAATGAGAAAAGGAGGAATCGGCCGGGCGCGGTGGCTCACGCCTGTAATCCCAGCACTTTGGGAGGCCGAGGCGGGTGGATCATGAGGTCAGGAGATCGAGACCATCCTGGCTAACAAGGTGAAACCCCGTCTCTACTAAAAATACAAAAAGTAGCCGGGCGCGGTAGCGGGCGCCTGTAGTCCCAGCTACTCGGGAGGCTGAGGCAGGAGAATGGCGTGAACCCGGGAAGCGGAGCTTGCAGTGAGCCGAGATTGCGCCACTGCAGTCCGCAGTCCGGCCTGGGCGACAGAGCGAGACTCCGTCTCAAAAAAAAAAAAAAAAAAAAAAAAAAAAAGGAGGAATCACCATTCGTTTATAATATGCTAAAGCATATTAGCATATGCCTCTCTCCTTTTATCCACTGGCAGCAATAAATACAAGTTCGTTGAATGAATGAATGAATGAATGAAACACTCCTCTAGAATCTTGTGAAAGCTGGAGTCAAAGGAAAAGAGACTCAGAATATCATAAATAAAAGTAGTTATTTCCTACCTAACCAGTGCTGGAGAGAACAGGAATCTTCTCGTTTGCAAGGCAGCCTCTTTGTCCTACCCAGGTTTTGTTTACTCCTTTCTCCTACAAGAGTTCCTTTCACCAGCTGTATTATCCGGCTGTGAAACTGACACGCCATGTTTCTACTTATTTCTGTCCCATGGTCCCTTTTATTCCCGATTCCTAGAGGCCAGCTTAACTTGGTTGGTTTGGAAAATCTACCAGGTGAAGTCTTCTCCTCAGTGGCCCGTTTCGAAAGGGACATGTCGGGCACATGATTGCGGGTCCAAGCAAGTTCAGCCCTCTCTTGCTACTGTTACATACAGAAAAGAAGTCCTTAATGGTTAGCCTCCAAAGTTATGAGGCAGAAGAACATAATGTTAAGCACGGAGGAACAAAACTCCCCAGGATAAAAATCCTGACTCTGCTAAGTTCCTAGCTGTCTGACCCTGGGCAGCTATTTAACCTCTTTATATATAATTTTCTCATCAGGAAAATTGGGATAATAAAATCCCCTAACTTACAGGAATGTTATGAGAAATAAATTAGTTAATTCATAAGAAGGACTTAGCATTACTGCCTGGCACATACTAAGTGCTCAATAAATAATAGCTCTTGTTATTACTATTAAAGATTTGGCTTACCCCAGAACTGTCACATCCAACCACTCCATGATTAAGACCTGCTATTTTAGGACTTGAGATGTTTGAAAACCCTACTGTGTACCAGGCAGCAGTACCACCACCATGGGTTAAGTTGGTGGCATGAATAACTGCAGAGTCTTGCTTTATTGCCTTTCTCTGAAAGAGCTTGAGGCACATGGTATCCTTTATCCTTGCCCCCTTTTTTTTTTTGAGGTGGAGTCTTGTTCTGTCACCCACACTGCAGTGCACTGGCACAATCTCAGCTTACTGCAACTTCCATCTCCCGGGTTCAAGCGATTCTCCTGCCTCAGCCTCCCAGGTAGCTGAGACTACAGGTGTGTACCGCCACACCCGGCTAATTTTTGTATTTTTAGAGTAGAGACAGGGTTTCTCCACATTGACCAGGCTGGTCTCAAACTCCTGGCCTCAAGTGATCCACCTGTCTCGGCCTCCCAAAGCACTGGGATTACAGGCACGAGCCACCACACCCAGCAAATCTTTGCCTAATTTATCACCAACTAATTCTGAGGAGCCAAGGACAGGAGAGAGAATCCAGAAACTAAAGTACAGAGCAATTAAGAAATGGATTAGCTTCCACTTTTGTAAATCAGGAGTAATAACAGTATCTATTTCATAGGGTTGCTGGGAGGTCTAAATGAAATAATACGTATGAGGTTCATACTAGACAGCTGTTATTGTTTTTCTTGTTATTTGTACTAATCCCATTATCTTCATCTGGATATGTCCTCTCTCTCAACCTAGTAATGTAGCCAATGCCAGGCTATCTTTGTATAGATCCTCAAAATTCTACCTGCCCTACCTGGAAGCTGTCAACAGATTTCACAAATCCAACAGGGCTCAAACATGGCTGTGCTCTGTGAAGGGCTGCTCAAAATATTGCTTTCCCTTCCCCCTACATCTCAAATCAGAAGGTCCACACAGTAACAAACCACATTTGTTTATGGCTGTTCAGGGAGCAACAAACCACATTTTTCTGGAAACCTTTTAAAGTCTCTCTCTTCTCCTGAGCCCATGAGTTCGAGGCTACAGTGAGCTATGATCATGCCACTGCACTCCAGCCTTGGCAATAGAGTGAGAACCTGTCTCAAAAAAAAAAAATAAATAAATAAATAAAAATAAAGTCTCTCTCCCTCAAGAAGCACCTGAGAAGTAATTCCTTATGCATTCAGACTCCCTGAGAAGATGTCTGAAAACAGAGGAGAGGTCAATCCAAGATGAAATATAGACCTTCCCAACCTAGATCTTCTGGGATAGCCTGGAATCCTGGCTCAGTTACTCACTATTTGTATGACAGGAAACTGCTCTGAGCCTGTTTCCCATCTGTAAGATGGGAATCTTCTTTTTTTTTTTTTTTTTTTGAGACGGAGTCTCGCTCTGTCGCTCAGCCTGGAGTGCAGTGGCACAGTCTTGGCTCGCTGCAACCTCTGCCTCCCAGGTTCAAGCGATTCTCCCACCTCAGCCTCAGCCTCAGCCTCCTGAGTAGCTGAGACTATAGGCATGTGCCACCACGTCAGCTAATTTTTGTATTTTTAGTAGACATGGGGTTTCACCATGTTGGCCAGGTTGGTCTCGAACTCCTGACGTCAAGTGATCCACCCACCCCAGCCTCCCAAAGTGCTGGGATTACAGGCGTTAGCCATCGCACCTGGCCAATGTAAGACGGGAATCTAATGTTACCTACCTCATAAGGATATTGTGAGGAATAAATATGATATCATATACTAAATGCTTATCACAGTACCAGGGACACAGCAAAGCTCTCAAAAATGCTAACTGCTCCAGAAATACATTTGGATTTTTTAAACCACATATCCCAATTTGTAAATCCACATATCCCACAATTTGCAAAAATTGTCATTGGAGGAGATCATTCCTAGAAGAGCAGAAATTCTCATTTGGGGAAGATACATTGTAGAGTTGTTGGCTTTTATTGGCTCTGGGAGCCTGTAGTTGAAACTTATTGTTTAAACTGCCCGTGGAAGGAGGGTGGAAAACCTGGGGCTCCCCTTTCCTATTTGCTAGGCTTGTGGATGCCATAACCTGGCCTCTCCACTTGGTTAGAAGGAGGCTACAGTCAACTCAACAGAGAAGCTGTCTCTTGTCCTCATCCATGCCAGCGCGTGGTTGCAGGCCACTACCCCTCCCCACCTCCCCCAAGGCGTGACAGGAAGTGGAGCTGCCGAGCTTGGAGAGATCCCTGGAGGCACTTACAACCTTGCAGCTTCTTTATTTCACATGCTAATCAGGTGTCTCTCTGGATACCCTTCTCTGTACCTGCTCTGCCCTACACCCAGACAGAGGGAGGGTCCCTCTCCCGCAAAAAGGCACTGCCTGGAGCCAGGAGCTTCCCGGCTCCAGAAAACCTCCGGTGATAAATTATGCAGCAGCACCTCTGTGTCACTGCCTCTCAGCTAGATGGGAGGTTTGCTCCCAGTCTTTTGTTTCCGGCTCTGCTTGCCGCTCTGATCCTCAGCTGTGCATAGAGGTGAGGGGGAGCTCCCATAGGCCAAGTCAGGGCTTGCAGCAAGTCCCAGCCAGGCTATCCCCAGTTGGGTCCCAGACAGCGCCCCTCCCCTCATTCGAACCTGAATGATGGGGGAGTCCTATTCCGCATGGGGAAACAGGGTGTCAGGGAGCGCTAACAGCCAGTCCGCTCATCTGTGAGCAAGAATGGGAATGCCTACGAGCAGTGAAAGAATGAAGTCTGCTTGGATGGGCGTAAGAGGCGCCCAAGGGCACCTAGGATGTTTGCTTCTTGCTAAATCAAAAACGCACAACAGAAAATGGAGGCAGACAACCGTCAGGAAGCTAGAGAATTGGCTCTTTTTAACAGCTGCTCTTGGTTACGGTCAACTTTCCGCAGCTCCCAAAAATCACATCACTGGCACCAACTTAAAAAGAAGAAACAAAAGAGACAACAGGGGTCAAACTTTGAGGTGGAGGAACTAGGGGTTGGGGGCTATTCGGGGCTGGAGACCCACATCAATTAGGCCTGCAAGCTGACAGGCTTCCTGATTGAAAATGGTAGCTGCGAAGGCTCCACAACAGCCCAGCTCCCAAATTGGGGCAATTACTACCTTATGAGCTCTGGAGCCTGACTCCTTTCTCAGGCCAATGGGAGGGAGGGCTTGGAATTCTAAACTGTTCCAGCTACAAGAGTCCCTGGCCAGCCCCTCTCACCCCATGTCACAGGAATCTTAGCAGGAGAAGTTGCTAGGCTGCATCCCTGACCACTTAAGAAGGGAAACTCTCAGAGGAAAAGCTCCATTTCCCCAGACCTCTCTCAAGAGAACTAAGGCGACATGAGTTCCCCTAGACTGATGTTATAGCTTAGCAGACTTCTTTTCTAGGAGTGGGCACAAGTGGGAACTATGCTTCGGTTCTATCACGTTTTCAAGGGGAGAAAGAAGGGGCAGATCTTTAAAAGAGACAAGCAAAAGACCAGCTGCAATGAATGAAGGACCAAGTCTCAATTTTAGCACAGAACACGGTAGCATAATTATTTACCTGGCTCCCATGTTCTAAAGCCAAGAATCATCTCGGATCCACTTAGGTGACTTTGCTTACAGCTAACTTTTATCAAGCTCTACAGTAACACAGTAGTTGCCAAGCTCTGTGCTGCATAGTTTGAACATGCTATTATCTCAGGTAAATTTTATGATATTCCTATGTGATAATCTATTACTACTTCCCTTCCCCTACCCTACCCGCCTTTGCAGGTAACAACCCTGAGGTTCAGGGAGATTTTGCACAGGGTCACCAAGAATTGCCAGAGCCAAGATTCAAACCCAGGTCTGTGGGTGCTTCTTAATTGCTGAGCTTCGTATACAGTGATTATATTAATGCTTGACATATGTGTGTTTGCTGAATGAATGAACAAGTGAATGGGTGTGGAGCCTAGTTTGAGGAATGCTCCCGATTGTACGAGGAACTCATTCCTGCCAGCTCTAAGCTGGAGTGAGAGTGACAAGCCCATGCAGTCATCAGAACTATTTATAAGGTCAAACTCAGGCTCTGCCAGCTAACCAGTCAGCACTGAGTCTTCCCTGGGACACTGAATCCTCACAGGCTGAGGAGGGGAGGAGGGCTTCCGCTGCTGAAGATGAGATGGCAGTCCAGACACAGTCTGGGGCCCAGATGCCCCATGTCCAGGCAACTGTGACAAAACTCGTGGCTAAGCTGCATCAAGGAATGTAGAGAGACCATGGCTGGAACAGGCTAACAGACCTAGTCAACCAAGGGCACAGACTGTCTCGTAATCTTACCCAATCATAAAAAAGACAAGATTACTTCTTAAAGTAGTCCCTGAAATTCTGTTCCTATTCAGGAACCCCCAGTATTTTTTTTTTCTTTAAAGGGGCAGCAACATAAACAATTTCTCCTATTTTCCTTCTAACAGTTAAGACTGGCAGTTAATCGGTAGAAAGAGTGAGCAAAGAGCTATAAAACACCGTGTCCTCTGTGACCTCCTGTGTTCTTTGCTGGCCCAGAAGATGGACATACCCAACGTGCTCTGTATCAGACATGGCCAGACTTGGTTCCCTTGCACCTGTCATTCTTAATACCACGTGCCAGTCCAAAAGATGTTATCTGATATTCATCAGGGTACAGAAGAGGAAATCCAAAATCAGTGACAAGCCAAGTATGTTTCACAAGCCCAACAGATCAGGGACAAGGTCACTCAAGCACCATGACAACCCTGGTCACGACAACAGCGAGATGGAAAGGAGACCAGTCTCAGCTCAATTGCTCTGCACTTATTTTCAGATACAACCTTCTATCTACCCAAGCACGCCTAGGCAGAAGTTTTAACATTTCCCTTACCTGGATGAGACCTCTAGAACAAACACACTTTCCACTCTTCCAATGGTTGTCATCCATGCCCTTACTTCAAACTTCAGGATGAAAATCACTCAGGGCTATTACCAGCCATCAAGTTTCCTTCCAAAATCTTTAAGGTTGGAGAGTTATGTGGGCTGAGTCCAAACCAATAGGCTCTAGGAAAAGCCCCAAGGACTAGCAGCATCCAAATAAGCACCTTAAACTTTATTTATTTATTAAGATAGAGTCTCACTCTGTCGCCCCGGCTAGAGTGCAGGGGAGTGATCTTGGCTCATTGCAACTTCTGCCTCCCAGGTTCAAGCAATTCTCCTGCCTCATCCATTCGAGTAGCTGGGACTACAGGCATGTGCCACTGTGCCTGGCTAATTTTTGTATTTTTAGTAGAGATGGGGTTTTGCCATGTTGGCCAGGCTGGTCTTGAACTCCTGACCTGAAGTGATCCGCTAGTCTCAGCCTCCCAAAATCACCTTAAACTTTAGTGTCTTTAATTCATGCCTTGCTGAGGTCAGGTCTGCCTAATGGATCTACTACTACATTTATCACAACTGCTGTCTCCCTGAGCCCCTGGAATTGAGTGTCAGTCCAAAAGATGTTTTGGTGGTATTTTTGGTTGTGCTGGTTCCAGGCTCTGAAACTGCTCAATCTTACTGGTGAACTGTGAATCTGACCCCCCAGACCTCCAAGGATGGCTCAGTATCAGGCCAGGTGATGTGTATACCTTCACCCCACTGCCTACCCTTACAAACATGTGCACAGAAAGCTTCCCATGCTTAGACGTTTCTATTAAACTTTTTTCCTTAAAAAGAAACCTGGGCCGGACACAGTGGCTCACACCTGTAATACCAGCACTTTGGGAGGCCGAGGCAGGTGGATCACTTGAGCCCAGGAGTTGGAGACTAGCCTTGGCAACATGGTGAAACCCCATCTCTAGAAAAAAAAACAAAAATTTGTAGGGTATGGTGGTGCATGCCTGTAGTCCCAGTTACTCAGGAGGCTGAGATGACAAGATCACTTGAGCTTGGGAGGTCGAGGCTGTAGTGAGCTATGATTGCCCCACTGCATTCCAGCCTGGGCAACAGAGTGAGACACCCTCTCCAAGAAAAAAAAGAGAAAGAAACCTAAAAGCGTTACCGCGAATCCTCCCATTCTTTTTCTGTGAAACATTAGACATACGCAATTCTCTCCCCCCATTCTCACCCCCATCCTCTATGCACATGTAATATTTGCAGCGTTGACAGCTCTGGAGCAGTAAAATCTTCTTGGCCAGTCTCAGCCCGGAACCTTCCAGCTCCCCCTTCCCTAGGGCAGAAGGCGACAATCTCCTCTCTGGCTTTGTTGGTATCCGTTTTAACCCTAATTTTTTTTTTTTTTCCCAGTGCCTTGCCATTTCCCTTGATCTTTTTCAAAACTTCCTCCAGGGGGCTGAGAGGAAAGTTCCATCCCCTTTCCTTGCAACCCGAAGGGGGAAACCCCCCAAAAAGCAAAGCTGTCCCTTTAAGGGGCCCATGTGGTGGGAAGAACAGCTACATTCCTACCCCAGTAGGGCCGCTGTCCCAACACGCCAAAGAGGCTACAAATAACCTTCCAGGAGAGAGCCGGGGAGGGGAGAGCGCAGAGCGGAGCGGAACGTGGGCCGGCCAAGCTACCGCTCTTCGGAGAGAAAGAGCTCAGTCCGCGCTAGAGAGGACGCGGAAAAAAGCCCCTGAAAACCCACAGGTAGTTTAAATAAGAGACATGAAAACTCTGTTTTGGATTTGGGAGGTAAACCAATCTTTAAAACGAGTGCCTAGACATCTCCACGCCCTGCCAGGCAAGTTCGGAAATCTGCACTGACTTTTTCCACACGAGCTGTCCTACGTGAAAGAAAGAACCGGTAAAAGACCAGGCAGGGTCTCCAGACCCCTCCATTCTGAGCCCCAGCTCCCTTCATCGGGGCTGCGAGGCAAATGGGGAGACTCGGAACTCCCGCCACGATGAATAGCGATGGGTGAATAGGGCTGGGGTTCAAAGATCAAAGTTCTTTGATCTCTGGGCACAAACTAGGGAAAGCTGCTCAATCACGGGGTGCACCCAGGGTCGTTAAGAGCCCGCGGAGAAGCAGATTCCATCGGAGCCCTAGTCCCACACAACAGGGGGTACGGGCACCAAGGAGTCCTGCTGCAGCCGTCCAGCTCCCCCGAGGGCTGGGACCCTGCCGCGAGGGCCCGGCGGCTGCCTTCTGGGGTTCAGGGTTACCGGCCCCCTGCCCCCCTACCCCAGCCAGGGCAGATCTGCGGGAGCCTTCCAGCAGTTTCTTCCCTATATTCCTCCTCAGCCCCCTTTCCAACCACCTCCCTTTAGGACGATCCAGGGCTGGAAGCTGACTGGCCGCAGCCAAGAGAGGGACCCCGAAACACCGCCGAGGGGAGATGCTGCCCGCAAACAGTGCCCCAGAGCCCCTTGGTGGGAGCAAGACCTGGAGTCCGGGAATCGTTCTCCGAGTAGAGGAATCCCGGTGCCCAAGTACCAGATTCTACCGGGGCCTCTCTCCGCAACCCGCCCGAGCCCCCAGCCCCAGGAAGGAGGGCTATTTACAATTTATGGGTTTAGCGACCCTCCTCACCCGCCTCCCTTTCTTCGCACGCATTCATTCGCACCAAGGACACAGAGCCCCCGACCTAACCTGAAAGGGAAGCAGCCCCCGCTCTTGAAAGAGCAGCGAGGGAGGGCGAGCGAACGAACGCCCCGGACCTTACCCGCGCCCCGGCCCAGACCCGCGCCCCGGCCCAGACCCGAACCCGCGGAAGCGCCTCCGCTGATGCCCCCGCTCGGACTGCTGGAGCCGGGGCCGCTCCGGGTCCTCTCCCCTGCACGCAGCCCCAGGGCCACGGCTAGGAGCGAGGGCGAGGGGTCTCAGGCCCCGGCCCGCGCCGTCCAGGTCCCGGGAGGCGAGTCCTGCAGCGGCCGGACCCAGGGACAAACTTTCCCGGCGGGCGCCGCTTACCGTGTGCGCAGAGCAGGGCGCCAAGCAGCAGCGCGCCCCACTGCCGCCTCATGGTGCCGCCCGCGCCGCTCGCCCGGGGTCCCGCCGGCTCCCGCCGGACGGCGCGGCGGAGAAGCCCGCGGAGGGTCCCCGAGGGGGAAGCGTCCCGGGTGCACGGCGGCCTGCGCGCCCCGCAAGTCGCCCTCGGGCCGCCGCCGCCTCCAGTGCTGCCAGAGCCGACGCTGCCCCGCCAGGGGACCGGGAGGGGGTGTCCCGGGCCCGACCGCCCCGCCCCCCGCGCCGCAGCCCCGGCCACCGCCACCGCGCCTGGGCCCGCCCCCAGCGCCGGCCCGGCCCCTTCCCGCCCTCGGCCCCGGCTCCCTGGTCCCCCGACCCCACCCGCCGGCGCCTCCTGCGCGGGGCCCCGCTCCTCCTCAGGCCGCCCCCACATTCCTGGCCCGAGAGAGAGCCCCCTCCCTGTCGCTATTACTACTGCTTAAATTTCCCTAACTTAAAAAAAAAAAATTATCCTAGCAGCAAGTCTCGCCCCCGCTCACTCCAGCTCTATGCTTCAGACGAGCACCTGAGCTGACCCAAGTCGCCTGGACGTGACCCTGCCCCCGCCTACCGGCCCCAAGTCCAGACTTTTTTGATGTCTGCGAATACGCAAGGCTTGTGGATGCATAATCCTCTTGGGTCTTTATTGACATCAAACAAGGGACATCAGGGGGCCTGGAGTGCTGTATCTTAACTGGCGTTCTCACTGTCAAAATTCCTTTTCGGAGATTTTCTTCTCCCTGGCCTCCCCCGGTCTAGGCAGCGTTGTTCTAGGGCTAAATAATTCACCGACCCCCCCGCCCCTTTTCATTCACTCATTTCCTGAGATGGTTGTCTGGGTCCTGTTGCTCCAGCTCAGAGGCCCAGATTCGGCCCATACAGACTTAGTTCCTCCTTGCTGTCTTTGTAAATCACTGTTGTTAGCCTCTTCACCTTCTTTGACTTTCTGATCCTGACAAGGAAGGGAGGGGGTCAGGAAAGGAGTCCTCATGGGCAGCTGCACTCCCACAAAGCCCTCAGCCTCCTTCCAGCCCCAGTCTGTAGGTCCTTCCCTCAGATTTAACTTTTGATTTACTGCATAAAATCATAAACTTGTCTCTAGTCTTCCTTCCTTTTGTGGTCTACTCTCCCTAATGCATATTAATAATACGGATTAATTTCACCACCTTCCATTTTTCCAGGTTGAATCTTGTTTTGTTCCTTTTGCCCAAATGCCCAACTTTCTGATGGCCCAGTATATCGCTTTTTTCCCTCCCAGCTGATATGCCAGCATTTCTTGGGCTTGGATCATCTATGGATTTCATTAACTCACTTTCCTCACCAGTAAATAGAGTCAGGAAGACCCAAATGCCCCCTGTTAGCTGAGGGGAAAGTAATTTGGCATAGTGCAAAGTGGTTATTAGATTTCTCTAAATGGATACATTGACATTTCATCCTTGCTTGTTTTTTTCAGTACTTTCACTTCAAATTACCATCTTTTACCAAAGCTAACATGAACCATACTTTGCGACAGCAACAACAACAACATAAAAGATGTAAGGTGTTAACTCCTTGTTAGGCAGTAGTTTTCTATATCGTTTTGCCTGAAATTTTTATCCAGATGCAATGTGGTTGAACTAGCATCACCATGGTAACTATTACTGAAGCATTTTCTGGGTGTGTAGTTCTTCTTGCTGACTGAAGGCGGCAGTAGCGTCAGGTCAGGCTTACATGATCTTGGGGCTAGGCAAGACTGTCAACATTTCTGGCCTCGATCAGTTACCACAGCCTAAAATCCAAGGAGGAAAAAACGTCAAAAGTAGAGGCTGATTCCCCAGCATCCTCCTTCCCACCTCTCATTTCCTAATGCAGGTTTGGTTGGTCTCAGGGTTTCATATATGTTGCTTATGAAGACTTGCTCTTTTTTTTTCTTTTTTGAGACGGAGTTTCACTCTTGTTGCCCAGGCTGGAGTGCAATGGCGCCATCTCAGCTCACTGCAACCTCGGCCTCCCGGGTTCAAGCGATTCTCCTGCCTCAGCCTCCCGAGTAGGGTAGCTGGGATTACAGGCATGCGCCATCACGTCCGGCTAATGTATTTTTCGTAGACGGAGTTTCTCCATGTTGGTCAGGCTGGTCTCGAACTCCTGACCTCAGGTGATCCACCCGCCTCGGCCTCCCAAAGTGCTGGGATTATAGGCGTGAGCCACTCTGCCTGGCCGAAGACTTGCTTTTAAATCTGTTGGGAATGACCTTGGGATTCTGGAGACCATATTTTTTTCCAGCTGAAAACTAGGGACTTGTGGTAGAGCCAGTACAGTTGTCCCAAAGAAATCCAGGATAGGCAGTCCCCATACTTTCAATGTCAGGGGATTAAGAAGTTATAAACAGTTTCCACTCTGTATGCAAAGGACAGGTTCCTTTCCAGAGGCATGATTTGTGTTGTTTTTCTGGAATTGGAGAAGAAACGAGAGGCGGGCTGTCCCTGTCTGACTCAGCTTGAGAGACTGTTTCCTATGTGCATCCCAAGTCCTTCTCCACGGTTCAGCACAGTTCTGGTGCACAGAGTCATCCCTGGCTGCTGTGAGTCACTGGGAATATCAATGGGTAAGAAACTAGCTTCGTGCATAGTCCCTGTCTGGGTCACCCCCTAGGGTGAGTTAAGTCTTGGCTGTCAGAGACTGCTCTTGTGCCAGGAGTACTAAGCCATATTTATTTTTACCAGGCCTCTCAGACTTTCTTGTTTGGAGTGAGAGATCCTGAAAAGCAGGCCAGAATGGGCTGTTTGTCTCCCTTTCACTGTCCTCTGGGACATGCCCCTAGAAAAGTTGTAGGGGACTGCCAATTCCAGAGGGGTCTCAGAGGCGTTGGTTTCCTCAGAAACACCACCCCTTTCCTTCATCTTTCTAGAACAGCCCAGCATTCTTTCTTCCCAAGATCAGAATATTTCCCTGAATTAGACCATCACTAATGGTCTTTTCAAAGGAAACGCAGGGAGTGCTACGGAAACAAGATAGGGGTGGGCACTATTTTGATCCAACTGGGTTGGTAGAATTCTCTTATAACCCGGGAATCATTCAACAACCTGAATTTCTATATGTAATTCTTCTACAAGAGAATAAGGCCTGAAGTTTCACACTTCAACACAGTGGTTCTCAACCACAGGTGAATTGGCAGGCATGGGGCAACATCTAAAGACTTCCTTTCTTCCTTCCTTCCTTCCTTCCTTTCCTCCTCCTTCCCTCCCTTTCTCCCTTTCTCTCTTTCTTTTCTTCTTCCCTTTTATTTTATTTTATTTTGTTTTATGTTATTGAGACGTAGTCTTACTCTGTTGCCCAGGCTGGAGTGCAGTGGTGCAATGTAGGCTTACTGCAACCTCTGCCTCCCGGGTTCAAGCGATTCTTCTGCCTCGGCCTCCTGAGTAGCTGGCATTACAGGCATGCACCACCATGCCCGACAAATTTTTGCATTTTTAGTAGAGATGGGGTTTCACCATGTTGACGAGGCTGGTCTCAAACTCCTGATGTCAGGTGATCTGCCCACCTCGGCCTTCCAAAGTGCTGAGATTACAGGTGTGAGCCACCATGCTTTTTCTTTTAGAGACAGGGTCTCACTGTTACCAAGGCTGGAGTGCAGTGACTATTCACAGGCACAACTACAGCACACTGCTGCTTTGAACTCTTGGCCTCAGGTGATCCTCCTGCCTCAGCCTCCCAAGTAGTTAGAACTACAGGTGTGCACCACTGCACCCGGCAATTTTGGGGAGTTGATGTTACTGGCATCTAATGAATAGAGGCCAAAGATGGTGCTTAACTTTCAAAGATGGTGCTTAACTTTCTACAGTGAGCAGGGCATCCCCCACAACAAAGAATTATCCATCCCAAAATGTTAATAGTGCCAAGGTTGAGAAACTGCTTTAAAAGATTAAAACATGAGACTGCAAAGAATTACTCTATCTTATTTCCAGAATCACTTTCTTGTTGAAGGCAATGTGAATGGAGATAAGTTTTTGTTGTTGTTGTTGTTGTTGTTTTATTTTGTTTTTTGTTTTTTGAGACGGAGTCTCACTCTGGGCCCCAGGTTGGCCTGATCTCAGTTCACTGCAGTCTCTGCCTCTGGGCCCCAGGTTGGCCTGATCTCAGCTCACTGCAACCTCCGCCTCCTGGGTTCAAGGAATTCTTGTGCCTCAGCCTCTCCAGTAGGTGGGATTACAGGCATGTACCACCACACCTGGCTAATTTTTTTTTGTATTTTTAGTAGAGACAGGGTTTCACTATGTTGTCCATGCTGGTCTCCAGTGATCCGCTCACCTTGGCCTCCCAAAGTGCTGGGATGACAGGCGTGAACCACTGCGCCCGGCCAGTTCTTAAAACTTTAGAAGAGAAGGCACAGCTAAGGGGACTAATAGAATCCTATACCTATTTGCTTTAGAGAGGCTTAATTTCAGGATTCGCTTACTCAGTAACTACTTATAAAGGGTATATTATGCGCCAGGCACTCTGAGGCAATGATGAACAAATAAATATATTGGGTCCCTGGAACTTACAGTCTGATGGTTGAAGGGGGCTGCAAGTTTGCAGAAGCATTTAAAAAATGCTCCCACAAATGAATTTGAAGTTACAAATGTTAGAGGCTTTGAGGGAAAAGTACAGGGTTCTATGAAAGGAAAGACTGGACTTAGGTTTGGGGGTTCGAGGAAGGCCTGCCAGAGGCACTGACACCTAAGCTGAGTAAAAGCCATCAGGCTAGGAGTGGATGAGGCCTTCCAGGCAGAAGGAACAGTGTGTGCAAAGGCCTTGAGCCAGGAAAGACCTCATAGAATGTAAGGAAAAGTTTTACTAACTTTCAGCAACAGATTTGCTTTTATCTAGGTTCAGGGGGCTACTACTGAAGACCAGAAACAGTGAAAGCGTGAAAGCCTGAGAGAATAGTGTCATTTGCATTTCTGTGCTTTTTTAAATTGCAAACCCTCAAAACCTCCATTTCTTTTCTTTTTTTTCTTTTTTTGAGACAGAGCTTCACTCTGTTGCCAGGTTGGAGTGCAGTGGCGCGATCTTGGCTCACTGCAACCTCCACCTCCTGGGTTCAAGTGAGTCTCCTGCCTCAGTCGCCTGAGTAGCTGGGACTACAGGCAAGCACCACCACGCCCAACTAATTTTTGTATTTTTAGTAGAGACGGGGTTTCACCATGTTGGCCAGGATGGTCTCGATCTCTTGACCTTGTGATCCGCCCACCTCGGCCTCCCAGAGTGCTGGGATTATAGGCGTGAGCCTCCGCGCCTGGCCCACACCATCATTTCTAGTGCCAATATTTTTCATGTTCCAGCTCAGCAGTGGTTCTCCAGTCGGGATCTGGGGCATGTGGCTGATTCAGATCCCTGGCCTAACTTGGGGCACACCCTGATAGGTGGGGCTTTCTGGCCCATTTTCATCTCCTAGAAGCCTGATATTCACACACCGGGCACATATAGAGTCTCTGCAGCAAATAGCTCAGTATATCTTGCTTCTTTTAACAGTAAAGATATATTCAGAATGTTGGGGTAAACAGATCAATGAATAAATGCTCATTTGATAACAAATATGAATGAAGCATCTATGTAAATGGCCTCTCTGTTTTCACACTTGCCCCTTTATAATTTGTTCTCTGCACAGCAACCAGAGTGACTTTTTAAAAAATATAACTCATGGTCTGGCACAGTGGCTCATGCCTGTAATCCTACTACTTTGGGAGGCCAAGGTGGGAGGATTGGTGGAGTTCAAGACCAGCCTGGGCAACATGGTGAAACCTCATCTCTGCCAAAAAAAAAAATAATACAAAAAAATACAAAAAATTAGCCAGGCGCGGTGACATGTTCCTGTAGTCTCAGCTACTCAGGAAGCTGAGGTGGGAGAATCACCTGAGCCCAGGAAGTTGAGACTGCAGTGAGCCATGATCCTGCTACTGCACTCTAGCCTAGGTAACAGAGCAAAACCCTGTCTCAAAAAATAAAATTAAAATAAAAATAAAACTCAGATCATGGCTTAAAATTTTCCAATGCCTTCCTGTTGCACTTAGAATAAAATTCTTACTTCTCATGTGACTTTCAAGGTCCTCCATAACCTGACATCTGCTTACTTCTTTTTTTTTTTTTTTTTGAGACAAAGTCTTGCTCTGTTGCCAAGGCTGGAGTGCATTGGTGCGATCTTGGCTGACTGCAACCTCTGCCTCCCGAGTTCAAGCAATTCTCCTGCCTCAGGCTCCCGAGTACCACCATGCCCAGCTAATTTTTGTATTTTTAGTAGAGACAGGGCCTCGCCATGTTGGCCAGTGCTGGGATTACAGGCGTGAGCCACCGCGCCTGGCCCTGCTTATTTCATTGACCACTTTCCACGCTGGCTCCCTTTCAGTTCTGCAACTTGCCATTGTTTCTGTCCTACAACTTGTGCATGTGGTGTCTCCTCTACTTCAAATGCTGTTCCCCTAGGCCAGGTGCGGTGGCTCATGCCTATAATCCCAGCACGTTGGGAGGCCGAGGTGGGTGGATCACTTGAGGCCGGGAGTTCGAGACCAGCCTGGCCAACATGGTGAAACCCCGCCTCTACTAAAAACACAAAAATTAGCCAGGGGTGGTGATGTGCACCTATAATCCCAGCTACTTGGGAGGCTGAGGCAGTAGAATCACTTGAGCCCGGGAGACGGAGGTTGCAGTGAGCCCAGATCTTGCCACTGCCTCCAGCCTGGGCGACAGAGGGAGAGAGACTCTGTCTAAAAAAAAAAAAAAAAAAAAGAAGTCAAATGCTGTTCATCTAGACCCTTCCTGTGACTGGTCTCAGCTCAATATCACGACCTCAGAGAAGCCTCACCTTCAGAGATGTCTCACCTTATCACCCTAAAGTTGCCTCATTCTCACTTACTGCCTTTATCCTATTTTATTTTCTCCACAGGGTTTATCATTCTTTGAAATAATCTTGTTTGTTGTTGTGTATTTATATTTGTCTATCTGATCACTATTAGATGAACTCCAATGGAGCAGGGATTTTTTTTTTTTTTAATTCTCCAGCACCTATGAATAGTGCCTAACACATATTGCTCAATAAATTTTTGGTAAATGAATGAAAAGCAGACAGTCAGCTAGGGCCAGGGAAATACAAAGATGAATAAGATAAGGTCCATAGGGCCAGGTGTGGTGGCTCACGCCTGTAATCCCAGCAATTTGGGAGGCCAAACGGGGAGGATGACTTGAGGCCTGGAGTTTGAGACCAGCTTAGGCAAGAGAAGGAGACCCCATCTCTGCAAAAAAAAAAAAAAAAATAGCCAGATGTGGTGGTGCGTGTCTGTTGTTCCAGATACTCAGGAGGCTGAGATGGGAGGATGGCTTAAGCTGGGAGCATTGAGGCTGCAGTGAGCTGTGATCATGCCACTGCACTTCAGCCTGGGCAACAGAGGGAGACCCTGTCTCAAAAAAAAAAAAAAGAAAAGAAAAAGATAGGCTTCATAACTTTAAGAAGCTCAGAATCTAGAGGAGAGGAAGACTTCAAAAGCAATGATAGGGCAATAGATGTAATGTATAAAGGACTGCGGAAACAGAGAAGCGAGGACCTTTAAATTTGGAGTAGCTGGGCATTAAAGGTGGGGGAAATTTCACCAGGTAAGTAAAGGAAAAAATGAGGAGGGGGCACATATTCCAGATGGAAGAAATGGCATCAACAAAGGCATTTGCAAGTGGCTGCCATGTTTGGAAAATGATCAATACTCTTGTGTGGCTAGAAGAACATCGGGTGATTAAGGAAAGCAGAGAGGGGACCTCTTTTTTTTTTTTTTTTGAGACAGAGTCTTGCTTTGTCTCCCAGGCTGGAGTGCAGTGGCACAGTCTCAGCTCTCTGCAACCTCTGCTTCCCAGGTTCAAGCGATTCTCCTGCCTCAGCCTCCTGAGTAGCTAGAACTACAGGCATGCGCCACCACGCCCGGCTAATTTTTGTGTTTTTAGTAGAGATGGGGTTTCGCTATGTTGGCCAGGCTGGTCTCGAACTCCTGACCTCAAGCAATCTGCCCAAGAGAGGGGACCTCTCAATAACCAACTGTTACTGAAAATTGTTTCTGAATTAAATGCCCTTTATATTTTTTATATCTGTTTATTCAATGAGCAGTGACAGAGTTTCTATAAACTACAAGGGAGCGATTGTACTGTTTTTAAAATTCATCTTTCTATTCTTTTTATACCTTTGTCTCTAGACAAATGATACTTTTCCCAGGAGAGAGATGGGCTAGGTAGTAGGTTTACATCTGGTTTTACTTTTTTAAAATTATTTTTATTGTTTTAGAGATATGCTTTCACTATGTTGCCCGGGCTGGAGAGCAGGGGCTAGTCACAGGTGCAATAACAGCACACTATAGTCTTGAACTCCTGACCTCAAGTGATCCTCCTGCCTCAGTCTCCTGAGTAACTGGGACTATAGATGTGCATTAATGCACTTATTTTAAAAAACTGAAATCTAAAATCTCTGTCTCCTAAGAGACTTAAGAAAAGCTTAATAAATTAACTTAAATATTCTTAAGAAAATATTCCCCAAAGAGCAAAATAATTACAATGTCAGGACAGAGCCTAAATTCTATCTAGTTTAGGTTTATGCCTCTGACGGTGACTCTAAATGGATTTGTCAGGGTTGTCCTTTGATGTCCCCCTCAAAACAACAGTACCATAACATACTAGATTCTAGTTGCCCTTAAGGACTATATGGAACTATCATCAATGGATTTATCTAAACCCATTTTGAAGCTGTGTGGATATTCATTCTTTTTGATAAGTTCCTGTGTCCCCGCCCAAATCTCAACTTGAATTGTATCTCACAGAATTCCCACGTGTTGTGGGAGGGACCCAGGGGGGAGGTAATTGAGTCATGGGGGCTGGTCTTTCCCATGCTATTCTTGTGATAGTGAATAAGTCTCACGAGATCTAATGGGTTTATCAGGGGTTTCCGCTTTTGCTTCCTCCTCATTTTTCTCTTGCCGCCACCATGTAAGAAGTGCCTTTTGCCTCCTGCCACAATTCAGAGGCCTCCCCAGCCATGTGGAACTGTAAGTCCAATTAAACCTCTTTTTGTTCCCAGTTTCAGATATGTCTTTATCAGCAGCATGAAAACGAACTAATACAGTAAGTTGGTACCAGTAGAGTGGGGCATTGCTGAAAAGATACCAGAAAATGTGGAAGCGACTTTGGAACTGGGTAACAGGCAGAAGTTGGAACAGTTTGGAGGGCTCAGAAGAAGACAGGAAAATGTGGGAAAGTTTGGAACCTCCTAGAGACCTGTTGAATGGCTTTGACAAAAATGCTGATAGTGATGTGAACCATAAGCTTAGTCCAGGCTAAGGTGGTCTCAGATGCAGATGAGGAACTTGTTGGGAACTGGAGCAAAGATGACTCTTGTTATGTTTTAGCAAAGAGACTGGAGGCATTTTGCCCCTGCCTTAGAGATTTGTGGAACTTTGAACTTGAGAGATATGATTTAGGATATCTGGCAGAAGAAATTTCTAAGCAGCAAAGCATTTAACAGGTGACTTGGGTGTGTTAAAAGCATTCCATTTTAAAAGGGAAACAGAGCATAAAAGTTCAGAAAATTTGCAGCCTGACAATGAAGTAGAAAAGACAAACCCATTTTTTTAGGAGAAATTCAAGCCGGCTGCAGAAATTTGCATAAGTAGCAAAAAGCCTAATGTTAATCCCCAAGACCATGGGGCAAATGTCTCCAGGCCATGTCAGAGACCGTTATAGCAGCCCCTCCCATCACAGGCCCAGAGGCCCAGGAGGAAAAAGTGGTTTCGTTGGTTGGGCCCAGGGTCCCCATGCTGTGTGCAGTCTAGGGACTTGGTGCCCTGTGTCCCAGCTGCTCCAGCCGTGGCTGAAAGGGGCTAACATAGAGCTTGGGCTGTGGCTTCAGAGGGTGGAAGCCACAAGCCTTGGCAGCTTCCACATGGTGTTGAGCCTGTGGGTGCACAGAAGTGAAGAATTAAGGTTTGGGAACCTCTGCCTAGATTTCAGAAGATGTATGGAAATGCCTGGATGCCCAGGCAAGTTTGCTGCAGAAGCGGGGCCCTCATGGAAAACCTCTGCTAGGGCAGTGCAGGAGGAAAATGTGGGGTTGGAGCCCCCACACAGAGTCCCTACTGGGGCACTGCCTAGTGGAGCTGTGAGAAGAGTGCCACCGTTCTCCAGACCCCAGAATAGTAGATCCACTGGCAGCTTGCACTGTGTGCTTGGAAAAGCTGCAGACACTCAACACCGACCAATGAAAGCAGCCAGGAGGGAGGCTGTACCCTGCAAAGCCACAGGGGCAGAGCTGCCCAAGACCATGGGAACCCACCTTTGCATCAGCATGACCTGGATGTGAGACCTGCAGTCAAAGGAGATCATTTTGGAGCTTTAAAATTTGACTGCCCCACTGGATTTTGGACTTGCATGGATGCTGTAACTTGTTTTGGCCAATTTCTCCCATTTGGAATGGCTGTATTTACCCAATACCTGTACCCCCATTACATCCAGGAAATAACTAGCTTGGTTTCGATTTTATAAGTTCATAGGCAGAAGGGACTTGCCTTGTCTCAGATAAGACTTTGGACTGTGGACCTTTGGGTTAATGCTGAAATGAGTTAAGACTTTGGGGGACTGTTGGGAAGGCATGATTGGTTTTGAAATGTGAGGACATGAGATCTAGAGGGGCCAGAGGCAGAATGATATGGTTTGGCTGTGTCCCCACCCAAATCTCAACTTGAATTTTATCTCCCAGGATTCCCACGTGTTGTGGGAGGGACCCAGGGGGAGGTAATTGAATCATGGGGGCCGGTCTTTCCCATGCTATTCTCTTGATAGTGAATAAGTCTCACGAGATCTGATGGGTTTATCAGGGGTTTCTACTTTGCTTCCTCCTCATTTTCTTTTGCCACCACCAAGTAAGAAGTGCCTTTTGCCTCCTGCCATGATTGTGAGGCCTCCCCAGGCATGTGGAACTGTAAATCCAATTAAACCTCTTTTTGTTCCCAGTTTCAGGTTTGTCTTTATCAGCATCATGAAAATGAACAAATACAGACTTTTGACAAATACTTCTTCTGTCTTTCTGGGTAGTGGAAATATTATAACAGCAAATAAAACATGTTCCCTGGCTATGAACAATTTTTAGTCCAAGAGGAGTAATACCCAGGCAAACAAATAAGTAAAGAATATGATAAATGCTAAAATACAGCTACATATCAGGTGCTAACTGGCTCCTTGGGAAATTGGATAAGGTCTCATGGGTGTGGTGACATTAAACCTAGGTCGTTTTTGTTTTTGTTTTTGTTTGAGACAGGTGTGACTCTGTCACCCAGGATGGAGTGCAGTGGTACAATCACAGCTCACTGCAACCTCCACCTCCCCAGCTCAAACAATCCTCCTGCCTCAGCCTCCCGAGTAGCTGGGGCTACAGGTGCATGCCACCACACCTGGCTAATTTTTGTATTTTTGGCAGAGAAGGGGTTTTGCCATTTTGCCCAGTCTGGTCTTGAACTCCTAAGCTCAAGCCATCCATCTGCCTTGGCCTACCAAAGTGCTGGGATTACAGGCATGAGCCACTGCGCCTGGCCGTAACCTAGGTTTTAAAGGATGTGTAGTTTACTAAGCAGAAAATATAGTAGAGGTACATTCTAGACAGAAAGCTTACACCAAAGCAAAGGGTGTGAAAGAGCCCAATATGTTGGGGGATATCGAGTAGGAAAGCATGGCTGTATGTATAAATTTGTAGAGAAGACTGAGTGGCGAGATGGCTGGAAGAAGAGGTTAGTACCAAGCTGTGAAAGGATTTATATGTCTGCATGTGAAGTTTTGCTTCTTCCTAGTAATGGTGAGTCAGCAGCAACACCTTTTTTTTTTTTTAATGTAGATATGGTGTCTTGCTATGTTGATCAGACTGATCTCAAACTCCTGTCCTTAAGTGATCCCCCCACCTCAGCCTCCCAAAGTGCTGGGATTACAGGTGTGAGTCATTGTGCATTGCCTAGCAACACTTTTTAAATAAGGAAGTAACATGGTCAAATTTGAACTTCAGAATGACATACTCTTGTGACAATGTAGAGGATGATTTGGGGGAGAAAGAAAAAATAGACACAGAGACTCCAGCTTCTTGTCCTAAGCTTCTGAAATTTGGGAACTCCCAGTTCATATCTTAAATTTGATATCTAGCACATTCTCTCTCATCCTTCTGAACTAATTCTGTTATGTACACGAAGCATTCTCTCTAAACACTTTGTTGTTAGTTGCTTTTTTCCTGGGAATTTGTTTGTTTGAGACAGGGTCTCACTCTGTTACCCAGGCTGAAATGCAGTGGCATGATCATGGCTCACTGCAGCCTTGAACTCTTGGGCTCAAGTTATCCTCCCGTCTCAGCCACCCAAGTAGCTGGGACTTTAGGTGTGTGTCATCATACCTGGCTAGTTTTTATTTTAATTATTTATTTTTAAACATATTTTTTGTAGAGATGGGTCTCACTATGTTGTCCAGGCTGGTCTCAAATTCCTGGGCTAAAGCAATCCTCTTGCCTTGGCCTCTCAAAATCCTGGGACTATAGGCATGAGCCACCATGCCTAGTCTGGGCACTTTTTTTTTTTTTTTTTTGAGATGGAGTCTTGCTCTGTCGCCCAGGCTGGAGTGCAGTGGCACGATCTCAGCTCACTGCAGCCTCTGCCTCCCAGGTTCAAGCAATTCTTGTGCCTCAGCCTCCTAAGTAGCTGGGATTACAGGTGCGTGCCACCGTGTCCAGCTAATTTTTGTATTTTTAGTAGAGACAGGGTTTCACCATGTTGGCCAGGCTGGTCTCGAACTCCTGACCTCAGGTGATCTGCCCACCTCGGCCACCCAAAGTGCTGGGATTACAGGCGTGAGCCACTGCGCCCGGTCAGTCTGGGTATTTTATACATGGTTATTTAGGTGTAGGAAGCATTTGCCAGTGCTTTCTGATTGACTTTTAATGTCTTTCTCAATGATGCCTTTTGTTTTTCTGGCCGTTTTGGGGTTTTTGGTTTTGGTTTTTTTGTTTTTTTTTTTTTGAGATAGGGTCTCGCTCCAGGTTGGAGTGCAGTGGCATGATCACCCCAGGCTCAGCTGATCCTTTTGCCTCAGCCTCCTGAGCAGCTGGGATTAAAGGCATGAGCCACCACACTTGGCCACCTTTTTCTTTAATAAATATTTTTAATGAATTGATTGCCATGAGGCGCCCATAAATCCTATTGATTGGTAGGTCTTTGTTTTCTAAACTTCTAATCTAGAGGGAAACAAATTCATTTAACAGACGTTTATTGTATAACTGATTTCTGCAGGCACTGCACATGGTCCCAGAAATTTAAAGATGAATGAAGACTGTCTCTGCCCTCATGGAACTCACAATCTAGTAGGAAGAATTTTTTAAAAAGACATAAATGGTTATAAAAGTGCATACTAGCTGGGCGCGGTGGCTCACGCCTGTAATCCCAGCACTTTAGGAGGCTGAGGCGGGTGGATCACCTGAGGTCAGGAGTTCGAGAGCAGCCTGACCAAAATGGAGAAACCCCGTCTCTACTAAAAATACAAAATCAGCCAGGTGCAGTGCGCATGCCTGTAATCCCAGCTACTTGGGAGGCTGAGGCAGGAAAATCTCTTGAACCCGGGAGGTGGAGGTTGCAGTGAGCCGAGATCACGCCACTGCAGTCCAGCCTGGGTGAAAGAGCGAGTCTCTGTCTCAAAAAAACAAAACAAAACAAAACAAAACAAAACAAAACAAAACTGCATAGTCTAGGACAGAAGAAGGCATAACTAATTTTTGTGGGCTACCAAGAATCAGTAAATCATCCCCCCTTTCAAACTATATGAATGTGTAATTTGCAACTCTTATTGCAGCATTTGAAAACATAGAATAACAAGAAAGTACAGTCCATAATTACCTTTGAACTTCAGTTCAATTTACGCCATATCCCCTTAACTAGTTTCTTACAATGCATTAGTTATTCTTAACTGCCCAAGAGTTTGTGAACATTTCTTTTCTTTACAAATTACTCCAAAGCTCTGGTCCATTGGCTTGTGGCAGTACAAAATTACCTTCTATAAATAGCATTTTTAATTGAAACATATGAATCCCAGACAGTGGCATCACACTTAGTTTCTGCTGTGCTCTTGTGGAAGATAAGCCTTTCATGCAGAGCCTAGTAGCTCAGCATGAATTTCATGACCTGCATTTCTTAGTAGCTACTTTGCCTTTAGCATCTTTTCTGCTTGATCAGTTGATAAAAGCTTGTCCTAGTTTCTTGAACCTGTTTTATAGCAATAATTCAGCCTGCATTTATTCTTTCCTTATTGCTTCCTTGAAGTTTAAAACTGTTTAGTGTATTCACCGTTTGCTTTTCTATAGTCTTCAATTATAGGGAGGATTTTCTTCCCTATCAATCTCTTAATAGGTCTTCTGCAGAGCCAGAGATGTCTATTAATTTTCTCATTATAAAATCAGAAATTATAATCTGATAAATTGATGTCTCAGCTGGGTGCAGTGGCTCATGCACTTTGGGAGACTGAGGCAGGAGGATTGCTTGAGCTCAGGAATTCGAAACCAGCCTGGGCTACCTAGCAAGACCTTGTCTCTACAAAATTAAAAATATTATCTGGATGTGGTGGCATGCACCAGTGATCCCAGCTACTCAGGAGGCTGAGGTGGGAGGATTACTTGAGCCCAAGAATTCCAGGCTACAGTGAGTTGTGATTGTGCCATTGCACTCCAGCCTGGGTGACAAAGGGAGACCTTATATATACTAAAAAACAAAACAAACAAACAAACAAAAAACAAAAGGTGCAGTGGCTCACACCTGTAATCCCAGCACTTTGGGAGACTGAGGCGGGTGGATCACTTGAAGTCAGGGGTTCGAGACCAGCCTGGTCAACATGGCGAAACCCTGTCTCTACTGAAAATACAAAAATTAGCCGGGTGTGGTGGCACACACCTGTAGTCCCAACTACTCGGGAGGCTGAGGCAGGAGAATGGCTTGAACCTGGGACACAGAGGTTGCAGTAAGCAGAGATTGCACCATTCCACTCCTTTCTGGATGATGGAGTGAGCCTCTGTCTCAAAAAACAAACAAACAAAAACAAAAACCATCTCAATATATTCTCTCTCTTGTTTTTTTCTTATTGTTCTGAATTTGATGTTTACAGTCGTCATGCTGTAGTACTGCCTTTAACATCCGATGCTCTATTTATCATCAATATCTTATCACTTGCCTCTTTTCAGGATTATGGAGTTGTCTTCTGACTTACCGATTTACCTCGGTGATTTTTTTTTTTGGTAAATTTTTAAGAAATATATTATGATAAGTTAAGAACCTGAAAAGTCAATTTAAATCAAAGGCTGACATTTTTTTTCTTTCTTTCACATTCAAGTCACAAAAAATACACTTAATTTTAACAACTCTTATATATTTCTACTCTTCTTAAGACTGATGTAGTGTATGTTTCATTGAAAAATTTCACCAATAACCAATGTGTTTCAAAAATCTATTATCATGTAATCTGTGACAGAAGAGAAATCTAGCAGTGGCTTCTTTTTGGGAAAAACAAACACTGTCTGGAAGGTCATCACATCTGCTTAAAAAATTTTAAAGATTTTCAGGCCACTCATTTATTATTTGTTTTCAGGTTATAATACATGCCTATTATAGAAAGTTTAAGACTATAGAAAAATATAAAGAAGAAAAATGTAAACAGTCAGTAATTCCACTACCAGTAAGGCCACCTGTTATTTCGGTGAAACTTCAAATTTTTGTGAAGCCTTACTCTAGCAACCTCCTACTTTTCTAAGTCCTCCTCCTCAATAGACTGTTCAGGACATTCAGAGTGGAAGACTGACTTTGAATACAGGGGTCCTTCGGATTTTTATGGAAGGGATGGAACTGTAGGAAAAACCTACAAATTGCTCCAGAGATGACATCTTGTTCTTATTTAGCCTTCTTTGAGTCATTAACAGTCGGGCGCCACTGGTGCTGAAACTTATCATTATTATAACCACAAATGGGTTAATGCCCAAACAAAGCTATATTCTTGGGGCTGGTTCCCAGCTCCACCACACAGACCCCAGCAGCCAGCACCCGCCAAGTCCCAGGATAATGCTCCACAAATAAGACGATGTCAAATGTTCAGCCTGGACTCAACATTATCTTCTTCTATCTGGGAGCTTCCAGTTGCTAGCAGGGCAGAGCAAAAGGAAAAATAAATAAATAAAAGCCAGGTCAACAAACCCTAAAAAAAGAGACTGTGTGGTTTAGTGGTCAGACCACTGGCCTGGATGTTGGGATAGCTGAGATCCAGTTGTAGCTCTACCACTATGTGGCTGCATGATGCTAGACAAGTCACTAGACAAGTCACTGTTGTGACTTGTGCCTCAGTTTCCCTAGTTAGAAAATGGAAAAGTGCCTTAGAAAGGTTTTTTTTTTTTTTTTTTTTTTTTTTTTGAGACGGAGTCTCGCTGTGTCGCCCAGGCTGGAGTGCAGTGGTGCGATCTTGGCTCACTGCAACTTCTGCCTCCCCGGTTCAAGTGATTCTTCTGCCTCAGCCTCCTGAGTAGCTGGGATTACAGGCGTGCGCCACCACGCCTGGCTAATTTTTGTATTTTTAGTAGAGATGGGGTTTCTCCATATTGGCCAGGCTGGTCTCGAACTCCTGAACTCGTGATCCGCCCACCTCAGCAGAAAGTTTTTATGAGGACAAATAAGATTATTTGCAAATAGCTACAAGTTGCTTGGGAATAAAGTAAAATTATCACTTAATAATTACTATGGTATTACCTTATTAATAAAATAGTAAAAAGCCACAGTTATGGAACATATGAACCTCCCATAACCTCAAGCTAGATGGGGGAAGCAGATAAGAAGGCAATTAAAAAAAAATCAGATTTGCTGGACTTCACACCAAATACCAAATTAGTAAATTTGCCTCAAGACACTAAGCCCTGCTCCTACTTTGGCTCTGTCCTTTTAACCTCACCACATCCAAACTTAGAGTGACTCACAGGAGCCTAGAATTGAGACACATATACAATTTTAAGGGAAAGCAAGAATTAGGAGGTTTGAGGCTCCTTACTGGAGGACGCTAAGAATAGGCCACTCGGAACACAAAGAGAAGAACCTCCTCTTTCCTTTTCCTCCCAGTGTAGGTGGTCTACTGGTTTCCCAGTCATTCCTTTGATAGCTTGATTTTGTTTTCTTTGTCTCTTTTTCACAAACCTCACCTTGTTGGAGGGGGAGGGCACTAAAAAAGTGAGGACAGAGTGGCTTTTTCTGCTATGTCTGAACTGTGTCTAGTGCTACAGATCTCTGACCTGTTGTCAGGAGTGGAGAGGGGCGAAAAGAAATATTTAGGAACTTGAAAACCAGTGAATATTCTCTTAAAGAAGAAGTGAGCAATTGGGCATATAGGGAAAAAAATCTAACTGGTGTCCTCGTTTCTGCAGCCCCTCTCCCTCAAGAAGAGCAATGTCTTGGTAGGAAAAAGGAAAGACACCTGGGAAAGGTACCAAATAGTAAGGGCTAGGAATAGAAAGAAGAACCAAAGATAAAAAGGAATTGAGCCTGGGCGCGGTGGCTCACGCCTGTAATCCCAGCACTTTGGGAGGCCTGAGGCAGGCGGATCACCTGAGGTCGGCGGATCACCTGAGGTCAAGAGTTTGCAGACCAGCCTCGCCAACATGGTGAAACCCCATCTCTACTAAAAACACAAAAAATTAGCCAGGCGGAGTGGCGGGCGCCTGTAATCCCAGCTACTTGGGAGGCTGAGGCAGGAGAATCGCTTGAACCCGGGAGGCGCTGGTTGCAATGAACCGAGATCACGCTACTGCACTCCAGCCTGGGCGACTGAGTGAGAATTGAGAAGAAATGGCAATTAGTTCAGAGGACTTAATGAGTACCTTTTGTGTGTCCAGCCGTCATAGGCAGAAAAGACACATCTCTGACCTCTAGAAGCATCCAGGGTATATGCATACGTAAGCACTTTGTAGCAATTTAAGATAGTAAATACCAAAGAGATAAAAATAGCTAATGGGATACTAAGTGTTTATGGGGGCCAAAGGGCGGGGGCTATTACTGAGTTAGGATAAACAGTGTATAAAAGCAGGGATAGTTATGAAATTCAGAAACTGCGTATATGGGCGGCTGACAGTAATTCTTCGACACTGGGAAACATAACGGATTCAAAAGAATTCTTCATCTCAGATTCCTCTAAAACCAAGTCTTCAAGAATGGGAGTCCAAAGAAACCTGGACCATCGTGAAGCGACTGCCCCCGGAACTTGAGTGGCCAGCTCCACTTTGCGACACGGAGACTGTTTGTGTGACACCTCCTCCAGCTCCCGTCCCCCTTCCGCCGCGTGGGTGCCATGGCAACGGAGAGAGACGGCAACCTGGGTTCCGGAAGCCGGAGAGCTGGAGCTTTGAAGCCACCCCGGTCAAAGGATGCTGAGTCCGGAGCGCCTAGCCCTACCGGACTACGAGTATCTGGGTAGGAACCCCCTTTAACTTTGGGGAGGGAAAGACGTGCAGACGAATTAGGCCAGGGTCTGGGAGGAGGCGGGGGCGGGGTCTGAGTGGGATCGGGTCCGGGTGGTATGGGGAGGGGCGGAGAGGCGGGGGTTCCAGGGCCTGAGCCTGTAAGGCCGAGCAGGAAGGAAAAAAGCACCTGGGAAGTAAAGAATGTTTGAAGTGTAGGGGCTGGAACTCAGGCAATGTGGATTGTGTTCAAATGGGTCAGGTTGGCGTTGAGGATTTGGGGCCCTGTTGGGGTATTATTGATATGCTGGTAGTGGAGTAAGAATAACCTTGGAACCTCAAGTGCCAAATCAGTCAGCGAACATTTCGAGCTTTTCTTTTTCATTAGGCACTGTGCTAAGCATTTTTCATGCATCATTCTTCATTTGAATTTCTCAACAGCCCTAGGAGGAATTACCGTGTTTTCTTCCAGTTTTGCAGGTGGAGAAACTGGGGCTGAAGAGGTAACTTGCGTTAAGTTAGGCCACACAGCTAGAAAATGGTAGCGCTAGGATCAGAACCGGATTTGCCCACTCCAACAGAACTTGAGATATTGACTTGGCTCTTGAGCTAAGACTGTATATGTAGTACTTTGTTGAGCATCTTTAGTGTATAAGGCATTTAATGAATGAAAAAAGGCACACACACGCATAGATATGTACACACACACACATATGCACACAATACACATTTTATTTTATTTTATTTTTGAGACGGAGTCTAGCTCTGTCGCCCGGGCTGGAGTGCAGTGGCGCGATCTTGGCTCACTGCAAGCTCCGCCTCCCGGGTAGCTGGGACTACAGGCGCCCGCCACCTCGCCCGGCTACTTTTTTGTATACTTAATAGAGACGGGGTTTCACCGTGTTAACCAGGATGGTCTCGATCTCCTGACCTCGTGATCTGCCCGCCTCAGCCTCCAAAAGTGCTTGGATTACAGGCGTGAGCCACCGCGCCCGGCCACAATACACATTTTAAATAATTCATAGACTTTTATTTTTTTAAAGACGTTTTGTTTTGTTTTGTTTTGTTTTTTGAGACAGAGTTTCTCTCCTGTTGCCCAGGCTGGAGTACACTGCAACCTCTGCCTCCCGGATTCAAGCGATTCTCCTGCCTCAGCCTCCCGAGTAGTTGAGATTACAGGCATGCGCCACCACGCCAGGTTAATTTTATATTTTTAGTAGAGACGGGGTTTCACCATGTTGGTCAGGCTGGTCTCAAACTCCTGACCTCAGGTGATCCGCCCACCTCGGCCTCCCAAAGTGTTGGGATTACAGGCGTGAGCCACTGCACATGGCGAGAAGTTTTAAGTTTACAGAAAATTGAGCAGATAGTACGGCGAGTTCCCATATACCTTGGGTCTCCCTCACTCACAGTTTCCGCTATTATTTACATCTTGCATTAGTGTGGTACATTTGTTACAATGGATAAACATATATATTTATAATATATAATAATATATTATATATTATTATTATTATATAGATATATTATTATAGATACATATTATTAACTAAAGTCCATAGTTTACATTAGGGTTCTTTGTGTTGTTCAGTTCTGTGGGTTTTGATAAATGCATGTCATGTATTCACCATTCCATTATCATACAGAATAGTTTCACTGTCCTGAAAAATCCCCTGTGCTCCACCTATTGATCCTTCTCCCTCCCCCTGCAGCCCTTGCCAACCACTGATCTTATGGTCTCTAAAGTTTTGCCTTTTCCAGAATATCATGTAGTTGGAGTCATACAGTGTGTAAATTTTTCAGATGGGCTTCTTTAACTTAGCAGTAAGCATTTAAGTTTCCTCCATGTCTTTCTGTGGCATGATAACTCATTTCTTTTTATTTCTGAATAATATTCCATTGTATGGATGTACCATGCACATCTTTTTTTTTTTTCTTCTTCTTTTTTTTTTTTTTTGAGACAATGTCTGGCACTGTCACTCAGGCTGGAGTGCAGTGGCACTATCACGGCTCACTGCAGCCTCAACCTCCGGGCTCAAGTGATCCTGCTACCTCAGCCTTCCAAGTAGCTGGGACTACAGGCACATGCCACCATCCCTGGTTAATTTTTTAATTTTTTGTAGAGAAAGAGTCTCACTATGTTGTCCAGGTTGGTCTTGAACTCCAGGGCTCAAGCAAGCCTCTTACTGTGGCCTTCCAAAGTACTGAGATTACAGGTGTGAGTCACTGCACCTGGCTTACATCTTTTTTTTTTTTTTTTTTTTTTTTTGAGATGGAGTTTCACTCTTGTTGCCTAGGCTGGAGTGCAATGATGCGATCTGGGCTCACCCCAACCTCCGCCTCCTGGGTTCAAGTGATTCTCCTGCCTCAGCCTCCCTAGTACCTGGGATTACAGGCATGCGCCACCACGCCTGGCTAATTTTGTATTTTTAGTAGAGATGGGTTTCTCCATGTTGGTCAGGCTGGTCTCAAACTCCTGACCTCAGGTGATCCACCCACCTCGGCCTCCCAAACTGCTTGGATTACAGGCGTGAGCCACCGCGCCCAGCCAACATCTTTTTAAATGAAAAACAATTCTGGTTTACATTTTGTTTAACTTATTTTAAAAATTAATTTTAAAATATTTTTTAAGGTTGGTAATATGGAAACTTGATTCAAAGTATTTTTTAGGCCTGGCATGGTGGCTCATGCCTGTAATCCCAATACTTTGGGAGGCTGACGTAGGAGGATTGCTTGAGGTCAGGAGTTCAAGACCAGACTGGATGATAGAGTGAGACCCTGCCTCTAAAATGCATAGATAGATAGATAGATAGATAGATAGATAGATAGATAGATAGGTAGATGTTTTTAGTGAAAAGCCTACCCCTTTGCCTCCATCTGCCCAGTTTCCATCCATCCTCAGCCTCCCAAAAGTAACCACTATTATTGTTTTCCTGTGTATCTTTCCAGAGTTTATTATATACATAAAGGAGTATACAGTGCATACTTTTTCATTTAATACATCTTGAAGTAATTTCCGTTTCTTTTGTTTTTTCTTTTCTTTCTTTCTTGAGACAGAGTCTCACTCTGTCACCCAGGCTGGAGTGCAGTGGCACCATCTCGGCTCACTGCAACCTCCACTTCCTGGGTTCAAGCCATTCTCCTGCCCCAGCCTCTCAAGTAGCTGGAACTGCAGGCACGAGCCACCACACCTGGCTAAGTTTTTGTATTTTGGGTAGAGATAGGGTTTCTCCATGTTGCCCAGGCTGCTTTTGAACTTCCTGAGCTCAAGCGATCTGCCCACCTTGGCTTCCCAAAGTCCTGGGATTATAGGCGTGAGCCACTGCGCCTGGCCTCGAAGTAATTTCTCAGTCAGTAGGGAGCTTCTTCGTTCTTCATGAAATTCATTTTTAGCTATATAGTATTTAAATAATTTATTTAACCAGTCCCGCACTGGTAAACAAGTTGTTTTTAGCCTTTTGCTGTTACTAAGAATGCTGCAATGAATAACCTGCAGTTTTGTTCCTTTGCAAGTGTATCTGCAAGAATAAGTTCCACAAAGTGGAATTGGTGGATTAAGGGCATATGCATTGAAGTACTTATAGATATTGTCAGATTGCCCTTAATAGGTGTTGTACCATTTTGCCACCAGCAATGAAAGAGAATGCCTGTTTCCCCATTGTGCTGACAACAAAATACATCAAACTTGGATTTTTTTCAATCTAAGTGACAGATAGTCTGAGTAGATTTAATATGCATTTTTAAATGAAGTTGAGTGCCTTTTTACCAAGTTTAAGGGCTGATTGGTCTTTGAAAGCTATATATATACACATATATACATGAACATATATATAGACATATATATAGAGAGAGAGCTTAAGACAGTGACCACATCCATTAATCAGCTAAAAGGGGATATCACAGACAATTTTGTATCTAATGAATAACAGTATCAATGTCAAGCAATGCCTAGACTTTTTTCCAAAGATTTTATGTATTTTATTACCCAGTACTCAATGAATATATGAAATATTTGAAAAGGCTAGTTCATTGTTCAGTTCCTTGGGTGTTTGCTGTTTGAATTTTATGTCTCAAAGGCTTGGCAGATTTGGTGTATTGGTGCCTTGGTGAATAGAAGTTGGTGGTCTCTTCATAAATGGCGTTTTCAGGAAGGCCAATTCAGTGGCAGTGTTGAGAATGAATCTACAAACAGAATCAGAGTCTCAGGTTGGTTGAAAAAGCTTCAATGTTTGTGAAGCCCAACCAATCACCTAATAATTGAATCCTATACAAATGCTTCTTCATGCTTTGTTGCATATTTAAGTGTCTTAATTCCTTGTCCTAACCACTAACTAGACATTCATACTGCCCTCAGCATGGTCACACCCCTCACTGCCTTCTCCTGGTTCATCAAACCGTATCACTCTGCTGAAATGCGTTTGTCTTTAGTTGAGAACTATCCCTGCCTTTTACAATTTGTCTCTCTTAGAGGCATGCTGCTTTGACCTATTCACCCTCAATTTTTTTTTTCTTTTTTCTTGAGACGGAGTCTCGCTCTGTCACCCAGGCTGGAGTGCAATGATGTGATCTTGGCTCACTCCAACCTCCGCCTCCAGGGTTCAAGTGATTCTCGTGTCTCAGCCTCCCAAGTAGCTGGGATTACAGGCACCTGCCACCATGCCCAGCTAATTTTTGTATTTTTAGTAGAGACAGAGTTTCACCATGTTTGCCAGGCTGGTCTCGAACTCCTGACCTCAGGTGATCCACCCACCTTAGCCTCCCAAAGTGCTGGGATTACAGGTGTGAGCCACCACGCCTGGCCAACCTATTCACCCTCAATCTAATGACCGTTTAAAACCACTCCCTACAGAATAGATTAATAAAATATTTCCTGATTTAAATTTTTAAATACCTGTGATTTTTCCATTTGTTTTTATTTTTATACATTATAAAGTTACTTGTATGTGTAAGCCTAAAGAAGACTATACTTATAGAGAAAACAAAACTGCAGACTGGAAAGCCCTAGGCATTCAGTGAAACCCAAAAGCTAAAGTTGAGTTCCCCTTGGTTAGTGTATCTGGAGACCTCTCTTTAGGATTATGGTGTAAATTACAGGGATACCTATCCAAAGAATATCTAGAGATATCCCTTTCTCCCTGCTAGCTAGGGATTGTATTTACCTTTCTGACTATTAGTGAAGAAATCAATCTTTTATCATGTTGGGTAAACTGATCCTTTCCCCACTGACTTTGTAGATTAGGAACCTGTAATCATGGCCTTGCATGGCTTAAGATCTTAAGATCATCACTAAAGAATAGCTTAGTGATGTTCATGTCTGCAGTCATCAGAATGTAGTGATAAAAATTGTGTTAATGCCTAGGCCTGAAGAGAGAAAGGAGAGTCTGGTAAGGAGATGAAATAAGTATAGACCCTCTCTGTAGGACCCGCAAAAGGTTTCCAGCCTTATGAAACCTACTTAGTGGAAGCTTCTGCCAGAGGCTGAAGGTGTGTCTGTGTATCTGGTTGGGTGTGGCGAGCTCTCTAGAGCCAAAGGGCAGCCTGTTCTGGTCCCAGGTTTGCCAAACATACCACCTACGTGCTGACCTGAGTATAAGCATGAGGGCGTGAGGTTTATTTTTTACTCCACCTAATTTGGTGAGGTGCATGCTTTCACTCACGCTCCAAGTTGCCTCTTCTTTTCCATGGAACCTGCTTATTCTCACTACGGTTGATAGTGGGTTAGTATAATAGATAACTCTAGAAATCAAAGATGGCCTTTCTCCTTTGGGGACTAGACATTTAGAAGAATCACAATAAATTGGGTAGTTTTTTTTTTAAGCTATAGTTTTTGAACTCTTCCTATATGCCTGGCACTGTGGTTTATCTCATTTAATTTTCACAACTACCATATGAAGTGGGTACTCTTACTGGTCCCAATTAGTAGTTATTAATATCATCTTCTCATTTTATAAATAAGGAAGCTGAGGCTTAGAAAGGCTAATTGATTTGCACAAGGTCACACAGGCAATGATGCATAGTAAACAGGGGTTCATACCCAGGTTTGTCATATTCCACAGCTTGTGTTTTTTCCTCTTCACTAAAAAGATAAAAACAAACCAAAAAACCCCTATTGGTTCAAAGGGCAGTAATTCTTGCTTCCTTATTAAGGATGAGGCTCTTGCAAATAAATTTCTTGGGAACAAGAATTGTGTTTTACTCATCATTGTCAACCTTCTATCATTGTCTACCTTCTATCACTGTATACCTTCTATCATTGTATACTCTCCTACACTTAATTCATACGTATATGTGAAATGGAATATGAATAATCTGACCTTAGGGTACCCTAAACATGAGTAGCTAACAAAAGCAACCGAGACTTATTAAGAACTTACTCTGTACCAGGTACCATTTTAAATGCTTTACATATATTGATGTATATGAAGATAGTTTCAGTTGTTATCTCCATTCGGCAGATGAGGAAACTACACACAAAGATACCAAATAACAAGTTGTAAGTGGTGGATCCAGAATTCTAACCCAGCAGTCTAATTGAAGTCCACATGGTTAAACTCTATGCTATAAATACTTTGAGCAACTCCCAAAGTGGGGCTCCAACTATTGTGTAGACCTATACGTGGATCCTGGAGTAAGGTCAAGTGATTCCAGTGTCTTCATTTAACATTTCTGCCATGAGGAGGCATCCGAGGAATGAGGATGGATCAGGGAATGGTAAAATTTCCAATTTCTTCTTGCCACTGGACTCATCTCTCAGAGGCAGGCAGTGAGGAAGATAACTTCTACCATTTGGGAGAATTTTATTGACAATCATCTTTGTACTTTGGGTAGCTGTATGACCTAGAAGAAATCACTTAACCTCTCTGTGCCTTAGTTTCCACATCTCCAAAATGTGGGTGGTAATAGTACAGTCATGGTGGCTTACGCCTATATTCCCAGCACTGTGGGAGGCCAAGGAGGGAGGATTGCTTGAGCCCAGGAGTTTGAGACCAATGGGACATAGTGAGACTTCGTCTCTACTAAAAATAAAAAAAAAATAGCTGGGTGCAACAGCATGCATCTGTAGTCCCAGTTACTCAGGAGGCGGAGGTGGGAGGATGGCTTGAGCCCAGGAGGTCAAGGCTGCAGTGAGCTGTTTTCACACCACTGCACTCCAGCCTGGGTGACAAAGTGAGACCCTTTCTCAAAAAATTTAAAAAAGGCCAGGCATGGTGGCTCATGCCTATAATCCCAGCATTTTGGGAGGCCGAGGCGGGTGGATCACCTGAGGTCAGGAGTTCGAGACCAGCCTGGCCAAAATGGTGAAACCCCATCTCTACTAAAAATGCAAAAATTAGCAGAGCGTGGGGGTGTGTTCCTATAGTCCCAGCTACTCAGGAGGTTGAGACACGAGAATTGCTTGAACCCGGGAGGAGGAGGCTGCAGTGAGCTGAAATCTCACCACTGCACTCCAGCCTGGGTGACAGAGTGAGACTGCTTCTCAAAAAAAAAAAAAAAAAAATTGTGCTTGCCTCATACATGTAAGCATTTATCCTGTTAGAGCACCTGTGTAGGTGCTCAATAAATATTAGCTGCTAGTGTTATTACCATATTTTTGTGCAAATACGTAAACATCTGGTGGCAACCAGGAATGTGTGCCTCTCAGATCTCCTACACTGGGGAGGGGAGGGTAATTGACTCCTGACCCCAGCTCTGAATCTAACACCTTGTTCACACTGAGGTCACACTTTCCACAGACTGCTCCTAGTCAATGACTGGGCAGGACAGACCCACTTCCATGAGATGTTTTACTCCTCTAGTGGGTGACTTTGGCTTAAAGACTCTCACTGCACACTGCTAAGTCCCTCATTCTCCCTTCTCCCTCCTAAAGGAGGGATAATAATTAGGGTCCCTCCTAAAGGAGGGATAATAAATTAGGGTCACACCTGCATTTGATCTCTTAGCTCTCCCAGACTCCTCCGGCTTCCTTCCCATTTTCTATCATGGGCGTTTCCCCCAGTACATCTCTCGCATGTCTGATCCTGTTTTGGTGTCTGTTTCTCACAGTATCTGAGCTAAGACAACATCTAACAGTTACTGATATAGTCTCTTCCAGCCATGAGGTTAATACAACTTCTTTAGGACTTGGCAAAGGTTCTGACATAGGACCCCTTCTATGTGGAAGATAAGTGTTACTAATCTTAATTTTTTTTGTATTTGCTGATACCACAGCATATGATAGTTACTTGTCTGACTTCCAGACACATTCTATTTTTTGATTTTGAATGAATCCTGATAAACTTATTTTTATTTGAATATAACTAGTGAGCCTTCCAAACCCAATTCTATTCTAGGAAATATTGCTGTTTACAGTAAGTTAGCAGAAATTCTCTTAGGGCCTTAAAGTGTTTGGTTGCTGCAGAAAGGAAATGAAATAAAATAGGTGTTAAACTGACTTCCTAAATCTTTGGAAACTAGGTTTATAATACATAAAACTGGTCACTTTGAAATGATTATGGGCCAGGTGCGGTGGCTCATGCCTGTAATCCCAGCATTTTGGAAGGCTGAGGCGGGCAGATCACTTGAGGTCAGGAGTTCGAGACCAGCTTGGCCAACATGGTGAAACCCTGTCTCTACTAAAAATATGAAAAATAGCTGGGCATGGTGGTGCGCACCTGGAGTCCCAGCTACTTGGGAGGCTGAGGCATGAGAATCGCTTGAACCCGGGAGGCAGAGGTTGCAGTCCACTGAGATCACGCCAGTGCACTCCAGCCTGGGCGACAGAGCAAGACTCTGTCTCAAAATAATAATAATAAATAAATAAAATAATTATGAACATGTTCACAAAGTCACCTCTTTCTTTCCTTTTCCTCCCCCTACCCTTCTCCTTCCTTTTCTTCCTCCCTGAATACCTTCTCTATATAAAGCCAGGCATGAATATATGAATATAAAGCATCCCTCCCCACAGGAAACTTACACAGTAGATGGGAGATGGGACATATTCATAAATGACCATAACATAAAAAGACAGTATAATAAGTAAAGAGTATGTGACCTATATGGTTCTAGAGCCAGCAGCTATCTTGGCCTTTTCTCAGTTTGGTCAGCAGCTTCTCAGTCATGGAAGGGACAGCAGTTCCCTTGGTAGCCTAGTTCTGGAATGGGCCTTTTGGGAGTTGTTCCTGGAAGGTCGATCTAGATTTTTTTCCTTTTCCAAAGATTCTGTAACCTATTTAATACATGTAATAAATAAATATCTTTTTGTTGGGGGGAAAAAAGAGCCAGTAAGTTCTAAGCCATGTTGTTCCCAACCCTTGCCTACCTCCATTTCTCCAAAGTAAATTGCAGAGTGATGTCAGTGTTATTCTGGGGTTTTAAGATAGCTTTAAAATTTTTGACTTTGTTTATCATTTATATATTCAAGTAATGTTAAAATCTTTATTCCAAATGCTATTCAGAAGTTGGGGATCACTTTTATTTGCACAAATGCAATATGTGCTAAATGAATAATTCTAGGAGGCCGAGTAGATAAATTGAAGTTTTAAAAATAATAGTAGAGCAGGCCGGGAGCAGTGGCTCAACGCCTGTAATCCCAGCACTTTGGGAGGCCAAGGCGGGTGGATCACGAGGTCAGGAGATCGAGACCATCCTGGCTAACACGGTGAAACCCTGTCTCTACTAAAAATACAAAAAATTAGCCGGGCGTGGTGGCAGGCGCCTGTAGTCCCAGCTACTCGCGAGGCTGAGGCAGGAGAATGGTGTGAACCCGGGAGGCGGAGCTTGCAGTGAGCCGAGATTGCACCACGGCACTCCAGCCTGGGCGACAGAGCGAGACTCCATCTCAAAAATAAGTAAATAAATAAAAATAATAGTAGAGCAGAAGAGACATGATCCATTATCCTATTTCTGGTTCATCATCCTATTTATGTCCTTCATAGCACTTATCAGAGTTATCTTGTGTACCTACTTGTATACTTGGTTATTGTCTGTTTCTTATTAGAATGTGAGCCATGAGGGCAGGCCTTTTCTCTCTAAAATCTAGCACAATGCTTGGCCCAAATGAAGTGCTCAGTTGTTGAATGAATGGTCTACTTTAAGTAACAGAATAAATTTTAAAATAAATGGGAGAAAGGAATCCAGTTCAACAAATAGTTACTGAATTCCTAACATGTGAGAGAAACTATGTTTTTCCCCCCTTCCATGAATGAAAAAGGATGATTAAATCTGCTCTGGATCTTTTCGGTTTTAACTCTGATTTATACCTAAAGTTAATTTCTTGGTTGATACCATAGTTTCTGTGTTTGGGTTACATAACATTAAAATTTAATCCATTTTGTAAAACCAATATTTTAAAAAGGAAGGAGATTTTCTACAATTTTGGAGCATCTCAATGAGATCCTGTCCTTTAGTTGGACAGAGTGATATGCTTTGATTAAGACTGGAATTACCCTTGTAAACTAATCTCTGGGTCCTCTTTCTGTGTTGGGATCACCCTTACACTACTTCCCTAGGGGCCTTAGGAAATAGCTCATTCTATGATTGGAATTTCAAGTCAAAACACATTTATCTGAGCAGAATTTTAATGATTTATCAAAGAGAGGAGGGATTTTCCCAAACACAACTGAACTTACAAATTACTGATCCCACTAGCTATGTTTTTTCTTAAGCACCTTTCTTTAAACAAAGCAATTACTGCTGAAATCATCAAATGTATTTTTTTCATGGAAAGCTTTTGACTAAGTTTTGTTTGATTAGCAGGAACCTACTAAAAGTAAATATTGTTTGAGACAGCACTTTCAGAGCCTGTTCTTTTTCTTCATTCAATTAGCTTTTAAAGCACTATTCTTTGGAGAAAGTAAGAGCCTTTTTTCCAGCTGTCCTATTGTGTAACTCAAGGTCTCGTTAATACTATTATCTAGCCCCGAGATTACAGGTAATTGTGATAAAACACAAGCTTCAGTTTCTGTAATCTCAGACAGAAATCTGCTTGTGCCCCAGGACTTCAGATCAGGTGTTTTTTAAATTCAGACTTCTCTCACCTGGGACAGTCCCATTGGCCCAAAGTAAACAGAGGCATCTGGCGGGGATAGAGCTGCATTAGGGCCCATTGCCACTTTTTTTTTTTCCCTTTAAATTAATGTGGCAGAACTCCTCCTGTGGCCAACTTACAAAGACCTGTTCTAAATGGGAAAATTCTGTATTTTAAAATAGGCATGCTTGAAACAATAACACTTTTGAATGTAAGATATATGAAAGGCCACACGTCTTCGGCTTTGCTTGTCAAATGGAGAGGCTGCCAGAACCGGTCGGCTCCATGGTTCTCATGCCCCAAAGTCCTGCAAATTGACACGTAAGTAGGCAACACACAAAGAAGTTCAGCCCATGAGAAAGTGAGTTTGGGCGCTTGGGCTGGCCTCCTTTCTCTCTGTGTGGAGTTCTTTCCAACTTTGCCTCTTCTGTCCCATCTTAGTTTTTCAGAAAGGAGAGATTAAATGTGTCTGGTATATCAGCATGTTAACTGCTTGGGCAACATGAGGCTAGCACTCAGGACACTGTTCAGCCTGTCATATGGAAGGAATTGCCTTTCAGAGGAGATTATAATTGTGTATATAGCCACACAAATGCACATTCTGCCTGGAGGAAATTGCACAGAAGAGGATGCCTTATGCTGCCACTCAGGTCTCTTTGTGGAAGGCTGCGTAAGAAGTGCTTACATGGCATAGTCACCTCTTTTGGACTTAATGAGTCATCTTTTTGTGTGATGGCTACATAAAAAAAAAGGAAAGAAGAAATGTACTCTTCCCCAAGTGAGCTGCTTTTATTGGCCCTGCTGCTTTGTCTAAGAGTTTTATACACTCCTCATGACATCATTTACAATGCTGGTGCACAGACAGTAAACAAAAAATAATTTAGCCCTTGGGCACCTAGACGAAACTTAAGTAGTCCAATTTAGAGAAATGATAACAATAAACTTCATAAACAGTGAACACATGAGCTTAAACAGCAAGCATGACTCCAGTCCTTTTTGGAATGCGATGCATTGAAAGATGGCTATAGAGAAAACTAGAAGCTCCACACGTCAGTTATGTGCAGTTAAGCCTTGAGTCCATGGTCTAGTGTTAATCTCAAGAGTACATTCTAGTTAGTGGATAAAATACAGGCTACCATGTGAGTAAGTCATTAAGCTCCTTGAGCCACAGCATTTCACCTATAAAAGTGGGAAAGGTAATATTGCCACCTACCTCACAGGAATGAAAGATGATTGAGAAGATAAACTTGTGGAGTTCCTTATAGGGAAGGTATTTTGTAAATAGAAAACACTGTTATTATTCTCCTTGATCAAATTTCCCCAACAAATGGAGTTGATAAAAGCTACCTCACAGAGGGTTGAGAGGCTGAATTAATTAATATACGTCTAGTATCTTAAGAGTAAACTATTTAATGAAACCTAAAATTGATTGTCTTTCTTGATAGTCTATGAACTACCAGACCTGCTGTTTAGAAACATGATTGTCTTCTAAAGTCTCACATATGCAGTCTTTGCCTTCTCTTCAAGGGTTGGCACGATAAAGAATAGTGAATGTACAGGCAAAAGATAGGCTAAATCTTCAGGGAGAACAGCCTTGCCTTTTTTCTTTTCAAGGGTATATTTACAAATAGCCTTTGGAGTCTTGCTAATCTTTGTTACCATGCCTGAACATAGGGACTGTTTTGACCTTTGTTCTTCCAATAAATATTTATTTTTGATATCATATTTCTAAATGAGAAACAAACTTAGAAGGAAAAGAAGTGGTTGAATTTGTCTCACATTATAAATTTTTTCTTATCTTTCCTAGGATGGTAAGAGAAAATAACTTTTTTTTTTTTTTTTGAGACAGAGTTTCGCTCCATCACCCAGGCTGGAGTGCAATGGCACAATCTCAGCTCACTGCAACCTCTGCCTCCTGGGTTCATGCAATCAATTCTCATGCCTCAGCCTCCCGAGTAGCTGGAATTATAGGTGCATGCCACCATGCCTGGCTAATTTTTGTATTTTTAGTAGAGATGGGGGTTTCGCCATGTTGGCCAGGCTGGTCTCAAACTCCTGATCTCAAGTGATCCTCCCGCCTCGGCCTCCCCAAATGCTGGGATTACAAGCATGAGCCACCGTGCCCGGCCTGAAAATAACTATTATTGAAGGACCAGACATCAGGCTCTCCAACTGGAAAGTTCTCAAACTTAGCCAAGTGATTAAAAACAGCTTTGGCTGTTCAGAATTTAATCTTTTGTTTTCAATTACAGTTAGTAGTATTTGGGTAACTTCATTTCCCAGATTTCATTTGCTGTTAGGTGACACAAAAAGGGGAAAGACTTTTTCTTTTCTTTTTTTTTTTTTTTGAGATGGAGTCTCGCTCTGTCGCCCAGGCTGGAGTGCAGTGGCGTGATCTTGGCTCACTGCAAGCTCCGCCTCCCAGGTTCACGCCATTCTCCTGCCTCAGCCTCCCGAGTAGCTAGGACTACAGGCGCCCGCCACCTCGCCCAGCTAATTTTTTGTATTTTTAGTAGAGACGGAGTTTCACCGTGTTAGCCAGGATGGTCTCGATCTCCTGACCTTGTGATCCGCCTGCCTCGGCCTCCCAAAGTGCTGGGATTACAGGCATGAGCCACCGCGCCCGGCCTAAAGACTTTCTTTTAAATTCTAATCCCTTAGGCAGGGATCATGTCTCATATATATATTTTTTAATACAGAGATAATATTTCAACTTTTAAGTAGTACAGCTGCCTAAATACTGTCTTAAGTAGAAACTGTTTTCTTTTTTCCTTTTTTCTTTTTTTGAGGTGGAGTCTCACTTTGTTGCCCAGGCTGGAGTGCAATGGCCCGATCTCGGCTCACTGCAACCTCCACCTCCCGGGTTCAAGCAATTCTCCTGCCTCAGCCTCCCGAGTAGCTGGGATTATAGGCGCCTGCTATCACGCCTGGCTAATTTTTGTATTTTTAGTAGAGACAGGGTTTCACCATATTGGCCAGGCTGGTCTGTTGGTCAGGGTGGTCTTGAACTCCTGACCTCATGAGCCACCCGCCTCAGCCTCCCAAAATGCTGGGATTACAGCCATGAGCCACCAGGCCTGGCCTGGAAACTGTTTTCAAATAGGTGTTCTTCATATGCCATCTAGAGTAATTCTCATATGCAGGAGGACTGAAGGAGACAGCAGTCTCGTTCAGTCCTCACAGCAGGTAGACACCAGCTGATCCCACTTTTCTTTGAGGAAACTGGGATTTAAGTTATATAACTTGTCCAAGGTCACTGAGCTAGTATGTCTGGAGCTGAAGTTTGAATGAAGTTTATCTGACTCTAAAGCCAGTAGTATTGTTAGCCACTTTCTTTCAGGTTTTGTAATTTCTAAGAGCCTTCTTTCCCATTCAGTTCAATAAAAATTTAAGTGTCAGAACTTAAATTCAGTAGAAAATTCTACAGAATATATGATATATTCCTTAGACTCTTTTTTTTTTTTTTTTTTTGAGACAAGGTCTCACTCTGTCATCCAGGCTGAAGTGCAGTGGCATGATCATGGCTCAGTGTAGCCTCGACCTCCTGAGCTCAGGTGATCCTCCCACCTCAGCCTCCCAGGTAGCTGGGACTATAGGAGTGTGCTACCATGCCTAGCTAATTTTTAAATTCTTTGTTTGTTATGTTGCCCAGGCTGGTCTCGAACTCCTGGGCTCAGGTGATCCACCCGCCTTGGCCTCCCACAGTGCTGAGATTACAGACGTGAGCCACCATACCCTGCCAGATTGTTTTAATATATAGAAGATAATTTAACATTTTCTTGGTGAGGTAGTGTCATTATTTTAGACCTAATTTATTATATTGTGCTATAAATGTGTTATAACAGTTACCCATGAAGATGGATGTTATTTTTTTTATGCATGAGAAGAAATGGTGGCTCAAATAACTTAAGTAAATTTTCCATTTATATAGATAGCAGTTAGTGAAGCTGTTATTTGATTCTAATTCTTCTAATTTGAAATTAAGTGGTTTAGGTGCCACTCAGTGTTAAATTCTAATTTATAGCTATTAATTAATAAGAAGACATCTCCCTGCTCCCACACCAGTACTTACCATTCCCTTCTCTCCAGACTAATGTTTCCTACTGAGTCAGTAAGCTGTTGAGGTCTACTGAGGTTTGTTTGGCGCTTCAGGTGGTTTGGTGCTCCTAATCTCTCAGGGTATTAGGGTGAGGGCTGAGCTGGTGTTATAAAAACAAAACAAAACAAAAAACCTCCACCACTTAACTCCCCCTCCCTCCCAGTGCAATGGCTCATACAAGAAGCACTTTCTTTCTTTCTTACTTAATCCAAATCCAGGATGTGAAAGGCAGGGTCTGCTTTAGGAAGTCATCATTGGATTTCAGCTAGCAGAGCAGTCATTCTGTCTGAAACACATGGTTTCCAAAGCTGCCTCAATTGTAGCCATTTTCAGCCAGTAAAAGGGGAAACAGTGAATCCAGGGCAAGGACCTTTTAGGCAAGTGAAGCCGAAGATGCAAACATCACTTGTGCTCACATTTCATAGGTGAGAACTTAATAAGGTCCCTGCTAACTGCCAACGAGGCAGGGAATTTTAGTCTAATGGACAGTCGTGTGCAAGAAGAATGGCAGTGTATTTTTGGTGGTACACAAACAAAAATCTGTCATACCTAGTATATGCGGTGGAGACATCTACCCTACTCAAGGCAAGTTGTATTGTTGGTAGCTGCTTGCCCTTATTCACAGGTGAAGCATAGATGTGCTGGTCAGTATTTGGTTTTTGTCCTCTACCTCTTGAAGTACAAAGTTATTTTATCCTTGGTCCCTGTCTCTGAGTTCAGTTGCTCCCTTTTTACAATGGTTATTATTTTCTTTCTTAACTTTATGTTGCCTGTCATTTCTCTGTGTCACTTCCTGTCCTTTGTAAACATTTCCAATAATCAGAATAGTTCCTCTCTATACTCTAGTGAGTCGTTCACCTTAGTGAGAACATGTAATTTTAGAATTTTTAGTTCTTTATAATTGGTTTGTTGCTGGGCGTTGGAGGTAACTTTGCTGCTAAATAATTTTATTTTTCTATTGAGAGTTAGAGACCCATTGTAGAAACCAAAATCTTGTTTCCAGAGAGCTAGTTTTACAATAAAGAAAGATATTTATCTTCCTAGACTGGAGAGTGATTTGTAAGAGATTTAGGAGGAGAGTGAGAAAAAGGCAGTGCCACAGACACTGGGGACGTGGGGGTGGAGAGTTTCAAGATGGAGGAAGTGTTCAATGATACCAGATGCCTCAGAGAGGTCAAAGAAGATACGGGCTGCAAGGCAGGTTGTTAGTGGCATTAAGGGAGGTTTTCATGGAGTAGTGTGGCAAGATGCCTGATTTTGCTGGATTGAAGAGTAAATCGGAGGGTGAAGGCGTTGAGAATAGGCTAGATTCGTTTCAAGAAGTTTGACCAATTAGGGAAAGGAGGAGAGGGGGTGATAGCAAGAGGAGGAAGAGAGAGTTTATTGTTTTTAGTTTTTAGATGGGAGAAACTTGAGTATGTTTTTAGGCTGAAGGGAAAGGAACCATTGTACAGGGAGAGAGGGAAGATCCAAGGGAAGGAAAGGATGATGAATACTTGATGGAACATTTTTAGAAGTACGAGGAAATTTAGGATCAAAGGCAGAGGTGCAAGGCTATTTTGAAGTTGGGAGTCAGGACCATATTTATCCAGAAGGCACTGTTTGTGTGGTGCCTAACCAACAAACTGTTATGGGATCTTTGAAAATATTTGAGACCTAAAAAAAAATTTATCAACCCTAAAGTATGGATATATGTTTTATTATATATGTATAAAACAATATAATGTCAACTTTCATTATTACATGTAATATTGACAGACATTTTGCCATATTTGAAAGCAATTCATAAGTAAGAATTTTCTCAATTAGGAAGAATTCCCAAGTGAGAAATCAGGTCTTAAGGTGATCTTAAAACCGCTTCACATGGCGTAATTAAATTTGAACAACAGAGGTGGGAAGTAAGGGTGATGAAGGACATGGTTAAACTTAGAAATGGAGCTAGAAATTGGTGTTCTTTACCTGATGACCTCTTCTTTGTCTGAAGTAAGAATCAAGATTATCTTCTTAGAGTTAGGGAAGCAGAAGTAAAAGGCTTGAGGAGAGCAAAGAAAGTTTGTATTAGCTACTGGGGGAAAGAAGAAAGATAGCTCGACTAGGGCCAAGTACAAGTATTCTGAGCTACATTAAAGCATGTGAAGTAAGGCTGCATAAATCATTTTAAAAAAAGAAGTAACTAAGAATGCTAACAGGAGCAAAGTTGACTATGGGAATTGGTAAAAGAAAAAATACAAAAGCATTACAAAATAATAATTAGAAGAAACAGTTGAAAAACTCTTTTAGGAAAACATGATGTCACAAATAATGCATAAGAAGAGGGAGGATTCGGCTGGATGCAGTAGCTTATGCCTATAATCCTAGCACGTTGGGAGGCTGAGGCTGGTGGATCACTTGAGGTCAGGAGTTCGAGACCAGCCTGGCCAATGTGGTGAAACCCCATTTCTACTAAAAATACAAAATTTGGTTGGGTATGGTGGCAGGTGCCTATAATTCCGGCTACCCTGGAGGCTGAGGCAGGAGAATCGCTTGAACCCTGGAGGCAGAGGTGGCAGTGAGCCGAGATCGTACCACTGCACTTCAGCCTGGGCGACACAGTGAGACTCTGTTTTGAAAAAATAAATAAATAAATAAAAAATAAAATAAAAAAGAAGAGGGAGAATCCAGAGAGCGCAAAATTCCACTTCTTCCATTGAAGAAAGTTCAAAGAATTGCTGGATTTAAAGTTTTTGATGTTTATGTTTCTTAACTACAGAATTTTAAAAATCAAATGGGTCTATAAGAGTTATAACAAAAAAAAGCAGTACCCTACACCATAACCTTCTCACCCCGAAGTCTCACTCCTCAGAGGAGGCCATTTTCTTTCTTTTTTTTTTTTTTGAGTACCAGTAAGTCTTTATTTATTCATTGTATTTTCCCAGGGAAAGGAGAAGGGAAGGGAAGAGTCAGCATGTGTTAAAAAATGATGAGAAAATGGGAAAGGAAGTACCCAGTACAGCAAAATCAACCGTCAAATAAACACACCCCAGTGATGGGGTCACCAAAGCCCAAAGGGGCTCAGTCTCCTGCAGTTCAGGAATGAGGGAAAAGGATCAGGAAAAAAACAGACAGGTACAGGCTTTCCTACCCTCCCTCCCCATAAATTCAAGATTTTACACAAAGCTTTGGTTTCTAGCAGTAAACATGGAGTTACATTCATTCATCTCCTATTAAACAATCTTGTGGCCACTTTGACATAAGTTTCTACCACCTGCATAAAAGTTCCTGAGTGACTTGGATATACATTCATATTCCCTTTCTTGGCCTCCTGACCCCACTTTCTACATGGAAGGCCCCCAATTGCATCTCTTTACTTTAGGATTAGAAATTAAAAGTAAGTAGGTTTGATCCATCCAAAATACAGTAGTGTGGTTTTTTTTTTGTTGTTTTTTTGTTTTTTTTTTTTCGAGACAGGGTCTTGCTCTGTAACCAGGCTGGAGTGCAGTGGTGCGATCTCAGCTCACTGCAACCTCCGCCTTCCAGGTTAAAGCGATTCCCCCGCCTCAGCCTCCTGAATAGCCGGGACCACAGGTATGCGCCACCACACCTGGCTAATTTTTTTGTATTTCAGCAGAGACGGGGTTTCACCGTGTTGGCCAGGATGGTTTTGAACTCCTGACCTTGTGATTCGCCCGCCTCAGCCTTCCAAAGTGCTGGGACTACAGGTGTGAGCCACTGCGCCCAGGCTACAGCAGTGTCTTAAGTGTTTGGCATGAATACATGAAGAAATGGTCGGCCTAGCGTGGTGGCTCATGCCTGCAATCCTAGTACCCTGGGAAGCCAAGGTGGGCAGATCACCTGAGGTCAGGAGTTCCAGACCAGCCTGGACAACACGGTGAAACCCCGTCTCTACTAAAAATAAAAAAATTAGCTGGGCGCGGCGGGTGCCTGAAATCCCAGCTACTCAGGAGGCTGAGGCAGGAGAATCGCCCGAACCCAAGAGGCAGAGGCTGCAGTGAGCCGATCATGCCACTGCACTCCAGCCTGGGCGACAGAGCGAGACTCCATCCACCCCCCCCCCCCCACCAAAAAAAGAAAGAAATGGTAATGGTCTTGACTTAGGAGGTTGGGAACAAGGGATGGAGGGTTTTCCTAGCTTCAGGATTTTTGCATACATCATTTAAGAGTTGTGGAGACACTCCAAGCATTAAATGTGTATGTGTGTGGGTGTGTAAGTTTTCTTTTGGGGGTGAACAGAAAAGAGGGCAGGGTAGAAGACAAGTTTTTAGGACAGAAGATCTGGTCTAATAGGTAATAGGGGAAGGGGAATACAAAAGAAAGGATGGTTCAAGATCCCCACTTTAAGAAGCGGGCCCCCCAAACTAATGTTTCAGATCTTTTTGCCTGGTGCAGAAACTTCTGTCAAAGATGCTTTGGCTATTTTTCTCTCAATACAAAAAGAACTTTGTAAACAAAACCCCCAAAGAACACGGAGGAAGACCAATACATTATATTTACACAAACTAGGCCACCTAGCAATCAACTTAGTGAAGTCCTACAAAGCCCAGACAAATACAGTAACTTGGGGGGCAGCATTTAGGGGAGACAAGAACCCAGGATCAGACACACACCACCCAATGCGTTCTATTGTATTTGTCCCGTTTCAACACAGTGAGGTAGGTTTGCGGTGATCTCACAGCATGTAAACGAAACCCCCTTTTTCGAGGAGGCCATTTTCAAATTTTTCAGCATTAAAAACAATTTTTTTTTGCTGTGTACTTTAAAATAACATGCTTAAATTGCTCTTCTTGATTTTTCAGTTTTAGATATTATTTAATGACTTTATATTATAGAAGATGAGGATTTAGGTCTCTTATACTACTCAATTTCCCTTCTTCCTAGTCTTCCAACAAAATTATTATAATTTTTGGTTAAATCAATATTCAGTGTTTATTATGACTGTGAAAATTATACATATGTATGCACGTATACATAGTATATATGTATATATATATACACACAGTATACAACATATATATGTAAAATATATATAATATAGTATACTATGATTACATTTCTCCTTTTTGAACATTTTTTTTCATTTTCCTGCAATTAATAATTGCCTTTCCTTTTGTGCATGGTTTTCGATGAACTTGTGCCCCAGACTTTATAGCCTAAGGTCAGTTCAAACACATCAGGCATCCTCTCAGTTTCAATTTCTTTTCTTCAAGGTAACTTTTCTGAAGTACTTCTTCATCTAACTGGTCCCCCTGCTTCAGTCTGGCCTGGTTGCTCTCTAAATCCTTCATCTTTATCATGGGTATTACTTCATTCTTCATCCTTACATGGATATTACTTGTCTTGCTTAAGTAAGTTTTAGTGCATATTTCCTAAAGCCTATGTCTTCCTTTTTCCTTACATGTTCCTTCTTTTTATTAGATTGCATCCTCTAGTAGCTTTCTGAGAAAGGGTGCATGCAAAGTAATATTTTAGGGAATCTTCTGTTTATGAAAATGACTTTATACTACCCTTACCCTTGATTGATAGTTTAGATACATATAAAATTCTGTGTTGGAGATAATTTTCCCTTAGAATTTTTAAAGCATTTCTCCCCTATCTTTTAGCTTTCTGTATTGCTATTGAGTGATCTAATGCCATTCTGATTTGTGATATTTCATGTAGTTTTACATTGGTGTGGATCTTCTTTCATTGTCTTGAGATCCTTTCAGTGTAGAAATTCATGTATATCAGTTCTGAGAAGTTTTCTTGAATTATGTGTTTAATATTGTCTCATCTCTGTTCTATCTCTGGAACTGTTGTTACTTAGACATTGGACTTATGGATTTATGCTCTAATTTTTCTTGTTTTCTCTTTTCTGTCTTTTTTGATTTTTGTATGTTATATGAATATCCTTAACCTTTCCAATCCTTTTGTTGAATATCAAAAATATCTATTGTATTAGCCAGAGTTCCCCAGAAAAACTGAACTAATAGGATATGTAAAGACCTAGATACATAGCTATATAGATATACAGCTGACCCTTGAACAACATGGATTTGAATTGTGTGATCCACTTATACACAGATTTTCTTTGCCACCTCTGAGACAGTAAGATCAACCCCCTCCATTTCTACCTCCTCAGCCTATTCAGTGTGAAAACAACGATGAAGACCTTTATAATGAATGATCTACTTCCACTTAATGAATAGTAAATATATTTTCTCCTTGTGATTTTCTTTTTTTTAAATTTTAAATTATTATTATTGTAGAGATGGGATCTTGCTTTGTTGTCCAGGCTGGTCTTGAACTCCTGGCTTCAAGTGATTCTCCTGCCTTGGCCTCCCACAGTGTTGGGATTACAGGCATGAGCCACCACGCCTGGCCCCATAATTTTCTTAACATTTTCTTTTCCCTAGCTTACTTTATTGTAAGAATACAGTATATAATACATATACAAAATATGTGCTAATTGACTGTTTATGTTATTGGTAACGCTGTCAGTCAAATATTGGCTATTAATAGTTATGTTTTGGGGGAGTCCAAAGTTATATGTGGATATTTTTTCTTTTCTTTTTATAGAGATAGAGTCTCGCTATATTGTCCAGGCTGGTCTTGAACTCCTGGGTTCAAGCATTCCTCCCTCCTTGAAGTCCCAATGTGCTGGGGTTACAAGTGTGAGCCACTATACCCAGGCCCCACTTTGTTAAAGGGTCAGCTGTATAGATTTATTATGGGAATTGGCTGACATGACTATGGAGGCTGAGAAGTCCCACCATTTGTGCCTGCAAGGTAGAGAACCAGGAAAGCCAGTGGTGTAGTTCCGTCTGAGTTCATAGGCTTGAGAAGGTAGGGTGAGGAGGAGCAGTGTGCTGGTATAAGTTCCAGAGTCTGAAAGCCTGAGAACCAGAAGCCTTGGTGTCCCAGGGCAAGATGAGAGGGAGAATTTGCCTTTCCCCTCTGCCTTTTGTTCTGCGTGGGCCCTCATTGGGTTAGATGGTGCCCACCCACATTGGTGAAGGTGAATCTTCTTTATTCAATCTACTCATTCAAATGCTAGTCTCTGCCAGAAAGTCTATCACAAACACAACCAGAAATGATGTTTTACCAGCTATCTGGGCATCCCTTAGCCCAATCAAGTTGACATAAAAAAATTCAATTATGGTAGATTTGATGATTTAAATTTCTACTCCATTTAAAAAAGTTTGTTGAATTCCTAAATATAAGATTTAATCTTGCCTTTCTGAGAATATTAATTGTAGAGTTTCTTTTTTGTTGTTGTTTTATTGGTTTTTTTTTTTGCATGTGAATGTCGTCTACATTTTCTTTTTCTCCTGAGTTCTTTTTTTCTAGTTTTTAAATGTGTTTTTCATATACAGACTTTTCTCAAGTTTTTGAAGCTACTTGTTTAGGAAAGGGTCTTACAGATCAATATATAGAGTTTTATGTAATATTCCTGTTTTTAGTAGGGCACCTCTGTCTTCAAACTATTCTTGGTGTTCCCAAGTTCAACATCCTTCTGATTCAACTTCTCAATAGAGAATAAACCTTTAATTTTAAACCTGGGTGGAGGAGGAGTAGTAACTTTACTATGTAAGGTTGGGAAGAGGATCTAGAAATATAACTGCTTCTTATGTAGACTTTTAACCCAATTTTCCATTTTTACCTTTACTTACTCCCACGGCTTTAGAGGTGCCTGATACCTACTGTTCCTAAGCCTTTCTGATGTTGTATAAGAGGGTGTGCTTGTTTTTTGTTCTCTTTTCTCAGTATAGCCACTTAAGTTTTAGCTTTTTTTCTGTTCATACAATAAGTTGTGTGTCTAATTTCCATTTTCCAAAATTTTTAACATTTCTTATCTGCTGCCATCTTAACTTCAACTCTATTTTTATAAATCTATGTCTTCTTTTATTTAGATATGCTTAGCACACCAATTCAGTGGGGTTTAAATAATTTTTTTTTTTTTTTTTTTGAGATGGAGTCTTTCTCTGTAACCCAGGCTGGAATGCAATGGTGCGATTTCGGCTCACTGCAACCTCCACCTCCCAGGTTCAAGCAATTCTTCTGCCTTAGCTTCCCGAGTAGCTGGGATTACAGGCACATGCCACCATACCTGGCTAATTTTTGTATTTTTAGTAGAGACAGCGTTTCACCATGCTGGCCAGGCTGGTCTCGAACACCCAACTTCAGGCAATCTGCCTAACTTGGCTTTCCAAAGTGCTGGGATTATAGGCGTGAGCCACTGCACTGGGCCTAAATAATTTTTTGAAAGACACAGAGTCTCAATATATTGCCCAGGCTGATCTTGAACTCCTGGGCTCAAGTGATTCTCTTGCCTCAGTTTCCTGTGTAGGTGAGATTTTTTAGTATACTATGCATGACGCCACAATGCCTGGCATTTTTTAGTGTACTCACAAGGTTATGTAACTACCACCATGATATAATTGCAGAACATTTTTATCAACCCATAAAGAAACTTCATACCAATTAGCAGCCACTCCCATTTTACTTTCCCCGCAACCCCTGGCAACCACTAATCTAATTTTTGTCTCTATGAATTTGCTTATTCTAGATATTGCATACAAATGATAATTATTATACAATATGGGGTTTATTGTGTCTGGCTTCTTTCACTTAGCATAATGTTTTTAAGATTCATCGATGTTTGCTGGGCGCGGTGGCTAACCCAGCACTTTGGGAGGCCGAGGTGGGTAAATGACCTGAGGTCAGGAGTTCGAGACCAGCCTGGCCAACATGGTGAAACCCCGTCTCTACTAAAAATACAAAAAATTAGCCAGGCATGGTGGCGGGTGCCTGTAATCTCAGCAACTCAGGAGTCTGAGGCAGGAGAACTGCTTGAATCCAGTAGGCAGAGGTTGCAGTGAGCCAAGATCGTGCCACTGCACTCCAGCCTGGGCAACAAGAGCGAAACTCTGTCTCAAAAAAAAGAAAAAAAAAAAGATTCATCAATTGTTGTAGGGTATTTCAGCACTTCATTCCTGTTGTGGCTAAATAATGTTTGATTGTATGGGTACATCACATTTTGTTTATTCATTCATCACTTGATGGACCTTTGGATTATTTTCACTACTTGGATTTTATGAAAATACTGCTGTGAACATCTGTATACAAGTTTTTGTTCGAACACCTTTTTTCATTTCTTTTAAGCATATACCTAGGCGTGGAATTTCTAGGTCATTTGGTAACTCTATGTTTAACTTTTTAAAGGATTGCCAAACTTTTTCAAAGCAGCTGCTCCATTTTACCCACCAGCAGTATATGAGGGTTCTAATTTCTCCATATCCTTTCCAACACTTGTTGTTGTTGCCTTTTTTATTATAGCCATCCTAGTGCATGTGAAGTAGTATCTCATTGTGGGTTTGTTTTGCATTTCCCTAATGATTAATGATGTTGAGTGTCTTTTCATGTGTTTTTGGCCAAGGGTTTGTCTTCTTGGAGAAATGTCTACTCAAATCTTTTGCCTCTTTTTAATTGGGTTGAGGTTAAGATGGCAGTTTAGATCTGGACTGTTGAATTGTAACAGTCTTTACATATTCTGGATACTAGACCCTTATAGATATATGATTTGCAAATATTTTCTCCCATCTTGTGGGTTGTCTTTTTACTTTCTTGGTAGTGTCCTTTGGAGTACAGTTTTTAATTTTGATGAAGTCCAATTTATTTTTTCTTTGGATATTTATGCTTTAGGTGTTATATCTAAGAAATGGTTACCTAAACCAAGTTCACAAAACTTTGTACCTATTTTTTATTCTAAGAGTTTTATAGTATTAGCTTTTACATTTAGGTTTTTGATCCATTTTAAAATGGCTTGAGGTAGGAGTCAAAAATCATTTTTTTACATATGAGTATCCAGTTGTCCCAGCACCATTTAAAAAAAAGACTGTTCTTTCCCCATTGAGTGTTTTTGGCACTGTATTAGTCCATTCTCACACTGCTAATAAAGACATACCCAAGACTGGATAATTTATAAAGGAAAAAGGTTTAATTGATTCACAGTTCAGCATGGCTGGGGAGGCCTCAGGAAGTTTACAATCATGGCAGAAGAGGAAGCAAACACGTCCTTCACATGATAGGAGCAAGGAGAAGTGCTGAGCAAAAGGGGGAAAAGTCCCTTATAAAACCATCAGATCTTGTGAGAAGTCTCTCACTATCACAAGAACAGCATGGAGGTAATCACCCCCATGATTCAGTTACCCCACTGGGTCCCTTCCATGACACGTGGGGATTATGGGAACTACAGTTCAAGATGAGATTTGGGTGGGGACACAGCCAAGCCATATCAGGCACTTACGTCAAAAATCAATTTGCTATAAAATATAAGGGTTTATTTATAGACTCTCAATTATATTTCATTGGTTTCTATGTCTGCCTTATGCCAGTACCACACAGTCTTGGTTACTGTAGCTTTGAATAAGTTTTGAAATTGGGAATGTGAATCCTACAAATTTGTTCTTCTTTTTCGAGATTGTTTTGGTTATTCTGGGTCTTTTGCATTTCCTTATGAATTTTAGGATCAGCTTGTCAGTTTCTCTCCAAAAAGCCAGCTGGGATTTTGATAGGGATTGTATTGATATTGTAGGTCAGTTTGTGGAGTGTGCCATTTAACAATATTAAGTCTAACAACCTACGAACATGGAGTGTCTTTCCTATTATTTAGGCCTTTAATTTCTTTCAACAATGTTCTATAGTTTTCATTGTATAAGTCTTATACTTCTTTGTTAAATGTGTTCTTAAGTATTTCATTTTTATATTATCATAGTTAGCACTGTTTTCTCTATTTCACCTTTGAATTGTTCATTGCTCATATATAGAAATATAGTGCCAGCCTGGGCAACATGGCGAAACCCCATCTCTACTAAAAATACAAAAAATTACCTGGGCTTGATGGTGCTCACCTGTAGTCCCAGCTATTCAGGAAGCTAAGGTGGGAGAATCACCTGAACCTAGGAAGCTGAGGCTGCAGGGAGCCGTGTTCACATTACTGCACTCCAGCCTGGGCAACGGGAGTGAGACCCTGTCCAAAAAGGAAAAATGATCTTGTATCTTTCAACATTGCTGAACTAGTATATTAGCTCTAATAGTTTCTTAGATTTCTTAGGATTTTTTATACCAGATAATGTCATCTCCAAGTAGAGATCATTTTACGTCATCCTTTCCAATCTGGATGCTTTTATTTTTTTTTTCTTGCCTAATTGTGCTGGTTAGAACCTGCAGTAGAATATTGAGTAGAATTGGCAAAAGTGGACATCTTTGTGTTGTTACTGATAGGAGGAAAGCACATTTTGTCTTTTGCCATCAAGTACAATGTTAACTGGGGGAGTTTTGTAGATATTCTTTATCAGGTTGAGGAAGTTCCCTTTTATTCCTAGTTTGTTTAGTTTTAGTTTTAGCTTTTTTTTTTTTTTTCATGAAAGGATGTTAGACTTTGTCAAGTAGTTTTTCCACATCTATTGAGATGATCAAGTAGTAGGGTTTAAGTCTTTTTAAAATCCCTTCAGTGATATTTTAGCAGAGGTTTTGGAGGGAAAAAAAGAAAACACATTTAAGCTGATACATTTAACTGCAAGATACAAAGAGATTTTAAAAAAGATATTAGGGGCCGGGCGCGAGAAGGCCTGGATGGGCAGACCATATGAGGCCAGGAGTTCGAGACCAGCCTGGCCAACATGGTGAAACCCGTCTATACTAAAAATACAAAAAAAATTAGCTGGGTGTGGTGCACACACCTGTAATCCCAGCTACTCCGGAGGCTGAGGCATGAGAATCGTTTGAACCCTGGAGATAAAGGTTGCAGTGAGCTGAGATCACGCCATTGCACTCCATCCTGGGCAACAGAGTGAGACTCTGTATCAAAAAAAAAAAAAAAAGATATTAGAAACTAATGTAGTTTGTTTGAAGTTGGTCATAGCTAGACCAACTAGCTATGACCAATTACTAGACCATAGCTAGACCATAGTTTAAGAAATTTGGAAATTTAGAAAAGATAACTGCTTGATCATGCTAAAACACCTAATTCATTATTTTTAAATGTATAATTAAAATAATAAATAACAACCTATTATCCCTCAAAGAAAAAGGAAAAGTATAGGTTTTTATTCGATGACTCAGCAGTTTTCTATCTGGTCTCGTTACCTTCAATTCTTTCTCTTTATTTCTATCAGAGCTATCTTTCTAAAACCTAAACTGGATCTGGTTAAAATCTTTCACTAACTCCCCATGTTAGCATGGCATACAAACCTTGTGATATGGCAGCTTTTTTCCCTCCGTCTAGCACAATTCTTCCATCAAACTGTTTTCTCTAGCTATGCTGAACAATGTACAGTTCCAGAATTCACAGTGTCTTCTCTCTCTCTCTCTTTTTTTTTTTTTTGAAATGGAGTCTCGCTCTGTCACCCAGGCTGGAGTGCAGTGACGCGATTTCGGCTCACTGGAAGCTCCGCCTCCCGGGTTCACGCCATTCTCCTGCCTTAGCCTCCCGAGTAGCTGGGACTATAGGCGCCCGCCTCCACGCCTGACTAATATTTTGTATTTTTAGTAGAGACGGGGTTTCACTGTGTTAGCCAGGATGGTCTTGATCTCCTGACCTCGTGATCCGCCCGCCTCGGCCCCCCAGAGTGCTGGGATTACAGGCGTGAGCCACCGCGCCTGGCCCACAGTGCTTTCTCTTATCTCTGGGCCTTAATACGGACTGTTTTGTTTACTTAGAACTGTAATTCTCAAACTTTTTGGTTTCAGGATCTCTTTACACTTTTAAAAATAATTGAGGATTTCATTGAGCTTTAGGTAGGATATATCTATCAAATTGTTACTGAAACTCTAGGGGTTTGGTATAGGTCCCATTGCTTGCCCCTCAGAAAGCTGATCACTGAGACTACGAGTATTGCCAGGGAACAAGGCTTTAATCGGGTGCTGAAGCTGAGGACATGGGAGATCAGTCCCAAATTCATCTCCCGGGACTGACTAAAATTGGGGGTTTCTATAGCAGGGAAGAAACGTAACCATGTGTGGGAAAACAGGAATTAGGGAGGGCTAAGGAAAAGGAATTGGTTAGTAGGAAGCAGATGGTTGGACAGGTAATCATGACAGGTGAGTGCACAAATTTTAAGACTGGGGGGGTCGATTTCTATGTTTATTCAAAGAAACCATAAACATCAGTTCTATGGGACAAGTGGACTACTTTCAAAATACTTTCAAAATGTTACTATATTTGAATTTAAAACAGAAAATTTAAACATTAATTCATTTAAAATAACAATAATCAGCCTATAGCATATTAACACAAACAGCTTTTTTTTTTTTATTTTTTTTTGGAGACAGAGTCTGGCTCTGTCGCTCGGGCTGGAATGCAGTGGTGCAATCTCGGGTAACTCTACCTCCTCCTCCCGGGTTCAAGCGATTCTTCTTCCTCAGCCTCCTGAGTAGCTGGGATTACAGGCATGCACCACCACGCCCAGCTAATTTTTGTATTTTTAGTAGAGATGGGGTTTTGCCATGTTGGTCAGGCTGGTCTTGAACTCCTGACCTAAAGTGATCTGCCCGCCTGGGCCTCCCAAAGTGTTAGGATTACAGGCATGAGCCACCGTGCCTGGCCTAAAGAGCATTTTTATTAAAAATATTTTCTAAAAACCAAAATAATTAGTGACAATAGTAGCATTGTTTTACACTTTTGCATATCTTTTTAATCTCTAGCTTAGTAATAGAAGACAGATGAATTCTCATATTTGCTTTTGCATTCAGACTGTTACAAAATGTTGCTTTAGTTGAAGAATATGAAGGAAGTCTATCCTTACACAGATACGTAGTTCAAAAAACAGGAATATTTTAAATTGCCTTTTCAGGTATTTATTTCACCAAAACTAGAGAAATAGTAGTTTCTTACAGGTTAGTTGCATTGTGAAATCTAAAACTACATCAGTGAACTTTTCAGAGTCTTTTATATTAAAGTTCACAGGTCTATGTGCACTACGAAAGGACATTTTACCCTCGTATGATTTATGCAGAAAATGGTGCTTCACTTAAGTATAGCAGGTCTTCCAAATGTGTATTTCATGATACAGTATCAAAAGATCACGTTCATTAATATCACCACAGATCTTATCAGAAAAGTCTTTTTTTTGTTTGTTTGTTTGAGATGGAATCTTGCTGTGTCACCAGGCTGGAGTTCAGTGGCGTGATCTTGGCTCACTGCAACCTCTACCTCCCGGGTTCAAGTGATTCTCCTGCCTCAGCCTCCCAAGTAGCTGGGACTACAGACGTGCGCCACCATGCCCAGCTAATTTTTGTATTTTTAGTAGAGACGGGGTTTCACCATGTTGGCCAGGATGGTCTCGATCTCTTGACCTCGTGATCTGCCTGCCTCGGCCTCCCAAAGTGTTGGGATTACAGGCGTGAGCCACCGCGCCTGGCCCAGAAAAGTCTTTAAGAATCGAGAAGCTCTCAGGCTCATGGATGAAGTATGTTTTCCTCCTTTTTTTCCCATACTGCACAGATGTAGAGTTTTCCAAAATTTTAATTTTTCATGTGAAAGCTTGACTTTTTATCACTGATAACAAATACTATCACTTGTTTTCCTTGAAGTAACAGGCTCATTTTGTTCATTTTTGAGAAAATTTCTGCCAAATACCCAAGTCTGAACAACCAGGATTTGTGCATTAGTTCTTTCAAGTAAAAATGGTGTTTTATAAAAAAAAAACAGCTAGTTGAGCTTGCATGTCAAATAATCTTCCAGTGCTTTTCTTTAAGACAACTTTCATGCTTTTGCAGAAATTTTTTATGCATACTTTCTAGTTTGTACATAGAATATTAAAAAGGCATGTACTTATGGGGCAAGGGGTAAGATTTAATGAAATTAATATTTACTGTATCTTCAAGAATATTTGTAAGTGAAACTGGCTGTATTAGTCAGCTTGGGCTGTCATAACAAAATATGCAAACTGGGGTGGCTTAAACAACTGTTTTCTCGCAGTTCTGGAGGCTCAGAAGTCCAAGATCAAGGTGCTGGCCAATTTGGCTCCTGGTGAGGGCTCCCTTCCCTTCCAGATTTTTGCCTTCTCGGGGTGACCTTATATGGCTGGGAGAGACAGACTCTATGGTGTCTTTTGAAGAGCAAACATTTAAAATTTTGATAAAGTGTAACATCAAATTTTTTCTTTAATAGCTCATATATTTTATGTCATATTTAGGAAATTTTTACCTAACCCAGGGTCACTAAGATTATCTCCTATATTTTCTTCTGGAAGTTTTATAGTTTTAGCTCTTACATTTAGGTCTATGGCCCATTCTGAGTTAATGAGTTAATTTTTCTAATGGTGTGAGGAAAGGTTCATTTTTTTGTATATGAGTTGTATATGAATATCGAAGTATTCCAGCACCATTTATTAAAAAGATTATATTTTCTCCAATGAATTGCCTTGCCACCTTGTTGAAAATGAATTGGCCATGTATGTGCATATTTCTAGATTCTTATATTCCATCATTGTATATATGTATCTTTATGCTAATATCACACTGTCTTAATGACTGTAGCTTTACCATAAATCTTAAAATCAGGTAGAGTAAGTCCTCCAACTTAGTTTTTCTTTTTCAAAGTTGTTTTCGCTATTTCATGTTTCTTCATAGCTATGTGATCTTGGGCAGGTTACTTGTCTTCTCTGTGCTTAGTTTCCAGATTTGTAAAATGAAGAATAATATTAGACTCTTAGGAGGATTAAATGAATAAAACTCTTACAACTGTGCCCGGCACATAGGAAGAACTCCATAAATATTAGCTAATCTTAGTAATTTTGGGTATATTTAATGAGGTAAATATTGGATTTATCCTTAATCCTGGCAAAAAATAATCTTAAAATAGGAAACTATATTATTATTTATAACTATATTATTATATATTATTATTAACTATATTATTATCGAGACAACATTTCAACAAATTTAGTTCAAATATCAAATTAACTTTTATTAATGATTCATGAACAGGGCAGTATCTCCTCTAAAAATTTAGAAAAGGGGCTCCGGTGAGCTGAGTGGAGGAGATTGGCTTTATAGGTAGGGAAGGGCGGAAGAAAGCAGAAACAAGAAACTGAAGCAGATTGGTTGTTTTGAAGTTACTTTCCTTGTAGGGTCAGAACAGAGGAGACTTCTTTTCATGCTGGCTGAAACTGGCCCATTTGGAGATTTGGCTGTTATCTCTCTTGACTTCTCAGAAGGTCAGATAACTGACTTAGTTTTAGTTTGGTGACCTGGAGCTTTAGCCTGAGTGACTCCATTTTGGTTTAGTCTACTGGGGCCTAGCGCAGGAACTCAGTTGAAATCAAAGGCCTTCTATAAATTTTATTTAACACTATTTTAAGATACAAGCAAAAATGTAAACATCCCTCAATACAATTCTAGCAAATGGCATAAATATATATATATTTAATTAATATATATAATATATAATTATATATAATATTTAATATATTTAAATAATATATTTAATATATTATTAAAATAAATATATATACATATATATGTTTATCCCAGAAATAGACCAGTCTTATCTATAATATTATTTATAAGAAAATGATAACTGGAATTACCCATAGGAGCACATTAGTAGACATTCAAAGCCTTTTGATAAAATTATCTAATTTTTTTTAGTATCTAATCTTGATCACCCCCCCGAACAATTAAAAATAGAGTGTTTCTGCTGGGCGCAGTGGCTCACAGCTGTAATCCCAGCACTTTGGGCGGCTGAGGCAGGTGGATCACGAGGTCAGGAGTTCGAGACCAGCCTGACCAACATGGTGACACCCCGTCTCTACTAAAAATACAAAAATTAGCCGGGTGTGATGGTGTGTGCCTGTAATCCCAGCTACTCAGGAGGCTGAGGCAGGAGAATCGCTTGAACCCGGGGGGCGGAGGTTGCAGTGAGCCGAGATCGTGCCACTGCATTCCAGCCTGGGCAACAGAGTGAGATTCTGTCTCAATAATAATAATAAAAAAAAGAGTGTTTCTAACTTTTGTTAATGTCTTCATTTACAACCAAGAGAAGCATTAGGGTTATATTTCTTGAAAAATAAGAAAAAGAAACACTGTTCTTAGGCCTCTAGAATCCTCTAGAACCACTGTTCGTTTTTATACTATTGGATATTCTTGTCTTACAGAAAGACCAGATCTGAACATTTTTTTTAAAAAGATGAATATAGGTCCCCATGACTCCCACGGCAACACTGAGTGGCCTTGTTCTACCTGGCTCACTTTGCTAATACAGTGGGGTTTTTTTTCTTTCTCTTCTGTCCTTATGTGTAAGGCAGAATACAAGGGCCTGAAGCCCCCGCCCCTCCTGCATTTGACAACAGGGTTGGACATTGTGTATTGAGTTTTTTTGTTTACATTGTTCTGATTAAAGTATGCAAAATAAAAAGATGCAGTTTTATATAACAGAAGATGGATATAGAAACATTATAAATGGTAAAAGCTTTTATAATTGTTTGCTGATGAGAATATGAAATGATATATTTTGGAAAATTGTTTGGCAGTATATAAAGCTGAACCTATGTATACCCTGTGACCCAGTTATTCACTTCTAGGCACAGAAACAAGGGAAGTGTGGACATATGTTTACCAAAAAACTCATACTAGAATGCTCGTAGTGGCACTATTCATAATAGGTCCAGATTATGGGAAACTGGAACTAAAGAAAACAAATGCCGTCAACAGTGGAACTGATAAATAAATTGTGGTATATTCAACAATGGACTGTTATTCTGTAATGAGATTGAACAATGGGATATTATGCTGCAATGAGAATTAATGAACAGTTACCCACAGCTATATGGATAAACCCCACAAACATAATGTTTTTTTTTGAGACAGGGTCTCACTCTGTCACCCAGGCTAGAGTGCAGTGGCATGATCTCAGCTGACTGCAACCTCCGCCTCCTGGGTTCAAGCGATTCTCATGCCTCAGCCTCCCAAGTAGCAGGGATTACAGGTGCACTTCACCACACCCGACTAATTTTTTTGTATTTTTAGTACAGACATGGTTTCGCCATGTTGGCCAGGATGCACAAACATAATGTTGAGTGAAAGAAGCCAGAGGCAAAAGACTGCATACTATAATAGACTATATAGATAGTTTATATATGTATACACACATACATATATAAAACAGGCACAATTTACCATTGAGGGGTTAGGGACTAGACAGTGGCTGTAGGATGTTTTCTAGGGTGCTGATTATAAGTATAAATTTACATTTTTCTGTATATTATTATATTTAAATAGAAAGTTGTAAAAAATGTTTGGTAGTAAATTTCTAACTTAAAACTAAGCAAATGATACACAATTGAGATCCCGGAAATAGATGCCAAAGAACAAATCTATTTAATCTGTGACAAACTAAGTGTAACAAAGTAAGCATGGCACATGTATACATATGTAACTAACCTGCACATTGTGCACATGTACCCTAAAACTTTATAATAATAATAAATAAATAAATAAATAAATAAATAAAATTCATTAATTGAGATAACTAGATTTCAATATGGCAAAAATAAATTTAGGTTCATGCCTCATACCATATGGTACATTGAATTGTAGTTTGAATTAAAATATTAATAAAATATTAATGTATTTTTTATAACTAAAGTATAATTATGGCTGAGATAATTTTACATATAAAAATTGATATAGATCTGTAAGGGCAGATTGATGCATAAATAGATGTTGGTTTTTAAAATTTGTGTACAACAAATAACACAGATAAAAGGAAAATGACAGAATAAGGACGATTATGATGAATATGATGAATAAAGCTTAATATGATATGTACAGAAAATAAATGACACAAATTTATGTTACAGTCCTGTCAAGCAGTCAAAGGAAATGATTTAAGAGTTTGTTCATGTGCAACATTCTTCATAAAGGTGAAAAATTAGAATCAATCCACATGCCCATCAATAAGGGAACAATTAATAAATTATGGTATTTCTATGATAGATACTACGATGTAGCCATTACAAAGAATTAGATTTGTTAATATGGAAAGATGTACATGAAGTATTAAGTGAAAAAATGAGTTGTAGAATAAAGTACATATGTATAGTGTCATTACACTTTTCTACAAAACAAGTTAATGCAACATTTGTCAACAAGTATATGGTCACATGTAGTGTAAGTTATGGAAGGTATAGATCAAACTGTTAGCAGTGAATACTCTGGGGAATTGGCATAAGAGGGCGCTTATCCTGTTTTTACTTCACACCCTCCTGTATTGTTCTGTTTCATTGATGTGTGCTTTTACAATTAAAAATTTTAAACTATATATAAAGGAGAAAGGTAAGTTAACTAAATATTCACATTTACCAATAAATAAACCACTGGAAATAAGATACTTTTGAGTTAGTTAAAACACAGAACTTTATATTGGGACATCTGCAAGGAAATTGGTCTCTTCCGTTTCTTGGATGTAATATAATCTGGTGTAATCTTTCTGGAAAGTAATCTGACAATACATAACAGGAGCCATAAAAATGAGCATATCTTTTGATCCTAGAGCCTTACTTCTGGGAATATACCCTAAGGAAGTAACTCAAAAGAGAAAAGAAATTTGCTTGTGCAAATATATTTATAGCCACATTATTTTAAGCAGAAAACTGAAAATAATCCAAAAAGAATTCTGTATTTAAGCAATATTTTAAAATGCAGTAATACATTGATCTTCTAATTTTTTTTTTTTAAGTATTGCTGGGTGCAGTGGCTCACGCCAGTAATCTCAACCCTTTGGGAGGCCAAGGCAGGAGGATCGCTTGAGCCTAGGAGTTTGAGACCACCCTGGGCAACACAGTGAGACCCTGTCTCTGCAAAAACTTTTTAAAAATTAGGCAGGTGTGGTGGTGTGGCACTTGTGGTCCTAGCTACTTGGGAGGCTGAGATAGGAGAATAGTGAGAGCCTGGGAGGTTGAGGCTGCAGTGAGCCGTGATTGTGCCACTGCACTTCAGCAAGCAACACAGCGAGACCTTGTCTCAAAAAGAAAAAAGCTAGGTGACCTAATAAGATTGCCATCAGCTTCATCCTTTTATAATGTCAAAAAAATGAAATTAAAAGTAAAGTTTCTTTTATCTTTTCCCTATAGTACCATTCAAATTCTTCTGCTCAGTTTAACATTTTTCTTCAACTTGGTCCCTCTAACAAGACTTTTTACTGGGTCATTTTGTTTTGGAAAGACAAAGTATGAATTTAGAGAAGTAGAAGAGAGTATAGTAATTTTTTCTCCTTATCTATTTATAGTAAACATTATAGAAGCAAAATATTTACTTACACTTAATCAGGTTTCCAAATTGTCCTGGAGAGTAGAATATCCTCCTCCATGATCTAGTGAGGAGGTTAAGTTGGAGGTTAAATACCTTGCATAATACCCCAAAGAGATAGGACAGGGATTAGAGACCAGGTCTTATATAATGAGACCCCCTTGCTAGGGTTGTTGAGCATTGGTGCCTGTCTGTGGGATGGCAGTGCAGGGCTGGGATCAATTCTCTGTTTAAGAGCAAGTCTGAAGGTCAGTTCTTTCCTTTTTGAGCTGGGCTATTTGAGCGGTACAGTGTACACTTTCTGAAGAGATTTCTGGAAGCAATTGCAGAAGTTTCTTATACAGGGTAGAATCTGACCTAAGCTGTCCAAAGAGAAATGGCCCTTAGAGAGAAGTTGTGCTTCCCCTTTGCTACCTCATATTTTATGTGCTGCCTCTCATTTGTTCCTTTTCCTCTCTAGTTCAAAATGCAGGATCTGAGAAGGAGACGGAGCTGTCATCAGTTCTAAACCTGAACAGAATGTTTCCTCAGTTAGTAAATGGAAAAATTATTTTAAAAAATCTTCATGTATGTTTGTGAAATACCAAGACATTGATTTGTGGTCTAGTTTGCAATCATGATAATTATATTAATTAGTACCAATCATGATCATTTTAAACTTTCTGAATTTCTCTATCCTAATTCTGTGATTCAGTGGAAAATATTTATACTCAAGAGATTAAGGTTCAATTTTCTGCCCTACCACTTAACAACTGTGTGACCTTGGGCAGTTTCTTCACTGGTAATATGGAGATAATAATCCCAGCCTTATCTGACTCCTAGGTTTGTTGTAAGGTTCAATGAGATAATGTATGTGAAAGTATTCGGTAAACTTTCAAGAGCAATACAAATGTTTTTGTTGAAGTTATGAAAGTCATTACCCTGTTTAAAACACAGTAAGCACTGAAGATGTCAGTACGTCTCTTAAGATTCTAAAATAGTGTCAAGAAATGTTCTATCCTATCCTAGCATGCGCTAACCTAGGTCTGTGAATAGGCCAAGGAGCCCTCTCCTTGGTTGATTGGTTGCTTGCCAGATATATTAGTTTGATCTCTTCATTTATACTTTCTGGAAAATATATGGATGCTTTATGTTAGGTTTGTCTGCATACAACAGAGAAACCTAAAATACCGTGGTTTAAACAAGATAGAAGATTATTTCTCTTTCATGGAAAACAAGTCTGAAAATAGGCAGTCCACAGCTGGTAGAGTATACTCCAGGGTTTCATCAGGACTCAAGCATATATTTTTCTGTGCCAACATCCTCACCATAGAATCCATTCTTTACCTCATGACCCATGAGGACTGAAGGAACTCCTTTTTATCCATTGGGATAAATAAAGGATATCTCAACTGAATCAGTCCCATTTAAGTACTTTCTAGAAAATCCACACAGTATTTTGCTTACATTTTATAACTGAGTCACATGACTAAAGACTAGCTACAAGAGAAGCTGAGAAATATAATCTTTATGCCAGTGACCATGAACCCAGGTATGTATACTGGAGGGTGTATGTGTGTGTGTGTGTGTGTCTGTGTGTGTCTGTGTGTCTGTGTGTGTTGAAGAGGGTAATTTATAACCAAAAACATTCATATTTTTATATAATGCTGTGGCAGAGACTTCAAGTTGCAAACTTCAATGGCTTCTTCTTCCTTAGAAACGTACTTGCAGTTTTGGCCAGTCATGGTGGCTCACACCTGTAATCCCAGTGCTTTGGGAAACTGAGGTGGGAAGATTGCTTGAGGCTGGAAGTTTGAGACTACCCTGGGCAACATAGCAAGACCCTGTCTCTACCAAAAAACAAAAACAAAAAATTAAACTGGGTTTGGTGGTGCACACCTGTAGTCCCAGCTACTCCAGGGGGCTGAGGCAGGAGGATTCCTTGAGCCCAGCTGTGGAGGTTGCGATGAGCTATGATTGCACCACACTGCACTCCACTGTGGGCAACAGAGCAAGACCTTGTCTCAAAAATGAAACAGGCCTGGCGCAGTGGCTCACGCCTGTAATCCCAGCACTTTGGAAGGCCGAGGCGGGCAGATCGCTTGAGGTCAAGAGTTCGAGACCAGCCTGTCCAAGATGGTGCAACCCCGTCTCTACTAAAAATACAAAAATTATCCAGGCGTGGTGCCAGGCGCCTGTAATCCCAGCTACTTGGGAGGCTGAGGCAGGAGAATCACTTGAATCTGGGAGCAGAGGTTGCAGTGAGCAGAGACCTTGCCATTGCACTCCAGCCTGGGCAAAAGAGCGAGACTCTGTCTCAAAAAAAAAAAAAAAAGAAAGAAAAAGAAACAGGCCAGGCATGGTGACTAACACCTGTAATCCCAGCACTTTGGGAGGCCGAGGTGGGTGGTTCACTTGAGATCAGGAGTTTGAGACCAGCCTGGCCAACATGGTGAAACCCCATCTATACCAAAAAACAAAACAAAACAAAACAAAAATTAGCTGGGTGTGGTGGTGTGCACCTGTAGTCCCAGCTACTTGGGAGGCTGAGGTGGGAGGCTCGCTTGAACCTGGGAGGTAGAGGTTGCAGTGAGCTGAGATCATGCCACTGCATTCCAGTCTGGGTGACAGAGTGAGACTCTATCTCAAAACACACACACACACACACACACACACACACACACACACACACACACAATACTCCAATTTTTACCTGGAGATTCGAGAAATTAGGGAAGAAACCAAAGAAAATATATTTCCTTATAAAATAAATATTAAAATAAAGAAAAAAAAGTCTGGGTGCAGTGGCTCACACCTGTAATCCCAGCACTTTGGGGAGGCTGAGGCAGGAGGATTGCTTGAGCCCAGGAGTTTGACACCAGCCATAGTGAGACCCTGTCTCTACAAAAAAATTTAAAAGTTAGCCAGGCATGGTGGTGCACACTTGTAATCCCAGCTGCTCAGGAGGCTGAGATAGGAGGATTGCTTGAACCTGGGAGGTCAAGGCTGCAGTGAGCCATGATCACACCACTGCACTCCAGCCTGGGCGACAGAGCATGACCCTCTCTCAAAAAAATTTTAAAAGTTAGAAAATATATTTCTATAGTGCAATAACAAAGTGATTTGTGCAGGGAAAACTAAAAATTCTGGAGACATTTTTTAAGCTCAGCAGTATTTGCATAAAGAAATATTTATAATGTGAAAACAAAGTACTTCATTTAATTTTGAAAGATGTATTAAGCAAAAAAGGAAAGAAAAATGAGAGGAAAAATGCTAGAAATACAGGGGGTACATTGGTTTAATTTGAACCCTCTTATGTATATGTATCTTTAGCTCCTTTTACTTTAGCTTTTCTCGTCTCTTTGGAAATGAAAATATTCAGTTGTTGCCATGATTTTGCTTGCTTTGTACAAATGAAATGTTGGCTTTATGGTTATAGACAGAAATATGGAAAACTTTAGAGCTACTTTGAGCAAGCCCAAGAACTTTGAATCATTGAATCAAGAGGAGAAAAAATGAAGAAAATATTTCAAGTTCTTTATCTGTAAAATGATGGAGATAAACAATATGATCTGAAAGTCTTTCAACTTCTTAAGTTTTTATAATTCAGGAGCAGTGGTAAGAATAGTAATGAAGTTTCTAACTACTACTTCCAAGTTAAGTACAATCCAGAGAGGCCAGTGGGACAGAATCTGTGGGACGATGTGGGAGGACTTAAGTGATTTTAAGTCCTGGTGAAGAGGAATAGTGTGTTCAATGGAAATTGAGGAAGACAAGGACTTTTCAGGTCAGGGGGCTTAATGGGTCATCATTGTGTTTGTTACAGAGTTTTAGGAGAGTGGTGGAGAAAAAGATGGAGAAAAAGAAAATGGACTATGTGCTCCTAGGAAGAGAGATGTGATTGTTTTCTAACATGTAGGCAATGAACCCTCAGAGGAACTATAGATGAGCATTAGGGTGTTCTTGAATGCTCTAAAATTATATGCAACATATTATATTCGTTTTTCTGTGAGAAAGCATTTGTAGCTTTAATCAGATTCTTATTGTAAGCTAACAAAGCCACTTGCTCTTAAAAATGAATAATAAAGACTTTAAATGATTAAAAACAGAAAAAGTGACACTTCAGTGGTCCTGCAGTGGGTGAATATAGTCATTGTGATATTTTCAGAGTAAGCTAGGTTTCAGTCACACACACACACACACACACACACACACAGTACACACACACACACAATGAGAGAAATGTATAGAATCGTGGGGAATTTGCTGTACAGTTTTGGGTTTTGGCTTGCTATTATTAGCTGCACCTTGGGCATGTTACAGAACCTCCCTAAGCTTCAATTTCCTCTGCTATAAAATAAGGATAAAAGTACCTTAAATGGTGGTTGTGAAAATTAGAGACAATGTAAGTTGAGTACATAGTACAGTGCTTGGCACAGAATAGGTATTTGGTAACCCTTTCCCCACATGAGTTTTTTAAGTTTCTGTATTTACTTTAAGGCCCTTATTGTATGCAGTCATCCATGAGTATATGCAGGGGGTTAGTTCCAGGGCTCTCTGAGTATACCAAAATCTGTGCATACTCAAGTCCTGCAGTTGGCCCTGTGGAACCCGAATCTACGAGAAGTTGACCCTCCCTATACGTGTGTTTTGCTTCCTGAGAATACTGAAGTTTCGACCTACATTTGGTTGGAAAAAACCCTCACTTTTAAGTGGACCCAAGCTATTGAAATCCGTATTGTTCAAGGGTCAATCGTATTTCACTTTGAAGGACTGGTCCTCAGCAAGTTCATCTTCTGAACTACTCAGTGATGCTCACACTCAAGAAGACCATATCTTATTAAGTGGTTAGTTTAGAAGCTCTTTCCCATGCAGATTTGCAAGCGGAGTGTGTAAAAATCACACATTGCACTTGTTGCCTGGCAGCACGTGTCCCTGAGTGGTAGTACATGGCTTGCATTGTAATGTTATCAGTGCTGGGGCCAGCTGGCTAGACATGTACTGCTACATGGGCTAGGGACTCCATTCCTCAACAAAACAGCAGCCAGCACTAGGGTTAACAGAAAATGACAAACCAGGAATGGATGAGGGAGGCGCCAGCACAGCAGCGGGATGTCTTTTGATTTGCTTCTGTTATTTGCATGTCTCTCTTGTGATGTCTGTGAAATGTTTAGAATGACAAAGTTTTTAAAAGACCTGCTGACTCCGCCTGAAAAATGTGAAAAACCTCCCATTTAGAGACCTATTATGTCCAGCTAGCCTGCATTTTCTATATCTTTTTCTTTATTTTTTATTAATGCAAACATTTGCATGAAGACAGAACCTTTGTTTCTTAAAGAGTTCATCTGCTCCTGCTGCTTACTGGCCCTGCCATGCAAGAGCACAACAGAACCTTTGTTAGGCTTTCAGCAAAGCTGTTTATGAACGGTGGCTTACTGAGGACTGCTTCCTGTGCTGTGTGCTTCCATTTTGTCTAAAAAGAAAAAAAGAAAATAGTTATTAGGAGTAAAAAGAATTTGGACTTTCTTTTATTCAAGTCCTGGATGTTGAAATGACAAGTAGCCCCCAAATTTGTGAGGAACTGGTAATTGCATCGAATGCATTTTTTCGCTTTACCTTGAACATAATGAGGCTCTTAGTAACAATAGAAGGAACAAGTGCCTTCTCATTGGAATAGAGAGAAGGAACAGTAGTAAAAAGGCAACAGAAAGAGTAGTTGAGAACAGGACAAAAGTGGCTTCCAGTAAGAACACTAACATTGTAATAGAATGTGTTTTGATATTTAGCGTTTCCCACCTGGGAGGCACAGTCCTAAAGTGGTTGAGTTGAATAAAGAACAGCATCACAGTTTATAAATAGTGGATACAGTTTGTATGTTCATTAAGTAAATATTTGAATGTCTACCATGTGAAAGACACTGAATGGTCCTGAGTGTTAAAGGAAATAAAAGATAAATGAGTCATGGTGCCTATCTTTAAGGATCAGGACATCCAACAAAGAAGATAACATACGCATAACAGAAATAACTGTGTATCAAGGTAGAAAGTGCCACTGGAAATATTTAAAATAGATGTTTAGGGAGTTTGGGAAAAGGGAAGATCACTTCTGGCTGGGACAGAATCAGGGAAAGGTTCACAAAGAAGGTGGCATTTGAGTTGGGCCTGGCAGAAAAGGTAGGACTGAACATTGCAACATTCCTAAAAGTGATGAGTCAAAAATTATGTTGTTCTAGTAAAACAGATCCAAAGTATGTTTTTATAGGGTACTTTGGTGGTGTTTTTATACCATTAATTTAGATGATATGTTAAGTGTTATGAGTTTTCTGTGTAGACTAAACTGGGGCCTCTCTGTCTAGTCTATGTTGTTCCAACCATTTGCCCCATACGGTTTTTGTGCACTTTGGCCTAGGCCTTTTTGTATCTATAAATATCTACAATAGCATCCTTTACTTTCATAACAAAAATAGAAACTCAAAGGGATTATTGAGCACTATTACAGCTATATCCCATAAACAGTATGTGGAGATAGTTCTTAGTGGGGATTTCACATGTGAGACTCTTATTTGAAAAAGAATCCCCACCTTCGTGCAGAGCCACATCAACCACAAGAGAGAGGACAGGGAATTCTAAGCCCGTGAGTTTTCAGTTACTTTAAATTAGAACTTTTCTGTATCTTTTTGTCATTAGAAAAAATGAGATCCTGTTACTGTTAGTTCAGTTGTGAATGCCAACTAATTTTTATGTAATATTTTTAATGTAAAATGCCAAGCAAATGATTAAGCTGTTGTATTAGTATCTTATTGCATTAATATCACTATTCTGTATATTCATAGTTAAATTGCATATTACCAATTAATATTAATCTGTAAATTTAATGATAATTGATAAATACATGGTTTGCCCCCAAAGGCTATACTTTTTCTTTTTTTTAAAGAGACAGGAGTCCTACTATGTTGGTCTTGAACTCCTGGGCTCAAGGGATCATCCTGCCTCAGCCTCCTGAGTAACTGGGACCATAGGCATGCATCACCATGCCCGGCTGCAAGACTACAACTCGTGCTATAGCACAATTAATTTTCACCTTGTAATTTTATTACTTCCCTGTTTGAAAACATGAGTGGCATATGATTTACTACATGTTTAGCAATTTACAGGATTTTTTTTTTACCCATGATACTTTCTGGAAAATAGTTATGTGAATGTTTATGGCGTTGACTTGATAACTATACTGCTTTATTAGTAACTATTTTTGCAAAGTTATTGCCATGACAAATATTACTTGGGTTCTTCATATGTCCCTTAGATTGTAACTGTGGGAAACTTAAGTGCTACTTTAGATTTCTCTGGTGTTCAGGAAGTACATTTTGTTATGGTCAGCTAGCTGAGTGCTTTAAGTTTGAACTATGAAAATCTCCTTAAAAAAAAAAAGGACGCGGTGGCTTATGCCTGTAATCGCAGCACTTTGGGAGGCCAAGGCAGGCGGATCACCTGAGGTCAAGAGTTTGAGACCAGCCTGGCCAACATGGTGAAACCCTGTCTCTACTAAAAGTACAAAAATTAGCTGAGCATGGTGGCGGGCGCCTGTAATCCCACCTACTCAGGAGGCTGAGGCAGGAGAATCGCTTGAACCCTGGAGGTGGAGGTTGCAGTGAGCCGCGATCACGCCACTACACTCCAGCCTGGGTGACAACAGCGAGACTCTGACTTAAAATAAAAAAGATTCTGTAGTTTCTGGCACTTGAAATTGCAGGACTCCAACCTACAAATGCTGTATTATTATGAGATTTAGGCTGGAAATACTGAGGCAGTAGGATTTAAGCACTTACCCTTAATTGACATCCCAAAACTATATATAAAACAAACAAACAAACAAAAAAACAAAAAAACCCACCAGTTTTAGGAAAGAGAAGGGAAGAGGGGAGGATTAATGGTTGACCAGAGACTGTTTTGAGTGTCAAGGCACTCAGCTTTTCACAGCTATTAACCAGTACAATACCCCTTTTGGTTGAGGGAAATAGACTTTAGTTTTTCATCCTCTACTTAACATAAAGATCTTTAGACACCTCTTGTTTTCTGGTTGTCACAGGTGATGTTAGCATATGTGTAATGCTTTGTTTGCCTCTGGCGTGTCTTTTAGTATTTGAGTTTGACTAGCCGTATAGCAGGACTTTAGTGGTTTGGATGCATAGATGCAATGTATTGCTTTTGTCTGTTTTATAATTAACAATTATAAAATAAAAGGTCATTCCTTAATTTGCAAATTTGTTCTCAGAAAGTTCTGTTTGATACATGTCATACTGCATGGCTCTTTAAAGGTGGCAGTATCATGCAGTACAGACTGGAATATAGGATAATAGGCTTATACACTTGGAGTAGAGAAGGCCTTTTTGAATAGGACACAAAGCACACCAAAAAAAAGCCACAGATACATTATTTTGACTGTATCAACACTTAAAACTTCTGTAAAATGAAAGATACCACAGACAAGTTAAAAGAAGACCATGAAGTAGATGTATGTATTTGTGACATGTATAGAATTATCTACAAGTCAAGAAGAAGAAAAAAAGACAACCAGAGAAGAAAATTGGCAAAGGATAAGAAATACAAATAAACATGAAAATGTGCTTAACTTTATTTGTAATCAAGAAAAGTAAAATTAAAACAACAGAGAAAAGCTATTTTCTAACTATTAAATCGGCAAAATTAAAAAGCATTAGGCCAAGGATAGTGAAAATAGATACTCATACAGCTGGTGGTGTGTAAATTGGAATAACTAATTTGTAAAAGCAATTGTCTATCTCTGGTAAACATGAAGATATCCTGTGCATCCTATGAAATGCCAATTCCATCTTGAGGAATCTACCTTAGAAAAACTCTTGCACATATATACAAGGAAACACGTACAAGAATGTTCAACACAGCCCAGTTTATTATAGTGAAAACATGGAAACAACCTAAATGTTTATCAGTAGGGAAATATTTACCATTGGGAACTATCAAAAAGGTAAGTAGGTTCCATATTGTTTTATAAAAGATCTCCAGACATTGTTGATTAAAAAAAAAAAAGATGCAGAAAGGATATATCAGACACTTAAAAACAACTTAAAACATGAAAACAGAACAAGCTCACAAACTATATTTCTGTATTTTTGAAAATATGTACCCCAAACTGATAATAGTTGTTATCTATGGGAACTGGAATTAGTCTTTAGCTTTATCTGTATTGTTTGAACCTTTAAAAATTATTGTGTGTTTAACTAGAAATAAACATTTTTAAAAATTTAAAGATCATACCAGTACTTTGATTTACCAATTTAAGCTTCTTAATACTATAAAGTATTAACAGGGAAGAGCCAGCAATTTCTAGATAATACAACGTAAGATGGGGCACTTTGTAGGTTTTTGGATTTTTCTTGTTTTGCTTTCATTTTTGGTTTTGAGAGGTAGTGGGGTGAATGGAAGAATACGGGCTTTGGAGTCAAATCTAAGTTTGAATCCAAGCTCTGCCATTTATTTAGACTTTGGGCAGGTTTCTTAACCTCTCTAGTTTTTAAAAAAATTGCTATTACCTACTTCGTTGGGTTGTATAAGAATTACATGTGCTAGATTTCCTCATTTCCCCATTCCCTTTGGTTAAGGGAAATTGGTCTAGTGTGGTCTAAGATCAAAGATGGTCTCGTATGGATGACAAAATGTTTCACAAGAACACACTATATCCTTGGACCAGGATATACCAGTAAAGATGGAGGATGTAAATAATAAATTTTAGAGGTCTATTAACTGTTTAAACCATTAAGCTATCTATTTGTACCTCACAAGATCAAATACTAGATTATGTTAGTGATTTATAAATGATATTGAACTTGAAACTTCTAAGCAGTTTACATGACAGGTTGTTGATTAACAGGTTTACTTTTTTTTTTAAATCTCAGAGAACATTTTAATTTAGTTCAGCAAACATTTATTTGTGCCATCCAGCATCTCAATCTCAAGAGGCCTCATAGACCAAAATATGTCTCAAAAGGAAGAAAGGAAAACTCTATGTATTTATCAATTTATTTATCAAACTCTGGCAAGGGGGGAAAAAGTCAGGTTTAAAGTTGAGTATATGTATATACTCTGCTTTTCACTTGTACTGCTATTGCCTATGTGTGCATCTGTTAATATCATATATAGCAATTCATATGAAGATTTTTTCCAGTGAGACTTAGTTATTCTATTATTGGGACTCTGTATTAAATAATAATTTTTAAAAAAGAGTGCTCTAACTAATGTTAAGGTGGAAATTCTAGACCCCTCAAACAAAAATTTCCAAATAGGACCCCTTATCATTTAATTGTGAAATAAACAACTAATGCTTTTATGGTATTTATGCTTGGGAAGAGAATAAAATAAATAGTTTTGGATTTTCCCCATATAAATTAGGGCCTGCTGAGTAATTAGCAGTTAATAAGTGAATGCTTCCTACAAGTTTAAAGGTCATACCTGAAATGGGTATATGATGATGTATATTTTTATAGTTATAGATTTTATATAGCCCAAGAATCCTTGAAGATAGTCTAAACATCTTGGTTTGATGAGCAGAACTTTCAATAAGGGGGTAAGGGGCTAATATTGTTTGAGCACTTACTATGTGCCAAGCACTATTCTAAGATGATTACATAGATTATTTTATTTAATCTTCACCACAGTCTTCTGTGGTAGGTACTAGTATTGCCCAATTTTATAGAAAAGGGCAGAGAGATAAGGTAACTTATATGAAGTTACACAGTCAGTAAATGACAGAGCTAGAAATCATATCCAGGTTCAGTTGGCTCAAGAACCCATATTCTTAACCATTGCAGTAAAAATTGTTATGCTGTTTTAATCTGTAGAGTCAGCATGTAGCAATAATAATATAATCATTAACATGTTACATTTTGCATATATTGAATGCTTTCTAAAGAAGTAGTTTATTATCAGACATATTCTTAGAATCATACCCATTTTATAGCAGGATTGACAGTGTTATAAAGAGATTACGTGATCAACATGGGGTGAGTCAACAGAACCAAGAAGTTTCTGATCCACAATTGCCTTCACTTGCTAGGTTCAAGTAAGGATCATATAGTGTTTACTTACATTTGCCTTAGATTTTTCAGTATAGCATGATGAAATTCTAAATGCTTATCTCAGACAGTGATGCTATCTGAGCAAGACATGGACAATTGGGCATTAGTGTGAATTTTAGGACACTAGAGCGTAGGTACAGGTTAGAAAACTTAATCCTCATCTTGTGGAAGTCATGGCAAAGCCAAAGAGGAAAAGCCTGTCTTAAATGCTTTTCCTTTTCCAAGGGGCAGCTAAGGTGCCCAGATATCTTTGCCCTCCAGGGATGCAGGTGTGCTGTTTTTTATTCTTTAATCATTCACATAAATTAAAGCCTATTCCTTTGCATTAAAAAAAATGTAAAATGACACTCTCCGTGTTTTATTGCCAGGCAAGAGCTTTGAACTTCTGTCTCATTGAAGTTTGATAAACTAAGGATTTTCCCGTGTTGGGTGGTACCCTTAACCACAGAGGGAGCATTAGACTGATAAGAGCTGCAGGTGAAGGAAACCACCAGGGCACGGCAATTAGGGAGAGCTTCGCACTTGGCTGTTGGCTGGTGTAAAACTCTCTGCAGGGAGGAACTTTTCTTCTTAGCTTCTTCCCTTCACCCACACGTAAAAAGAACACCAGGGCTTTCTATTTCTACTTTGCGAACTAGGAATGGATGGGATGGTTCTTTTCAAGAAACTTTCAAATTTAGGGACAAGTTCTAACTTCACACAAATGCTGATTGGTATGAAGGTGGGGGGACAGGACAGACAGACATACACACACATAAATTCACGTGGACCCAAATGGACCATATCTCTCAGGTGATTTTACTATCAACATACATTCCTGCCTTTGTGCACTGTGTAAAATAAAGATAATTTTTACTTCCATAACTGATTATAAAGTGTTAATGGTGAGGCAACGTGTTAAGAGAATGGGTTCTTGTATCAGGTAAACCTTGGTTCAAATCTTGGCTTCTCTTCCCACTAGCTGTGTAAATTAATTTTGTAAGTCTCAGTTCTCCCACTTGTAAAAATAGAAGTCTAAGAATAACTATTATAGGATTGTATTTGGAAGAAATAGAATAAAGCATGTGAAACAATTAGTACAGTACTATATCTGTCACATTGTTGTTTAATAAATTGTGCAAGTACTCAAAAATGGTAGCTGTTATTATTTGTAATATGAAACTAAATATCTGATTGGTAGATTAATGTTAAACATGCATGGTCCAATATATTTCTTTCTTTCCTTTTTTATATTTTTGGTATAAAGTCTATTTTCTTGAAAATTCCTGCTTTTTTTTTCTAGAAGGACAAAAGTACTTTGATTTTTACTGCTCTGAAAATATTTATCCCGTAAAAAGCTTTCACATTAACTTTGAGTCCCTGGAGCTAGGGAGGAGAAGCAGCAGGATTTGCTACTAAGTAGAGCTCTTTCATTTCTACCATCAAAAAGAAAAAAAAAAAAAATCCTGTGCTAGCCTTAGGTAGAGCTAAGTCATAAAAGGCCATATAGCCTAAGGAAGGACTCTTTTTATAAGATCAGGATAAACCGATAGAAGAAAGGAAGGAGAACACAGAGGTGAAAATGCAGCTGATTTTAATGTTTCCCTGGCCATTTTCCCTCCCAATTTAATATACACCTAATTATAATTATTATATTTTGAAAACAATACCAGAAATTGGCAGGTATTATCTCACAGCTTCACTCTTAGTTTTGGCCGTTTCTTAAAGAAACAGTTTTCTAGTTGGATGAACTGTTGAGTTGAGGCACTGATTTTGTTTTCACCTCTTTTTGGGTGGGGTTGGGGGTGGGCAGTCAGGGTTTGCAGTGGTTTATAGTTGTTAGTTTTGGGAAGCACTCATTTAGATAGAATGAGTCACAGAATGTAAACAGGTCATCCATCTGGACTTTAGGCTGCTGGGAACGTGGTGAAACCTTAGGTCACCGCGATCATTATGGTCAAATGAAGACTTTTGGGCTCAGGTTGGCAGGTAAACTTACTTGTTTTATGAGCTTCACTAGACTACCAGGACTTCAGAAATAGTTTTTTGAAATACCAATATTTATAAATTTTAGGTAATTCCATCATATTTTCCTGAGGAATGAAACTGTGAAAGAAGTAAATGTCTACTTTGGCAGCAACTTCATAGAATTGCTTTTTGGAAGGATATTCATCACTTTGGGGTTTTTTGTTCTCACTGCTCCAGATGAAAGTATTTTTCTGAATTTTTTATGGTAAATGTGGACACTGAATTGGAAGCTTCTATGTAAAGTTTGTCAGGAAACCTCTGTCATACCTAAGGATAAAATTCAGAGAAAGGGAAGAAGTATTTGAGTACCTGACATCTAAGAAGTTCTGGCCTATGTTGTTTACTGAGTAAACTCCCAATAATGCTTTGAGACAGGCTTTTAAGGAAACATGTTATCAATCACGTACTATGTACCAAACACATAGTGGTGTTTTACCTGTATTATCTTATTTATTTCTCATAACCCTATAATGTAAGTACCATTATTATCCCCATTTTACCATGAAGAATAGGCTTGAAGAATAATTTGTTTATGGTCACATAACTAGGAAGTGGCAGAGCTGAGAATGGAGCTCTCAACTCTCTGTAATCCAAAGCCCAGGTTCTTAACCAGTGATTCTTAAACTTAAGAGTACATAAGAAGCATCAGGAGTACTTGTTAAAAATTACTGGGCTGTAGTAAAAAATGTAAGGTCACTAAATCTGGGACAGTGCCAGACTATAAATCTGCGTTTTAAACGGCATCCCAGGGGATTCAGATCAAGAAATTGATTGACCATATTTTGAGAAACATAGTTAAATTATATTGCTTTTCACACTTGATAAAGAAGAAAACAGGTGTAGACTAAGTAACTATCCAAGATTAAGCTACCAAGACAGAGCCATGATTCAAACTCAGGTCTGTCTCACTCTAATACTCATACTTTTTATTATACGCCCATGATTAACTCACACATTTCCAAGTCACAACAAATGCAGAAAACATGACATCTAATAAACCAAGCCAGATAGATTTCATGGTCTTGTTATTTACCAAAGTTAATAACTTATATATACACCAGTACGAAAATTTTCATGGTCCTTAAACCTTTCCAGTGACTTTTTTTTTTTTTTTCTAATTTAAATTAACTGAGTTTTCTTTTTTTTCTGTTCTGAAATGAAGTCTGGCTCTGTCGCCCAGGCTGGAGTGCAATGGCATGATCTTGGCTCACTGCAACCTCCACCTCCCAGGTTCAAGCAATTCCCCTGCCGCAGCTTCCTGAGTAGCTGGGATTACTAGCTACTCAGGAAGTAGCCACTGCATCTGGCTAATTTTTGTATTATTGGTAGAGACAGGTTTTCACCATGTTGCCAAGCTGGTCTCGAACTCCTGACCTCAAGTGATCCACCCGCCTCAGCCTCCCAAAATGCTGGGATTACAGGCCTGAGCCACTGTGCCTGGCCAGAGTTTTCTTTACAATCATACCATCCATGCTTCAAGCATGGAATTACTAACTCCCTGGGATAAGTTTCTGATGCAGAAATGGAAAAGAATAGAAGGAGGTAGAAAGAAAAGAACTTCCAGGTGTATCTGCTGAATGGTGCTAAATCTCCTCTTCAACCCACCCTTGTGATTGAGATGAAGAATGAAGGGTTGATGCTAATACTAACAGCCAGTCAAATGGCAATTGGTCATGTTCACATCATCTCCCAATCTATCCTTTGAGACTATAGCTCAGTTAGGGTCAGCAAGTTTGCTTTGCCTATTCCAGTCCACTGATGAAGTGTCATCAGACAGAGCCAACACCTGGATTGCCTTACACATGACCTCCTACTAGGATTGGGATCATTCTTTTTAAAATCTTTCTCTCATTTTCTCTTTCTCTCTTGCTATTTGATTGCAGCTCAGCGACATGTCCTCACCTACATGGAGGATGCAGTGTGCCAGCTGCTAGAAAACAGGGAAGATATTAGCCAATATGGAATTGCCAGGTTCTTCACTGAATAGTAAGTACATGAATGTTGTACTAATACAGTGAACCCAGAGGAGGCGCTTGGAAGCAGGCAGGATACTTGAGGAACAGAGCAGGACAATGCTGATTAGGTAGTGGCAGTGAATGTTTAGTTTTGGTAGGTTGGTTGTGGGCCGCCCAAACATGTTTTGGAGCATGCCTTTGGTGCAGCTAGTTTGTCCAGTGATGTCTCATGAATAGTTTTGATTACAGTAGCTTAACAACTGCTTGTTTGATCTATTAGATCTATTTCTGTAGGTTTCTCTTTTAACTTTCTCCTTTATTCAAAATATTCACTTTGATTTCCTTTCGCTGATGTTCATCTAGCCTGTTTTTTTTCATGGCTGGCTTTTCTCATGGAATCTAGGCTAATGTTCCTCTGCAGTTTTCTTTCTACAGGATGCTGTGCCAATCACTTAATGATTTAAGTGTATTTCTAATCAGCAAAGTGAAGAGACAACCCACAGAATGGGAGAAAGTATTTGCAAACTACCCATCTGACAAGGGATTAATAACCAGAATATATAAGGAGCTCAAATATCTCTATAGGAAAACATCCAATAATCCCATCAAAAAATGGACAAAAGATGTGCATAGACACTTCTCAAAACAAGACATACAAATGGCAAACAGGCATAAGCAAAGGTGCTCAACATCATTGATCATCAGAGAAATGCAAATCAAAACTACAATGAGATAACATCTCACCCCAGTTACAATGGCTTGTATCCTAAAGACAGGCAATAACAAATGCTGGCGAGGATGTGGAGAAAGGGAACCCTTCTACACTGTTGATGGGGATGTAAATTAGTATAACCACTGTGGAGAACAGTTTGGAGGTTCCTCAAAAAACTAGGAATAGGGCTGCCATATGATCCAGCAATTCAACTGCTGGGTATATACCCAAAAGAAAGGAAATTAGTGTATCGAATAAATATCAGTACTCCTATGTTTGTTACAGCACTGTTTAGAGTACTAAGATTTGGAAGCAATCTAAGTGTCCATCAACAGATGAATGGGTAAAGAAAATGTGGTACATATACACAATGGAGTATTATTTGGCCCTAAGAAAGAATGAGATCCTGTCATTTGCAACAACATGAATGGAACTGAAGATCATTATGTTAAGTGAAATAAGCCAGGCACAGAAAGACAAACATTGGATGTTCTCACTTGTTTGTGGGATGTAAAAATCAAAACAATTAAACTCATGGACAAAGAGAATAGAAGGATGGTTACCAGAGATTGGGAAGGGTAGCAGGGGGCTGGGGGAAGAGGTGGGGATGGTTGATGGTTACAAAAAAGAAAAAAAAGAATGAAAAAGACCTGCTATTTGATAGCACAACAGGGTGACTCTAGTCAATGATAACTTAATTGTTCATTTTAAAATAACTCAAAGGGTACATTTAGATTGTTTGTAACACAAAGGAAAAATGCTTGATGGGGTGGATACCCTATTCTCCATGATATGATTAGTTAACATTGCATGTCTGTATCAAAACATATTATGTGCCCTAAAAATATATACACCTACTATGTACCCATGAAAATTAGAACTTAAAAAAATTTTTTAAAGGAATATTTCTAGAGGGAGGATATCTTTCATAGATTATATATTTGAAAGGTCATACCTAGGCCAGGCATGGTGGCTCAAACCCGTAATCCCAGCACTTTGGGAGGCTGAGGTGGGCAGATCATGAGGTCAGGAGTTGGAGACCAGCCTGACCAACATGTTGAAACCCCATCTCTACTAAAAATACAAAAATCAGCCAGGCATGGTGGCACGCACCTGTAATCCCAGCTACTAGGGAGGCTGAGGCAGGAGAATCGCTTGAACCCAGTAGGCAGAGGTGGCAGTGAGCCAAGATGGTGCCACTGCACTCCAGCCTGGCCAACAGAGAGAGACTCCGTCTCAAAAAAAAAAACAGGTCATACTTCTTTATAAAGTATACTTAGAATGTGTAAAAGTCAAAATGATTACTACCTTTTTTATTTTTCTGAGATAGAATTTTACTCTGTTGTTAAGGCTGGAGTACAGTGGCATCATCATGGCTCATTGTAGCCTTGAACTCCTGGGTTCAAGGAATCCTCCTGCCTCAGCCTCCCCAGTAGCTGGGACTACAGGTATGTACTATCATGCTCAGCTAAATTTAAAATTTATCTTTTGTAGAGACAGGGTTTCAGTATGTTGACCAGGCTGGTTTTGAACTGCAGGCCTCAAGTAATCCTCTCACCTTGGCCTCTCAAAGTGTTGGGATTGTAGGCATGAGCCACCATGCCCAACTGATTACCACTTTTTGAATATCACAGAACTGTTTTTAGGCTGAATGAGATAAACACTTTAAAAACACATTAATATTCTTTTTCTTCCAACTTTTATTTTAGATACAGGGAATACATGTGCAGGTTTGTTACATGGGTACATTGCACCCAGGTAGTGAGCATAGTACCCAATAGGTAGTTTTTGACCCATTACCCCTCTCCCTTCTCCCCTCTAGCAGTCCACAGTGTCTGTTGCTCCCATGTTCATGTCCATGAATGCTCAATGTTTAGCTCCCACTTATAAGTGAGAACATGTGGTATTTGGTTTTCTGTACCTACATTAATTCACTTAGGATTATGGCCTCTAGCTCCATCCATGTTGCTACAAAGGACATGATTTCATTCTTTTTTATGGCTGCATAGTACTCCATGGTATATATGTACCATATTTTCTTTATCCAGTTCACCTTGATGGGCACCTAGGTTGACTCCATGTCTTTGCTATTGTGAATAGTGCAGCAATGAATGTACGAGTGCATGGGGAGAATGATGTATTTTCCTTTGGCATACCCACTAATGAATGGGACTGCTGAGTCAAATTGTAGCTCTGTTTTAAGTTCTTTGAGAAATCTCCAAACTCATTTCCACAGTAGCTGAATTAATTTACATTCCCACCAACAGTGTATAAGCATCCTCTTTTCTCAGCAGCCTTGCCAGCATCTGTGTTTTTTCTTTTTTGACTTTTTAATAATAGTCATTCTGACTGGCATGAGATGGTATCTCACTGTGGTTTTGATTTGCATTTCTCTGATGATGAGTGATAATGAGCATTTTTTCATATGTTTCTTGGCCACTTATATATCTTCTTTTGAGAAAATGTCTGTTCATGTCCTTTGACCATTTTTAAATGGGGTTATTTCGTTTTTGCTTCTTAAGTTCCTTATAGATTCTGGATATTAGACCTTTGTTGGATGCATAGTTTGTGAATATTTTTTCCCATTCTGTAGGTTGTCTATTGATAGTTTCTTTTGCTGTGCAGAAGCTTTTTAGTTTAATTAGGTCCCACTTGTCAGTTTTTGTTTTTGTTGCAATTGCTTTTGGGGACTTGGCCAAGAATTATTTGCCAAGGCTGATGTTGAGAAGGATATTTCCTAGGTTTTCTTCTAGGATTTTTATAGTTTGAGATCTTACATTTAAATCTTTAATCTATCTTGAATTAATTTTTGTATATAGTGAAAGGTAAGGGTCCAGTTTCATTCTTCTGCATATGGCTAGCCAGTTATCCCAGCACCATTTATTAAACAGGGAGTCCTTTCCCCAGTGCTTGTTTTTGTCAGCCTTGTCAAAGATAAGATTGTTTTAAGTGTGTGCTTTATTTTTGAGTTTTCTGTACTTTCCATTGGTCTATGTTTCTGTTTTTGTACCGGTACCATGCAAAACGCAATCTTCATGAAAGGATGTGCTAGAGAAATACATATGCCATCACATATTTATATAATCGTTTGGATTCTCTTTCCTTTTCTTCTGGTTTTTGGGAACATTCTAAGAAAGGAAGAGTAATCCTTATAGGCTTCCATTTAAGTGAATCTTGAACTCAAGTTCATCTTTCTTGAACATAGTTTTTTTTTTTTTTTTTCCTTTCTGTTCTCCAGAGGCTCCTTGGAGATCAGACAGCTATTCAAATGGCCTCACCTTGGGTTTCTGTTAGGGGAATACTTGAGATTCCCTAGCTCTTTTGCTGAACTCTAAAGTTCTTTTCAATGAAATCTAGATTTTTTATGGATTGGCATTTAGGTTCGTTGGAAAAAGAAGCTTTCTGGGAGTAAAGTTGTTCCTTTCACCCAGTCTTCTAAAGGAGGATGAAGTAGAGAAAGGAATTTTATTTGTTCTCATGATGTGGGCTGGAGCAAATGAGGTGGGCAGGGAATAAAGACTGAGATTGAATAGCCTTGCTTGCTTTTACAGAACAGACAAGTGAACTGACAAGCCTACGGGTCAAGTTTCTATACCATTTAATCTGTACCAGCACTCTTGAGGCTCCTTGCCAAGTGAAATATGACTCTTCTGGGGGTAATGCTTCTTCCTGGCTTTTTTCATTTTACTCCCCTCCCCATCTCTGTTACAAGTCTTTTCCCTATTACACTGGTTGCTTGAAGGTAGGCATCATTTAAATTTTTTTTTGAGGCAGAGTCTCCCTCTGTTGCCCAGGCCGGAGTGCAGTGGTGCAATCTTGGCTCACTGCAACCTCCGTCTCCCGGGTTCAAGAGATTCTCCCGCCTCAGCCTCCCGAGTAGCTGGGATTACAGGCACCCGCCACCATACCTGGCTAATTTTTGTATTTTTACTAGAGACGGGGTTTCACCGTGTTAGCCAGGCTTGTCTTGAACTCCTGGCCTCAAGTGATCTGCCCGCCTTGGCATCCCAAAGTGTTGGGATTATAGGTGTGAGCCATTTGTGCCCGGCCTCATTTATTCTTCATCTTTGCATTCCTGGTACTTGGCATGATGCTTTGCATATAATAGATGTTAGCTAAATATTTATTGAATCAACAGCAGTATCTATATTTTAAGTTATTGAATACTATCTACTCTTCTAGATTTTGTTATAATAAGGACTACTTTCTTGTTTTTTCCTCCCTTTCTTTTTTTATTTTTTTTATTTATTATTATTTTTTATTATACTTTAAGTTCTAGGGTATATGTGCACAACATGGAGGTTTGTTACATATGTATACATGTGCCATGTTGGTGTGCTGCACCCATTAACTTGTCATTTACATTGGGTATATCTACTAATGCTATCCCTTCCCCCTCCCCCCACCCCAAGACAGGCCCCAGTGTGTGATGTTTCCCATCCTGTGTCCAAGTGTTTTCATTGTTCAATGCCCACCTATGAGTGAGAACATGCGGTGTTTGGTTTTCTCTCCTTGTGACAGTTTGCTCAGAGTGATGGTTTCCAGCTTCATCCATGTCCCTACAAAGGACATGATCTCATCCTTTTTTATGGCTGCATAGTATTCCATGGTGTATATGTGCCCATTTTCTTAACCCAGTCTATCATTGATGGACATTTGGGTTGGTTCCAAGTCTTTGCTATCGTGAATAGTGCCACAATAAACATACATGTGCATGTGTCTTTATAGCAGCATGATTTATAATCCTTTGGGTATATACCCAGTAATGGGATGGCTGGGTCAAATGGTATTTCTAGTTCTAGATCCTTGAGGAATCGCCACACTGTCTTCCATAATGGTTGAACTAGTTTACAGTCCCACCAACAGTGTAAAAATGTTCCTATTTCTCCACATCCTCTCCAGCACCTGTTGTTTCCTGACTTTTTAATGATCACCATTCTAACTGGTGTGAAATGGTATCTCATTGTGGTTTTGATTTGCGTTCTCTGATGGCCAGTGATGATGAGCATTTTTTCATGTGTCTGTTGGCTGCATAAATGTCTTCTTTTGAGAAGTATCTGTTCGTATCCTTTGCCCACTTTTTGATGGGGTTGTTTGATTTTTTCTTGTAAATTTGTTGAAGTTCTTTGTAGATTCTGGATAGTAGCCCTTTGTCAGATGGGTAGATTGCAGAAATTTTCTCCCATTCTGTAGGTTGCCTGTTCACTCTGATGGTAGTTTCTTTTGCAGTGCAGAAGCTCTTTAGTTTAATTATACCCCATTTCTCAGTTTTGGCTTTTGTTGCCATTGCTTTTGGTGTTTTAGACGTGAAGAAGTCCTTGCCCATGCCTGTCCTGAATGGTATTGCCTAGGTTTTCTTTTCTTTTCTTTTCTTTTTTTTTTTGCCTAGGTTTTCTTCTAGGGTTTTTATGGTTTTAGGTCTGACATTTAAGTCTTTAATTCATCTTGAATTAATTTTTGTATAAGGTGTAAGGAAGGGATCCAGTTTCAGCTTTCTACATATGGCTAGCCAGTTTTCCCAGAACCATTTATTAAATAGGGAATCCTTTCCCCATTTCTTGTTTTTGTCAGGTTTGTCAAAGATCAGATGGTTGTAGATGTGTGGTATTATTTCTGAGGGCTCTGTTCTGTTCCATTGGTCTATATCTCTGTTTTGGTACCAGTACCATGCTGTTTTGGTTACTGTAGCCTTGTAGTATAGTTTGAAGTCAGATAGCATGATGTCTCCAGCTTTGTTCTTTTGGCTTAGGATTGTCTTGGAAATGAGGGCTCTTTTTTGGTTCCATATGTACTTTAAAGTAGTTTTTTCCAGTTCTGTGAAGAAAGTCATTGGTAGCTTGATGGGGATGGCATTGAATCTATAAATTACCTTGGGCAGTATGGCCATTTTCACGATATTGATTCTTCCCATCCATGAGCATGGAATGTTCTTCCTTTTGTTTGTGTCCTCTTTTATTTCGTTGAGCAGTGGTTTGTAATTCTCCTTGAAGAGGTCCTTCACATCCCTTGTAAGTTGGATTCCTGGGTATTTTATTCTCTTTGAAGTAATTGTGAATGGGCGTTCACTCATGATTTTGCTCTCAGTTTGTCTGTTATTGGTGTATAGGAATGCTTGTGATTTTTGCACATTGATTTTGTATCCTGAGACTTTGCTGAAGTTGCTTATCAGCTTAAGGAGATTTTGGGCTGAGATGATGGGGTTTTCTAAATATATAATCATGTCATCTGCAAAGAGGGACAATTTGACTTCCTCTTTTCCTAATTGAATACCCTTTATTTCCTTCTCCTGCCTAATTGCCCTGGCCAGAACTTCCAACACTATGTTGAATAGGAGTGGTGAGAGAGGGCATCCCTGTCTTGTGCCAGTTTTCAAAGGGAATGCTTCCAGCTTTTGCCCATTCAGTATGATATTGGCTGTGGGATTGTCATAAATAGCTCATTATTTTGAGATACACCCCGTCAATACCTGATTTATTGAGAGTTTTTAGCAGGAAGGGCTGTTGAATTTTGTCAAAGGCCTTTTCTGCATCTGTTGAGATAATCATGTGGTTTTTGTCTTTGGTTCTGTTTATATGATGGATTACATTTATTGATTTGTGTATGTTGAACCAGTCTTGCATCCCAGGGATGAAGCCCACTTGATCATGGTGGATAAGCTTTTTGATGTACTGCTGGATTCGGTTTGCCAGTATTTTATTGAGGATTTTTGCATCGATGTTCATCAGGGATATTGGTCTAAAATTCTCTTTTTTTGTTATGTCTCTGCCAGGCTTTGGTATCAGGATGATGCTGGCCTCATAAAATGAGTTAGGGAGGATTCCCTCTTTTTCTATTGATTGGAATAGTTTCAGAAGGAATAGTACCAGCTCCTCTTTGTACCTCTGGTAGAATTCAGCTGTGAATCCATCTGGTCCTGGACTTTTTTTGGTTGGTAGGCTATTAATTATTGCCTTAATTTCAGAGCCTGTTATTGGTCTACTCAGGGATTCAACTTCTTCCTGGTTTAGTCTTGGGAGAGTGTATGTGTCCAGGAATTTATCCATTTCTTCTAGATTTTCTAGTTTATTTGCGTAGAGGTGTTTATAGCATTCTCTGATGGTAGTTTGTATTTCTGTGGGATCAGTGGTAATATCCCCTTTATCATTTTTTATTGCGTCTATTTGATTCTTCTCTCTTTTCTTCTTTATTAGTCTTGCTAGTGGTCTATCAATTTTGTTGATCTTTTCAAAAAACCAGCTCCTGGATTCATTGATTTTTTGAAAGTTTTTTTGTGTCTCTATCTCCTTCAGTTCTGCTCTGATCTTAGTTATTTCTTGCCTTCTGCTAGCTTTTGAATTTGTTTGCTCTTGCTTCTTTAGTTCTTTTAATTGTGATGTTAGGGTGTCAGTTTTAGATCTTTCCTGCTTTCCCTTGTGGGCATTTAGTGCTATCAATTTCCCTCTACACACTGCTTTAAATGTGTCCCAGAGATTCTGGTATGTTGTGTCTTTGTTCTCATTGGTTTCAAAGAACATCTTTATTTCTGCCTTCATTTCATTATGTACCCAGTAGTCATTCAGGAGCAAGTTGTTCAGTTTCCATGTAGTTGATTGGTTTTGAGAGAGTTTCTTCATGCTGAGTTCTAGTTTGATTGCACTGTGGTCTGAGAGACAGTTTGTTATAATTTCTGGTGTTTTACATTTGCTGAGGAGTGCTTTACTACCAACTATGTGGTCAATTTTGGAATAAGTGCGATGTGGTGCTGAGTAGAATGTATATTCTGTTGATATGGGGTGGAGAGTTCTGTAGATGTCTACTAGGTCTGCTTGGTGCAGAGCTGAGTTCAATTCCTGGATATCCTTGTTAACTTTCTGTCTCGTTGATCTGTCATATGTTGACAGTGGGGTGTTAAAGTCTCCCATTATTATTGTGTGGGAGTCTAAGTCTCTTTGTAGGTCTCTAAGGACTTGCTTTATGAATCTGGGTGCTCCTGTATTGGGTGCGTATATATTTAGGATAGTTAGCTCTTCTTGTTGAATTGATCCCTTTACCATTATGTAATGGCCTTCTTTGTCTCTTTTGATCTTTGTTGGTTTAAAGTCTGTTTAATCAAAGACTAGGATTGCAACCCCTGCTTTTTTTTGTTTTCCATTTGCATGGTAGATCTTCCTCCATCCCTTTATTTTGAGCCTATGTGTGTCTCTGCATGTGAGATGGGTCTCCTGAATATAGCACACTGATGGGTCTTGACTCTTTATCCAATTTGCCAGTCTGTGTCTTTTAACTGGAGCATTTAGCCCATTTACATTTAAGGTTAATATTGTTTTTTATTTTATTTTATTTTTTTTTTTGAGACGGAGTTTCGCTCTGTCGCCCAGGCTGGAGTGCAGTGGTGCAATCTCGACTCACTGCAAGCTCCGCCTCCCGGGTTCACGCCATTCTCCTGCCTCAGCCTCCCGTCTAGCTGGGACTACAGGCACGCGCCACCATGCCCGGCTAATTTTTGTATTTTTAGTAGAGACGGGGTTTCACCATGTTAGCCAGGATGGTCTCGATCTCCTGACCTCGTGATCCGCCCGTCTCGGTCTCCCAAAGTTAAGGTTAATATTGTTAATGTGTGAATTTGATCCTGTCATTATGATGTTAGCTGATTATTTTGCTCTTTAGTTGATGCAGTTTCTTCCTAGCATTGATGGTCTTTACAATTTGGCATGTTTTTGCAGTGGCTGGTACTGGTTTTTCCTTTCCACGTTTAGTGCTTCCTTCAGGGGCTCGCCTGGTGGTGATAAAATCTCTCAGCATTTGCTTGTCTGTAAAGGATTTTATTTCTCCTTCACTTATGAAGCTTAGTTTGACTGGGTATGAAATTCTGGGTTGAAAATTCTTTTCTTTAAGAATGTTGAATATTGGCCCCCACTCTCTTCTGGCTTGTAGAGTTTCTGCCAAGAGATCTGCTGTTAGTCTGATGGGCTTCCCTTTGCGGGTAACCCGACCTTTCCCTCTGGCTGTCCTTAACATTTTTTCCTTCATTTCAGCTTTGATGAATCTGACAATTTTGTGTCTTGGAGTTGCTCTTCTCGAGGAGTATCTTTGTGGTGTTCTCTGTATTTCCTGAATTTGAATGTTGGCTTTCCTCGCTAGGTTGGGGAAGTTCTCCTGGATAATATCCTGAAGAGTGTTTTCCAACTTGGTTCTGTTCTCCGCATTACTTTCAGGTACACCAATCAGATGTAGATTTGGTCTTTTCACATAGTCCCATATTTCTTGGAGGCTTTGTTCGTTTCTTTTTACTCTTTTTTCTCTAAACTTCTCTTCTTGCTTCATTTCATTCATTTGATCTTCAATCACTCTTACCCTTTTTTCCAGTTGATCAAATCGGCTACTGAAGCTTGTGTGTGTGTCACATAGTTCTTGTGCCATGGTTTTCAGCTCCATCAGGTCATTTAAGGTCTTTTCTACACTGGTTATTCTAGTTAGCCATTCGTCTAATCATTTTTCAAGGTTTTTAGCTTCTTTGCGATGGATTCGGACATCCTCCTTTAGCTCGGAGAAGTTTGTTATTACCTATCGTCTGAAGCCTTCTTCTCTCAACTCGTCAAAGTCGTTCTCCGTCCAGCTTTCCTCTGTTGCTGGCGAGGATCTGCGTTTCTTTGGAGAAAAGGCACTCTGATTTTTAGAATTTTCAGCTTTTCTGCTCTGGTTTCTCCCCATCTTTGTGGTTTTATCTACCTTTGGTCTTTGATGATGGTGACGTACAGATGGGGTTTTGGTGTGGATGCCCTTTCTGTTTGTTAGTTTTCCTTCTAACAGACAGGACCCTCAGCTGCAGGTCTGTTGGAGTTTGTTGGAGGTCCACTCCAGACCCTGTTTGCCTGGGTATCACCAGCGGAGGCTGCAGAACCGCAAATATTGCAGAGGAGCAAATGTAGTTGCCTGATCGTTCCTCTGGAAGCTTTGTCTCAGAGGGGCACCCAGCCGTATGAAGTGTCAGTCGGCCCCTACTGGGAGGTGCTTACCAGTTAGGCTACTCGGGGGTCAGGGACCCACTTGAGGAGGCAGTCTTTCCATTCTCAGATCTCAAACTCCGTGCTGGGAGATCCATTACCCTCTTCAAAGCTCCGTTGGAAATGCGGAAATCACCCGTCTTCTGCGTCGCTCACGCTGGGAGCTGTAGACTGGAGCTGTTCCTATTCGGCCATCTTGGAACCTCCCCTTTTCCTCCCTTTCTTGATTCTTTGTGGTAAAGCTCTATATTGTGCCATTTTAGAAGCTGTATACTGTGCGCCTTGCACTCCAAAAGTGAATTCCACTTGTTCTGTGTAGCCAATGCTGAGCTGTAGTGAACCAACAGTAAGGCTGACTGTAGGCAGCTTTTATCTACCAACACACTGTTGAAAAAAAATCGTAAGATTTTCTACAGTGCTGATAGAAATGTACTTGCCAAGCAGGCTGTTTCTTGTCCCCAGAAAGCTGAAATTTACATAATATACGAGTGACACATACCTGACACTTCCATAAGTCTATGACACCAGATTGGCTTGAGGTAAATTATTCTAAGAAGTGAAAAGTAAACCAGCTCCAGAAACTTTTGGGTTTTCTTTTTTTTTGAAGACCTGAAAGGTGTGGATGTATGACAGAATGGGAAATAGTGTAAGTATAATTTGGTAGACAAGGAGACCTGGATGATGGAAGCTCCTGAGTTTACTTTGTGAATTTGATTTAGTTAGTGAAAATCCTTCACTTTCAGGCTTCAGTTTTTTTGTTTTGTTTTTTTTTGTTTTTTGAGATGGAGTCTTGCTCTGTCGCCCAGGCTGGGGTGCAGTGGCGCGATCTCGGCTCACCGCAAGCTCCGCCTCTCAGGTTCACGACATTCTCCCGCCTCAGCCTCCCGAGTATCTGGGACTACAGGTGCCCGCCACATGCCCGGCTAATTTTTGTTTTTTGTATTTTTAGTAGAGAGGGGGCTTCACCGTGTTAGCCAGGATGGTCTCGATTTCCTGACCTTGTGATCCGCCTGCCTCGGCCTTCCAAAGTGCTGGGATTACAGGTGTGAGCCACCGCGCCTGGCCTCAGGCTTCAGTTTTGTATTGATTAATAAGAGAAACATAGTGAAGTGGAAAGAGCACTACCCTAGAAGGAAAAAGAGCTGCTTATTCTTCTAAGTCCTCACTCTATAACCCTGGGCAAATTTCTGAAATATGGGCTTCAGTTGCCTCATCTATGAAGTGGGTTTAATAAAGCCTTACATGATAATAATAATAATATAATAATTATATATTATAATATGCAGTTTTTACTAAACTAATACCATGTCTCAGCTACTACAATTCTTTGAGATGGGTACTATTATTATTGTTATCTCTGTTTTATAGAGGAGGAAGTGGATGCTCAGAAAGATTAAAATAGCTTCTTCAAGTTCACAAGCTGTTAAGTGACAGACTCAGGAATCAAGCCTCATCTGCAGTATTATAGAGTCCACTGTTCTCTACTGCCTCCAAGCCACTTTACTGCTTAATGTTGCTAGAGGGCTAACCAGATCATATTTGGAGGTTTCTTCTAGCTATAATTTCTACTATTTTTGAATTCTCCCTTATGAACTATACTTTGCAAGCTTATCACACAGCCTTAGCTGGTGACCTCAGTTTACTGCCATTTAAATGTTTAATATGGCCTTTTGGGGGATGCAACTAGAGCTGACTATAAAGAGCAGGAAGCATGATTTTCAAAAATATGTTAACGGTATCCTTCCATCTTACAGTTTCGAGTTCACATCTTGAGACTTTCATATATTTAGCCGTGGGTGATTTACCTTTAAACAGTGATAAAAGTACTCCTTGAAATTGTATTTGGAAGGCTTCTCTTCTGATTTTCTTCTCTGGGTCTGCTTGCCCTCTCACCTATGCTGTCTGTCACTCCTTGGTTGTTGGTGTTTTCAAACAAGTCCATGACTGTTCCAGCAAATCTGGATAAACTGTAAAACACAAGTGGCTGAACAGTACTTTGTGTATGTCTGCAAGACCATGAGCTCTGTAGATCATATTCCTCTGGACACTCTTGAAAGACGGATACTAAATCCCAGAGGATTTTCTTTTATGTTGTATGTAACCTCTACCTCTGAATGTTGTCCTTCAACCAGTGGAAGGTAAAAGAAATTAATATTTAGAGGTGCTACTCTAAGAATAGGCCAAATGTCAGCACTGGGTCAGGACCTCTGAAGAAATACATCCAAGAAAATGGGCGAGAGTAGCTCTAACTTAGAAACCACAGCAGAGTGTGACCAGATTCTTGTGGTAAAGATAAAATGAGAAATGTGGCTTTTTGAGACATTGGAAAATAATGATGAGAGAAAAACAGGATGAAATCTGAGAATTTGTATCAGAATTGGGAACCATTCTTCACAGGCTAAATTGATAGTTCCAACACTATGGCATCAGGGAGCTTGACTTCCACATACTAATATAGAAAAGAATAATATTCTGTGGTCTTGGTTGGTGGGCCCAGGAGAGCTCGCTTTTATGATCAAGTGTCTTGTTTTCGTTTTTTAAAGGATGATTTTAGTTTTTTGGTGAAGTTTTTATGATGACTGTTTTGGTTGCAAGGGAAAGAAGTACACAGACTACCTTTGGTTTATTTTAAGGATACGTGAGAATATGCAGCATTCATTTGTGAATTATTCATTCACAAATTACTTTTGGGCACCTACTCTGTGCCTGTGTGTACTATGCAATGGGAATAGAGCAGTGAGCAAGACAAATAAGGTACCTATCTTTATGAACCTAGTGTTTTAATGAGGGTAATAATCAATAAACAAGCAAACTGATGGGGATGAGAATAGCTAATAGTTAATAAGCACTGTGTGCTAGGCACTGTTCTAAGCATATAATATCCATTATTTTATTTAATCTTCACAGTTCTATATAAACAGGGTATTAGTATTATCCTCATTTTACTCATAAGGAAATTCAGGCTATAAAAGTAACATTCTCATGGTTACATAGCTGGTAACTGTAACAAGACAAATAACAAGAAAACAGCCAGAGTAAGGTAATATATAGTATGGACAGGGAAGTCCTCTTGGAAGAGATGACGATTGAGAGCTCATCCCATCAGAGAGCCAATAACTTAGCTCAGAGGGTGATGCACCTTTTCTTTGTCCACCTTGATTATCTAAGTAAGCTTCCTGTGTCCAAAAATGATCATTTGATTGATTTTATTTGTTGCTACTGAGAATGGAGTACCCTTACTAGGCAGTGTTCTTAGGACCCCCTCATGGGTAACTGGCCTCCCTCATGCTCTGCTCCTATTTAACCAGTGAAAGTAAATAAAATAATTCATCATCAAAAGTATTTGTGTTCTACACTACATAGTATAAATATGGAGATGGAAATCTTTGTCAGTTTTTAGAAAAGGAGCATTAATAATTTCATTTTGATACATGTTAATCATCAGAATTAATTTTGATTCAAATAAATCCATAAAATATGAACTTCATTAATTCATCCTTGGAGAAAAAAAGAGATTCCAATAGTGCATACCCGTTTTTTTTTTCTTTTTTCTTTTCTTTTACTTTAAGTTCTGGGATACATGTGTAGAACGTGCAGGTTTGTTACATAGGTAATAGTGCATATTCCTAAATAACTTAAAACGTAACTCTAATGAAAACAATCCATGATTATAAAATATGTATCATTTCTTGTTATTTTTTTTTTCAGACAGGTGCTTTAAGCCCTATGAAAAGATGACCCACTTCTTTCCTACATAATCTATAACAATCAGGGCATAAACATTCATTCTAAAGGTGACAGATTTTTTAAGGATCATTCACCATCTAGAGTTTAAATAATGTTGTTTGGGGTTCTTCTTGTGTCCATGGTAACAGAGGAGCAGGTGTGAGGCAACAAGAAGCACATCAGAACAAACCAAGACTTCGCTGATTTCCAGCTTGTAGCTCTGAATGAGAGATGGACTTGAGACTTCTTTGGGCCATTTCTGCTCATGTTTTCTCTACTTATTTACGTTAAATTGAGCCAAAATGTGGTGTGGTAAAGTAATGGTGACTAATCCTATTATAGACTTCTTCAAAAGGGGTAATGCTTCCCCCTTTACCCACCCCCTCCCCTGACTTTTTTCCATAGTTCAGTTCTTAGCTGTTAAACATTGTAACAGAAAATTACCCGTTTCTCATTGTCAGCATCTGGTTTCCCACAGACTCAGATAATTGTCAGGAAGAGATTTGCCTTCAGTTAAAGCAACCCTATCCCCACTGTTACTAGGCCAGGCACCTCTGTTAGACCATCATAGAACCAAATCTATAGAGGATTCTTTCTGGCTCTTTTCTGTATTACTAGAGGTATGCTATAGCAAAAAGACTACAGGGAGCCATGGTGGTGAGTTAAGAGTCAAAATCTGTTTTGAAACTTAAAAATCCAGGGTCATTGAGGATGCAAGAAGTTGCCTGTTTTTGTAGAATCCATCTCACTTCTTCAGTCCCTTTGTATTATGGTTACAGGAAACTATCCAGCAGCACTTGACCTGGTAATGGAGGAAGCTATTTCACAGCCCACTGGTCCCTTGACTCGTTTAGAAGTCAGAGTCAAAGGTTACAGAAGTAATAATTGGGCCCAGATTCTCCCTGTCAGGAAAGACCTTGTTCCCCCCACCCCACCCCCTGCCTTCTACAAGTTAAGAGAAACTTATCTGTTATAAAACCATTCAATAAGAGGAAATGAAGAAACACCATCCTTGGCTGAAGTGTTCTCAAGCCCCAATGATACTATTTCTGTTTTCATGGGAGCTGCTTTTGCAGCTAGCTAGTATAAAATTTAGGTCTGATTTTTTACATTAAAATATCTCCCCTTAGATAAATAACTTGATTTATTTCAATCTATAAATAATATGAAGGATCTTTATTTGGTCCAAGCCCTGATATTCCTTCACACCACCACTCTGATAATTCCCTGAATACTTGTCTGGCAATCAAGTACACTCACACGAGTCTTAATTAACAAGTGTTATGCCATTAGCAATGTAAAGTCAGTCATCAAAAGTTAAGAAACTAGGCCAGATTATAGGCTCACACCTATAATCCCAGCACTTTGGGAAGCCAAGGTGGGAAAATCACTTGAGGCCAGGAGTTTGAGGCCATCCTGGGCAACACAATGAGACCCCTGTCTCTACAAGAAGAATAAGAAGTTTAAAAAGCTTTACTTCACCAGCAACAGAACAATTTAAAATTTTCAGTGCTTTTAATTTCTTCCATAATTTGCTCAGAACTCTAGCAGATCAATCTGTGGTGCCATTGGCACAGGCTTGGCACTGGAGTAGGAAAGAATGACACAATTTGGCACCTTTAACCAGAAGATCTTTAATGAGCTGGCGTGGGGGTGGAGGGGACAGAGAGGAAGGAAGGACAGTTAGGATTTTGGCAGTAACACAAAGGTTCTTCTTCCCTGAGAAAAGTGAAATGAAAGTCAAATGAAGCTTCACTCTGCTTTTAGAATTTGCTAAGATGTTTGTCTGTCTCTCAGCTCCCGGCCCCCTTGCAGGTGCATCATTATAGTCAGTGACTTCTCCAAAAAACAAATTGTCTCTCAGGATCCTTCAGGAGGGGTCATATCTAACCAATTTCTTGTCTGAGGACATAATTGTGATTCCCTTCTTCAACTATCAGATGCAATGCTACCAGCACTGCAGAAACTGTCTTATCAGAAAGTGGCACAAATGTGTACATTTCTTCTAGGTCACAGTTCTAGTATTGCTGAGTTCTGGGGCTGCAACAATAGATAATACTACAATGAGAGATGTTTGGGAAAAGCATTGTTTCCTGGGTGGCCGTAGAAGCAGACTTGAAATCATCCCTTTGTCATTAAATAATATCAACAACAAATGTCTTTGTTGATGTCATTGTATTGTAATTTTCTAGGTCTAGATTATTGCTAGGGATGATAATACCTATCTTCTAGGGTTGTTATGCAAATCACATGAAATTACACATGCAAGATGTCTGGCTATATATAATTCATCTTCATTGTGTGTTGTTCTCCTTAAGCTCCACTTTTCTGGGATTTTTGTATCTCTGTGGATCTGGATAGTCTTCCTTTTCTCTCTCTTTAAATGGCATCAGAGTTGAAGATCTTGAGGACTTTTTAGTCTCTCTTTTGTTTTTTGTTGTTGTTGTTGTTACTGGTTTGTTTTTGTTTTTGTTTTTTTGTTTTTGTTTTTTTTTTTTGAGATAGTGTCTCACTCTGTCACCCAGGCTGGAGTTGTAGCACAAACATGGCTCATTGCAGCCTTAACCTGGGCTCAAGCAATCCTCCTGCCTCAGCTTCCCATGTAGCCATGACCACAGGTGCGTGCCACCATACCCAGCTAACTTTTTTTTTTCTTTTTTATAGAGACGGGTCTCATTTTATTGCTCAAACTGGTCTTGAACTCCTGGGCTCATGTTATGCTCCTGCCTCAGCCTCCCAAAATGCTAGAATTACAGGTGTGCGCCACTGTACCTGGCCTCTCTTACTTTCTATAACACTTCTTTCTTGCCCTGTATTTTGTGTACGTTTTTGGAGACTAAAACATTCAATGATTGCCTGCATGACTCTTAACCACTTCACTCATCATTTAGTTCATTCACAGAATAGCCTAAGAAAGCTTTTCTATCTTTGTTTTCTTTGCATATGCCATTTTCTCACTTCCTGTCTTTACCCCCTTTCCTCTAGATACAGAATTTTAAAACTCAAGGTGTAGTGGGAGACTTGAGTCAGTCAACTCTATCCAACTTGTGTTGTTCCCACTCTTAGCTCTAGCAGTACAGTGATGGGCTCAGGGTAATGAAAAGCAGACTTTCTCTGCTGAGGTCATTGCTCCTCATGCTGGCAGCCTGCTCCAGGAAGCTGTTTATCTATGCTTGCAGAGCCAAGCTCCAGCCTCTGAACAGTTGGAATGTATTGAGAAACCACAGAGCCCAAAGAGAGAACATTACACAGGCAGTTCCAGGCAGGGAGAGTATATTTACACCAGACAAACTGCAGCTTACATGTGTGGGGATAATTGTTCATCTGCACACTCTCATACTTTACCTTCTATGCAATCTATATACCCTCTCAAGAAGGTTTAACCAGGAGAACTTGTACTGCTATGTCCAAATTACCCTGAACATCCCCTAAAATGTCATAAGGAAAAAGAGATACTACAGAAAATTGATGTAAAAACTTTTTAAGATAGTGGTTTTTTTGTTTTTCTGAGTCAAATTTTATGTTTAGAATCTTAGACCATGTAAGCCTGATCACTAAAGCATTCAAAAACACTGTTTCTTGCATGGAAATGTTTTTCTTCATCCCTTTACAAAAATATTAAGTATTGTTATAGAGCTTCAAATGTGCTCTATATTAATAGGAATATAAGATATGGTCACTTCCCTGTAAGATGTAATCTGGTTAAAGAGGTAAAACTCATTGAATAACGAACAATTACAGAGCAATACAAGACCTTATATAATGGCATTAAGTTATATGGCCCAGTACACTGAGAATTGAGAGTAAGGAAAAATAATGGCTATTAGTTAAGTAAAATTAGTTGAGTCTTATAGAGGAGTTTGTCTTAATTTTGGAAAGGAAGGTAGAGTTTGGATAAACAAAACAGAAAGGAGACATATTTTGCAACATGAAAGCACCATAACATAGTGGTTAAGAACATGGACTTTGGAATCAGATAGGTCTATGTTAGAGGGCCTGCCACTTTCTGGTATGAGATCTTGGGCAGATTGCTTACCTCATCTATAAAATAGGGAGACTCATATATAAAATATAAAATTCCATGTTACATAATTGTTGGAATGATTAAATGAGTTAATGAAAGTAAAGTGCTTGGCATTTCACTTAAGATACAATAAGTGTTGAATTAATTAGTAGCTACTGCTACTACTGTTGTTCACTCATTCATTCAATATATATTTATTGAGTGCCTACGTCTTAGCGTTCTAGATACTAGGGATATAGCAGTGAAAAAAACAGACCAGAAATTTCAACTCTTATGGAGCTTCCATTCTGAAATTGTTTTCATTTTACCTTTTTAGAATGTGTGTGAATAATTTTGGACTTACATAAAGTTTAAAAAAATCTATATATGGAGTTCCCACATCCATTTCATACAGCTTCTACTAATGTTAACATTTCCTGTATCCATAATATAACTGCCAAAATCAAGAACTTAACATTAATTCAAAACTATTAACTAATCTATACGTCTTATTTACATTTTCACCTCATTTTTGAAGGGCAGTTTTTTTCCTGAGATAAATTCTAGGTTGGCAGCTGTTTTACCATTCCATTATCTTTTGGTTTCTACTGACTTTGTTGAGAAGTTGCTCTCAGTTTTATTCTTGCTTCTTTGAAAATAATCTTTTTTTAAATCTCTGGATGGTTTTTGGATATTTCTACTTGGTCTTTGGTTTTTGATAGTTTTAGTGTAATGTGTCTAGTTTTGCTTTTCTTTATATTTAAACTATTCGGTGTTCTTAGTGCTTCTTGAACCTATAGCTTGATATCATTTATCAGTCCTGGAAAACTCTCAATAATTAGCTCTTCAAATTTACTTCTGTTCTACTCTCTCTCTGTCTCTGTCTCTTTTTTTTTTTTGAGGCAGGATCTCTGTCTGTCACCCAGGTTGGAGTGCAGTGGTGCAGTCATGGCTCACTGCAGCCTCTACCTCCTGGGCTCAGGCAATCCTCTTGCCTCACTCAGCCTCCCAAGTGGCTGGGACCACAGTTGCACGCCACCACACTCAGCTAATTTTTTTTTTTTTTTTTTTAGAGATAGGGTCTTGCCATCTTGCCCAGACTGGTCTCAAACTCCTGGGCTCAAGTGATCCTCCTGCCTCGCCCTCCCAAAGTGCTGGGATTACAGACATGAGCCAACACGACTGGCCTCTACCCTCTCTTTACTCCTATTGGGATTCTAATTACACAAACATTAGACCTTTTCATAGTATTCTCTGTCTCTTATGCTCTTTTTTGCATTTTCTATCATTTTGTGTGGTTTTTTTTTTTTTTTTTTTTTTGAGACAGAGTCTCACTCTGTCACCCAGGCTGGAGTGCAGTAGCACTATCTTGGCTCACTGCAACCCAGGTTTGCCTCCCAGGTTCAACCCACTCTGCCTTCCTGGTTCAAGTGATTCTTCTGCCTCAGCCTCCTGAGTAGCTGGGATTACAGGCGCCCACCACCGTGGCTGGCTAATTTGTGTTTTTAGTAGAGATGGGGTTTCACCATGTTGGGCAGGCTGGTCTCAAACTCCTGACCTCAAATGATCTGCCTGCCTCGGCCTCCCAAAGTGCTGGAATTACAGTCATGAGCCACCATGCCCAGCCCATCATTTTGTAGTTTATGCTTTATTCTGGATATTTTCTTCTGATCTATTTTCCAGGTCATTAATTCTCTCTTCATTTCTGTGTAATTTACTATTAAACCCATCTACTGAGTTCTTAATTCTAATTATTGTATTTTTTTAGTTCAAGTATTTTTATTCAGTTTTTGTTTGTTTCCTTGCTAAATCTTGTCTTTCATTTGCTTGAACATAGTAAATAAAGCATGGTTATTACAAAGTCCATAATTTATTGTCTGGATACCCTGTGGGTCTGTTTCTGTTTTCTGTCCTATCCATTTTTTTTTTACTCCATTATCTTATCTTGTGTTATACTTTTTTTTTTCTCTAGTTGAGTTATGTAAATTGTGTATGAGTTATGTAAATTGAAAAACTATACAGATAATGTGAGGCCCAGAATGATGTTATCTTTCTTCGGAGGGGATTTATATTTGCTTTTGGCAGATGGCCTGGGCACTAGCAATCCTGGATTACCTCAATCCCATGAGGGTTTGAAAGGATTTGAATATAGATTTACATCTCAGGGAGGGCTGATTTTCAGTATAGCTCTGAGGAGTGCCAAAAGAGCTTTAGGGTTTACCAGAGTCCCAGCCCCCAACGTGGGTGGGTCCTGAACTCTATTTTTTTTTTCTTTTCTTTTTGAGACTGAGTCTCACTCTGTCGCCCAGGCTGGAGTGCAGTGGAATGATCTTGGCTCACTGCAACCTCTGCCTCCCGGGTTCAAGTGATTCTCCTGCCTCAGCCTCCCAAGTAGCTGGGATTACAGGCCTGCGCCACCATGCCAGGCTAATTTTTTGTTTTTAGTAGAGACGGGGTTTCACCGTGCTGGCCAGGCTGGTCTCGAACTCCTGACCTGGTGATCTGCCCGCCTTGGCCTCTCAAAGTGCTGGGATTACAGGTGTGAGCCACCGCGCCCAGCCAACTCTGATTTTTTATCTGCAAGCCCTAACAGTCATTTGAAAACTCAGGAACTTAACATTAATTCAAAATTATTAACTGCTTAGTGTATCAGTTGAATCTTCCAGAACTGGCAGAGGCCCCTAGAGCTACCAGTGATATAATAATACCTTATTTCTGAAGTGGTGATAAGTATAAATGATATTGTGAGATATCTGGTATGACAGTAATGTTATATGAAAATATCTGAGGTTTCTTTTTTTTTATTTTAAAGTTTTTTGTAAAGATTTGGTCTTGCTATATTGCCCAGGCTACTCTCAAACTCCAGTCCTCAAGTCATCCTCCTGCCTCAGCCTCCTAAAGTGCTGGGATTACAGGTGTGAACCACTGTGCCTAGCCAATATCTGAGATTTCTATTATTGAAAGAGTCACAGGTACTGTTAATTCTGCTATGCTTATATTCATAATAGAAGGAAATGCCAAATTCCAGTTAGAGGTTAGTAAAAATAAACATAAAAATTTCCCTGGCTCATGCCTCCCAGCACTTTGGGAGGCTGAGCAAGCAGATCACAAGGTCAGGAGATCGAGACCATCCTGGCTAACACGGTGAAACCCCGTCTCTACTAAAAATACAAAAAAATTAGCTGGGCGTAGTGGCAGGCTCCTGTAGTCCCAGCTTCTCAGGAGGCTGAGGCAGGAGAATGCCAGGAACCCAGGAGGTGGAACTTGCAGTGAGCCAAGATCACACCACTGCACTCCAGCCTGGGCAACAGAGCAAGACTCCATCTAAAAAAAAAAAAAAAAATTTCCCTATCCAAGTGTGTGGATCTCTTGAATTTAATCCATGGACCCTTCTGTTTAGAAACCCTACACATTGGGAAAAGTGGCACTAAATGCTCAGCTCACCTTTCTCGGTTTTATTCTCTCATAACTTGGCCTTGTCATTCTTCATTTGCCTTGGTGGCTCTCTGATGACTTCAGACAATTGTCTTTAATAATTTATCCATTTTTTTCTCAGCCAGAAGAGTTAGTCTGAATTACCTACTCTACTTTTATTGGAGGAAGAACTCTTTTAAAACTTGCATTCTGATGGAACATATTAATAATTAGTTGAAGTAGAAAATATCATACACTGCAAGGGATCATAAAGGAATCTAATTTGACTCATGGAGGACTAGTACAAGGTAAAAAGCAACAAACAGAAAATATATAATGAGGATAGGGCCAGTTTGTGGAAGGCTCAATTATATTGAAATAAGTAGAAAGGTAAAATGGCTGAGTGTGGTGGCTCATGCCTGTAATCCCAGCACTTTGGGAGGCCAAGGCGGGAGCATCAGCTGGGGTCAGGAGCTCGAGACCAGTCCGGCCAACATGGTGAAACCCCATTTCTACTAAAAATAGAAAAATTAACTGGGTGTGGTGGCAGGCGCCTGTAATCCCAGCCACTTGGGAGGCTGAGGCAGAAGAATTGCTTGAACCTGGGAGGCAGAGGTTGCAGGGAGGTTGCAGTGACCCAAGATCGCACTACTGCACTCTAGCATGGGCAACAGAGTGACAGAGTAAGACTCTGTCTCAAAAAGAAAAAAAAAAGGAAGAGGAAGAAAGGCAAAGACAGTACCTCATAAATGCTGAGAAACTCATTGTTTGGTCTTCTTTCAATTTTTAAAATTCAGTAACTATTTATTAAATAGTTATCATATGCCAATCACTGTGTGTCAGATATGGTCCTCAAGAAATTCACTGTCATGTAAAAATTAGATAGTGACACAAATACAATTAAAATAGAGCATTAGAAGTTCTGGACTAGTGAGTAAACTTTGACAGGAAAAGTGATTATTTATACGGTCAGGAAAGAATTCACAGAATAGTGACATTAATTTAGTTTTAAAGAATGTGTAGATAATTATCAGACAGAGAAGAGAGAATGGAACTCCGGGAAGCGAAGACTACTTGGGAAAGGAGTGGAAATAAAAAGTAGATCCCAAGTTTAGTGTGCCTTGGCAAAAAGAGGAAAGTGGATGGGAATGGAGATCATGTTGAGAAATGAAATTCCTCAAAAGAGTGGGACCAGCTTTTCTTCAAAGAGTCTCACTTTATACAAATTCCGTAGCAGTAAATGTTCTTGGCCGAAGCAACGGAATCTGTCTCTGGCTATCTTAAGCAAAGAGACTGGAGTGGAAAGATGTGTCAGTTGCAGTAGCTGCTTATGGATCAGACTGTTGTGGTGAGACCTTTGCCTAGTTTCCTGATGCTCAGCCTCCAAAGCTCCTTTGATTCCTGTCTGTTTTTCAAGTCTGATGGTTCAGCCACCTGTGGATTTTGTGAGCCACTAATAATACCCTTCCAGCAGAGCCCTTTTTTGCTTAAGATAGTGAGACTTGGTTTCTGTTGCTTGCAACCAAGAACCCTATTACTGTTATTAATTTTTTTGGTACATTCTTGAGTCATTTAGGAATGTATTAGTTACCAGATGAAACTGAATTCTCATAAATGTTATTTGGTAGTGACTTTTACTTTGTAGGGAAAAAGAGGTATGATTGGACTGTTATTCTTATTTACAGGTAATATTTAGATTTTGTTTGATGTTAACACTGTCCCTGGTAAATTTTTTTTTCTTCTCTCAAGCTTCAGTGTGATTCCCCAGGAAAATCTTGGAAATTGCCAATAGAGAAGATGTATTACTAAGTATCAGAAGTTTTCTTGGAAGGACATCTAATAAGTTTCCCAAGATGTGATTCTGCCTGTTCAGTAGTTGCTTGAGTGCTGATGAAATTCCCCCCAAACACTTCCTAATATATTATTGAAATATTTGAGATAAAGGAAAGCTGAACATATTAAAACTAATTTTTAAGTGGTGAGAGAAGTGGAATTGAAGTCTATTTGAGGAATTTGAAACATTTATCACCCACGGTTTTTCCAAAAATATACATTTGTGTCAGTCTGTCAAACTTTTTATCAAAAAAAACTGTGAATTATCCATTTAAAATACATTTTTATTACATTTTCTTCTGTATCTGAGAAATATGCCAGATGGTAGAAATTTCCTAGAAGTCTCTGACACTTACAGATTGAAAGATGAATGACGAGAAGACAAGAATTTGGGTATCCAGATTAATAGATAGAACTTTACAACTATTGACTTCTTATTTGCTCTTGTTGAGTTTTGAAAAGGAATTAGGCAAGGTAGATGAAAATAGAGATTCTTCTCCCTTCAGTACCCATGTGATTTAACACAGCCATAGAAGGCTCCAAGTTTTGGGGTGTGGGCACAATTTCAAAGATATATTTCTATTAAGCTTCTTGAGAGTGATATGAAGAAGAAACGAAGTATAGAGTCTCTCAGATGCAAAAATCACTTAGAGGTAGGCCATGTATCCATCCTTATCACACTTCACTTTTTCCAAGAACTACGACTGGCTTGTCTTTTATGGCTTTTTAAGAATCTAACTTCATTGTGTAATCAGCTTATTTCCTCTCCATTATTAATGCCCTAATTGGCAGGTTTTCTGACCCATTTTCTTTTCTGTGATGCTCTTCTAGATGTCTAAACTTTTCATATCACAACATGGATTTAGGTAGTTTTTCAGTAATAAAAGTTGGTGTGAATATGCAGTAGTATGTGGATTAATTAACATACATTTAACAAATGTTTATTGAAGGCCTACTGCACCCTAGACATGTAATAAATAAATAAACAAATAAATTAGTAAGGTAGCTTCAGATAGTGATAAATTCTATTAAGAAAATCAGGAGCCGGACATGATGGCTCGTGCCTATAATCTCAGCGACTTGGGAGGCTGAAGCGGGAGGATTGATTGAGGCCAGGAGTTCAAGACCAACCTGGGCAACTTAGCAGTACCTCGTTTAAAAAAAAAAAAAAAATTAGCCAGGCTTAGTGGCACACACCTATAGTCCCAGCTACTCAGGGGGCTGAGGCAAGAGGATTGCTTCAGCCCAGTGAACTGTGATCATCCCACTGCACTCCAACCTGGGCAACAGAGTGAGACTGTGTCTCCAAAAAAAGGAAATAAAGGAGGGCTTTGGGATACTGAATGACTGGGAGATGGAAATCTACTTTCAATAGTGTAGTCAGAGAAGGCCTCACTGAGGCTTTCTATTGCCATTGCTATTTTAGATACTTGCTTAAAGAAAGAGAGGTGGTCTTTTAAAAAGTATATTCTTGATTAAGATAATGGAGAGAGAAGAGGAAGAAAAAAGGGATATTACAACCTGTAGCTGTATAGGGGAAAGGAAGAGAAAAAAGATAGGGGATAGGGGATAGCAAAGCAAACTTTATTTGCTTTGTAGATAGCTGTATAGGGGAAAGGAAGAGAAAAAAGAAAAAGAGAAGCTTGAACTTTATTATTTGCTTTGTAAATAATTTGTGACCATTGACTTCCATTTCAAGGATATAATAATGATAGGAATTGGCTGGCAGGTACGACTGGATTCACGATGGGAGCCCTTTCTTTAAATTATGCCACTAGGTCTTCTCTGAGGTGCCTTCTATATAAATCAGGATTCATAATCTCCCTGATTTTACAGGAGCCAGGAACTGAGTCTTCTTTTCTTTCTATCTCTCATAGGAATAAAAGGGGGAAATGAACATTTTTTTATACTACCGAGGTCAGGTATCCTTGGGTCTAATGTTAAACTTAAAACAGAAATTTCTGAGAGAGCCCTTTTATCCTTTGTTATTTAGAAAATACTTGACCCTCCTGTGCCCTTGCTGTATTGGTGCGAGACAGAATGGTTATATATATATTTTATTATATAAATAATAACTATATATAATAATATGTTATTATATAAATAATAACATATATATTTTATTATATAAATAACATATAATCATATATTATTATATAAATAACATATATAATCATATAGCATATATAACCATATGTAGTTATATATAAATGGTTATTATATATAACATATATAACCATATGTAGTTATATATAAATGGTTATATATATATATTTATTTATTTATTGTTGTTGTTTTGTTTTGTTTTAAGTTCCAGGGTACATGTACAGGATATGCAGGTTTGTTACATAGATAAACATGTGTGCCATGGTGATTTGCTGCATCTCTCAACCCATCACCTAGGTATTAAGCCCAGCATGCAATAGCTATTTTTCCTAATATTCTCCCTCCTGCACCCCTCCTAACAGACCCCAGTGTATGTTGTTCCCATCCCCATGTCCATGTTTTCTCACTGTTCATCTCCCACTTGTAAGTGAGAACATGCAGTGTTTGGTTTTCTGTTTCTGTGTTAGTTTGCTGAGGATAATGGCTTCCAGCTCCATCCATGTCCCTGCAAAGGACATGACCTCATTCCTTTTTATGGCTGCATAGTATTCTATGGTGTATATGTACCACATTTTCTTTATGCAGTCTATCATTGATGGGCATTTGGGTTGATTCTATGTCTTTGCTATTGTGAATGAACATATGCATGCATGTATCTTTACAATAGAATAATTTATATTCCTTTGGGTGTATACCCGGTAATGGGATTGCTGAGTCAAATGGTATTTCTGGTTCTAGGTCTTTGAGGAATCATCACACTATCTTCCACAATGGTTGAACTAATTTACATTCCCACCAACAGTGTAAAAGTGTTCATATTTCTTCACAGCCTTGCCAGCATCTGTTGTTTTTTGACTTTGTAATAATAGCCAGGTGCAGTAGCTCACACCCATAATCCTAACACTTTGGGAGGCCAAGGTGGGTGGATTGTTTGAGCCCAGGAGTTTGAGACCAGCCTGGGCAACATGACAAAACCCCATCTCTACAAAAAAATACAACAAAATTAGCCATGCATGGCAGTGCACACCTGTAGTCCCAGCTACTTGGTATGGCTTGAGCCCAGAAGGTCAAGGCTGCAATTAGCCATGAGTATGCCATTGTACTCCAGCCTGAGTGACACAGTGAGACCCCCATGAAAAGAAAGAGAGAAAGAGAAAAAGAAAGGAAAAAGAAAGAAGGAAGGAAGGAAGAAAGGAAGGAAGGAGAGAAAGAAAGAGAAAAGAAAGGAAGGAGGGAGGAAGAAAGAGAGAAGAGAAAGAAAGAGTAAAAGAGAGAAAGAAACAGAAAAGAAAGAGAAAGGAAGGAAGAAAGAAAAAAAGAAAGAAAAAGAAAAAAAAAAGAGAGAAAGGAAAGAAAGAAAGCCTGGCGCGGTGGCTCATGCTTGTAATCCCAGCACTTTGGGAGACTGAGGTGGGTGGATCACCGATCACCTAAGTTGGGAATTTGAGATCAGCCTGACCAACGCGGAAAAACCCCATCTCTACTAAAAATACAAAATTAGCCAGGCGTGGTGGTGCATGACTATAATCCCAGCTATTCGGGAGGCTGAGGCAGGAGAATCACACTTGGACCCGGGAGGCAGAGGTTGTGGTGAGCAGAGATCACACCATTGCACTCCAGCCTGGGCAACGAGCGAAACTCTGTCTCAAAGAAAGAGAAAGAGAGAGAAAGAAAGAGAGAGAGAAGGAAAGGAAGGAAGGGAGGGAGGGAAGGAAGGAAGGAGGGAGGGAGGGAGGGAAAGAGAAAGAAATTAGAAAAAGAAGAGCAATTTAAAAGTTAGGGGGGAAGGGGATGGAAAGAGTAAAGATTAGAGTAGAAATCAATGAAATAGATACCAGAAAAACAGTAGAGAAAATTAGTGAAGCCAAGCAGGTTCTTTGAGAAGATAAATAAAATCGGAAAATCATGAGCCAGACTGATCACAACAAAAGAGAGAAAAGACACAAATTACCAATATCAGGAACGAGAGAGATACATCATTACAGATTCTATAGGTATTAAGAGATAATAAGGAAATATTATCAATTTTATACCAATAAATTCAATGACTTAGACCAAACGGACAAAGACACAAAGGACATTCAAGAATAAATAGATAACTTGAAGAAACAGAATTTGTAGTTAAAAATAATCTCACAGGCTGGGCACGGTGGCTCACGCCTATAATCCCAGCAATCCAAGGCAGGGGGATCGCGAGGTCAGGAGACTGAGACCATCCTGGCCAACATGGTGAAACCCCGTCTCTACTAAAAAAAAAAAATACAAAAATTAGCCAGGCATGGTGGTGCGCGCCTGTAATCCCAGCTACTCAGGAGGCTGAGGCAGGAGAATCACTTGAACTCGGGAGGAGGAGGCTGCAGTGAGCCAAGGTCATGCCACTGCACTCCAGCCTGGCAACAGAGCAAGACTCCGTCTCAAAAACAAACAAACAAACAAACAAAAAATATATATATGTATATATGTATATATATCAGAAACTCCAGGCCCAGGTGGCTTCACTGGTGAATTCTACCAAGCATATTAGGAAGAAAGAACACCAGTTCTACACAAATGCTTCCAGAAAATTGAAAAGAAGTACTTCTGAACTCAATCTAGGAGACTAGCATTATTCTAATACCCAAACAAAACAAAGACATTTCCAGAAAAGAAAACTGCAAACCAATATTCCTTGTCACAAAAATTCTTAAAATTTTAGTAAATTGAATCCAACAATATATAAAAACCATGTGGGATTTATTCCAGGAATGCATGTGGTGGTTTCACATTTAAAAATCAATGTAAACTTAAAAATTCTGGAAAAAGAAATGCGTAACCCACCATATAAAAAGAAAAAAAAAGATCATTTCAATAAATAGAGAAAAAGCATTTTATAAAATCGAGCATTCATTCCTGATTCAAAAAAACAAAAATCAAGACTGTTCATGCTGTCTCTCACCTGTAATCCCAGCACTTTGGGAGGCTGAAGCAGGAGGATTGCTTGAGCCCCAGAGGTGGAGGTTGCAGTGAGCTGAGATCATGCCACTGTACTCCAGCCTGGGCAATAGAGCCAGACCTTGCCTCAAACAACAACAAAGACCACCTAGCAAAGCAGGAATAGAAGGGAATTTTTTCACCAAGTGAAGGGCATCTACGAAAAACCTATCAAACTTAATGGTGAAAGACAGAAGACTTTCCTGCTAAAATCAGGAACAGGGCAACGATTTCCATTCTCACCATTTTTGTTCAACATTGTCCTGGAGGTTCTAGCCAGTGGATAAGGCAAGAAAACTTGAAAAAAAACAAGTTTGTTCACATAGGACATGATTGTCTATATAGAAAAGCCTATGGAATCTACAAAAAACAAAAAACAAAAAACAAAAAAAAAACGCTACTAGAACTAATAAGTGAATTTATCAAGGCTGTATATCAATATATAAAAATTGTATTTTTGTATTCCAGCAAAGAACAATTGGAAATTTAAATTTTAAAAGCAGTGTCATTTACAATAGCATCAAAAAATACAAAATACTTAGAAATAATTCTGACAAAAGGTTTACACTGAAAATTACAAAACATTGCTGAGAGGAATTAAAGACTATAGTGACTGATTAATATATGGTAACAAAGTATATCAGTTGTGGACAGGAGGTCACAGGCAGACAGGAGGGAGGAATTCCAAATAGGGTCAAAGGAAACTTTGGGAGGTAATGGATATGTTCATTATCTTGATTGTGGTGATGGTTTCTTGGGTATACACATATATAAAAACTTACCAAATTATATGTGTACTTTTTCATTTAGTACTTTTTTTTTTTTTTTTTTTTTGAGATGGAGTCTCGCTCTGTCGCCCAGGCTGGAGTGCAGTGGCCCAATCTCGGCTCACTGCAGGCTCCGCCTCCCAGGTTCACGCCATTCTCCTGCCTCAGCCTCCCGAGTAGCTGGAACTACAGGCGCCCACCACCACGCCTGGCTAATTTTTTTTTTTTTTTGTATTTTTAGTAGAGATGAGTTTTCACCGTGTTAGCCAGGATGGTCTCGATCTCCTGATCTCATGATCTGCCCGCCTCAGCCTCTTAAAGTGCTGGGATTACAGGTGTGAGCCACCATGCCCAGCCACTTTTTCATTTAATTCTATGAATTTTTTTTTTTTTTTTTTTGAGATGGAGTCTCACTCTGTTCCCCAGGCTGGAGTGCAGTGGCGCAATCTTGGCTCACTGCAACCTCCACTTCCCAGGTTCAAGCGGTTCTCCCACCTCAATCACCCGAGTAGCTGGGACTACAGGTGCATGCCACCACGCCCAGCTAATTTTTGTATTTTTAGTAGAGATGGGGTTTCACCATATTGGTCAGGCTGATCTTGAACTGCTGACCTCGTGATCTTCCCGCCTTGGCCTCCCAAAGTGCTGGGATTACAGGCGTGAGCCACAGTGCCCGACCAGTTCTATGAATTTTTAACACATGTATATATACAGAACAATTTCATCACCACAAAAAACTCCATACTATCCCTTTATAATCACACCCTCTTCTGTCTCCCAACGCAAACCCCTGACAACCACTGATTTGTTCTCCATCACTATAGTTTTGTCTTTTCAACAATGTCATATCCATGGACTTATACAATATATAAACTTTTTTTTTTTTTTTTTTGAGACAGAGTCTCACTCTGTTGCCCAGGCTGGGGTGCAGTGGCACGATCTTGGCTCACTGAAACCTCCCCTTCTTGGGTTCAGGCAATTCTCATGCCTCAGCCTCCCAAGTAGCTGGGATTATAAGCAGACATCACCATGCCTGGCTAATTTTTGTGTTATTAGTAGAGATGGGATTTCACCATGCTGGCCAGGCTGGTCTCGAACTCCTGGCCTCAAGTGATCTGCCCACCTTGGCCTCCCAAAGTGTTGGTATTACAGGCGTGAGCCACTGTGCCCAGCTTTATACAGTATATAACGTTTTGAGATTAGCTTTTTTCACTCTGCATAATGCTTTGAGAGCTTTGAGATTCCTCCAGGTTGTGGCATGTGTCAGTACTTTGCTTCTTTTTATTGCTGAGTAGTATTGTATTGTATATATGTACCACAATTTGTTTATCCATTCACCCTTGGAAGGATATTTGGGTTTCCCCCAATTGGCAATTATGAATAGAGTTGCTATAAATACTCATGTACTCATTTCTGTGTGAACATACATTTTCTTTTCTCTGAATTGTGTACCCAAGAATAAGATTGCTCACTCAATCACATGGTATGTTTAGCTTTTTTTTTTTTTTTTTTTTTTTTTGAGATGGAGTCTTACTCTGTCACCCAGGCTGGAATGCAGTGGTGCAATGTTGGCTCACTGCAACCTCTGCTGCCTGGGTTCAAGTGATTCTCCTGCATCAGCCTCCTGAGTACCTGGGATTACAGGCACCTGCCACTGCGCCTGGCTAATTTTTGTAGTTTTAGTAGTTACGGGGTTTCACCATCTTGGCCAGGCTGGTCTTGAACTCCTGACCTCGTGATCCACCTGCCTCTGCCTCCCAAAGTGCTGGGATTACAGGCATGAGCCACTACGCCCAGCCATGTTTAGCTTTTTAAGAAAATGCCACAGTGTTGTCCAGAGTGGCTGTACCAGTTAGTATTTCTACCAGCAATATATGAATGATTGGGTTGTTCTATATCCTTGTCAGCACTTGGCACTGTCAGTATTTTTAATTTTAACTATTCTAATAGGTATCTCATTGTGGTCTTGATTTGCATTTCTCAAGTGGCTAATGATGTTGAAAAACTTCTTATTTGCCATTCACATATCCTCTTTGGTGAAGTGTCTGTTCAAACTTTTGCCCATTTTTAAATTGGGTTGTTTGTTTTCCTACTATTGAGTTTTGAGAGTTGTTTATATATTCTGGATACAAGTCCTTTGTAATCTGCAAATATTTTCTACTAGCATTTAGCTTGTATTTTCATTCTCTTCTCAGTGTTATATACAGAGCAAAAGTTTATTTTTTTTTTTTGAGACGGAGTTTTGCTCTTGTTGCCCAAGCTGGAATGCAATGGTGCAATCTCAGCTCACTACAACCTCTGCCTCCCAGGTTCAAGCAATTCTTGTTCCTCAGCCTCCCTAGTAGCTGGGATTACAGGCGTGAGCCATCATGCCTGCCTAATTTTTTTGTATTTTTAGTAGAGACGGGGTTTCACCATGTTGGCCAGGCTGGTTTCAAACTCCTGGCCTCATGTAATCTGCTCGCCTCGGCCTTACCAAAGTGCTAGGATTATAGACATGAGCCACCGCACCTGGCCTGGAATGTCCTTTAAATTTCTTTCAAGAACTTTTTCTTTGCATTCACAACTTGGCTAACTGTTTTGTGTAAGAGGCCTAGCTTTCGGCCTATCTTGGCTTTTGACATGCTCTCTTCACTAAGCTTAATAATTTCTAGCTTTTAATTTAAAGTAAGAGACTCTTCCTTTCACTTGAACACTTAGAGGCCATTGTAGGGTTATTAGTTGACCTAATTTCAATACCATTGTAGCTCAGGGAATAGAGAGCACCAAGGAAAGAGAGGGAGAAAGAGGAATGGCTGGTCGGTGGAGGAGTCAGAACATAACGACATTTATTGATTAAGTTCACCCTCCTATATGGATGTGGTTTGTGGCACCCCAAAATAATTACAATAATAACATCAAAGATCAGTGATCACAGACCATGATAACAGATATACAAATAATGAAAAAGTTTGAAATATTGTGAGAATTACCAAAATGTGAAGCAGAGATATGAAGTGAGCACATGCTGTTGGCACCCATAGACTTGCTTGACACAGAATTACCAAAATCCTTCAATTTTCAAAAAATGCAATATCTACAAAGTACAATAAAATGAAGCATAATAAAACAAGGTATGCCTGTAAATGGTGCACTACACATGCTATTCTGTATAATGAATTTTTTTCTGAATACATAGGCTATATATATTTTAAGATTATTAAATAATATGACATTTAAACATAGCCAATCATATAAGCAAAGTTGTTCAGCTGTTTCTCACACCTGAAAGTGCCCCCCACACCAAATAAAACATTTTTAGATTATGTGTCCCAATTTGGACTTCTGAAAGTATGGTCACCATATGCCAAGGCATGAAGGCATTAACTGGGGAATGAGTATGGAGTTTGATGCCTTTCATCTCCTTTGCTCATCTGTCCCTATCCACATGATGGCTGCATTTGAAATGAAATAAAGTCTACATACTGGAGAATAGTTTATAAATCAATATTTTATGAAAACAGTTATATCTAATAATTTTTTATAAAATAATGTATTTATTTGAGTCTTAAGCTTAGTGATGTAATTAAAAGCCTATTTGGTTTTTTCTTAGGAATCCAAATCCTCTCTTTAATATTTAAACCCTTTAATTTGCTAAAGATAAGTTTTGTGCCCTGTTGACCACCTAATGGAACAAGCAAGTGTTGAAGATCTCTTGTGGTTTTTTTTTTAGTTGCAAATTCTACCAAGCTAACCCATTTATTGCAGTGGATAGGAGCTGGAGAGCTGTTCATTCGGCAATAATAGGCAAAGGGTGGTGGAGGGAAGAAAACTATCTTTCCAATATTTTTGCTTAGGAATTTGGGGATTCAGAATTTAGTCATAAACAACTAGATTAATGTGTTTAAATACTTTGAATCAGTTCTAAATCATTCCTTGTTTTGTAACATACAAGATCTTAGAGATAACTAAAACAGTGGTTGAAAAATTCTGTTGTGGATTGAAGATCCTCCAGAAGCATAATTCACTAATAGGCACAGTGTTTGGGGTGATGGGTAAACAAACATCTGTGTCCTGTGGTTGCCTCTCTGCATAGGAGGAGATATATAGTTTTCAGGCAAGAGATTTCTTTGGAGAGTCCACTGTCTCTGTTTTGCAAGTTATTTATTTATTTTTAATCCCAGAGATAACGAAACCATGTAGTGGCAGTAGATGGTATTATTCATCAGGAGTTTAGGATGTTACCATGTTAGGCCATTTAAAATAAGACAGAAAGGATTACTTTTTGCCAGCTGCATCATTTCTGGCAAGAGCTTACTACTTTGCTTATTGCGGTCATTGTTGTGGTTGTTGTTAACCCATCAGAGAAACTAACCACTACATTGGTTTTAGCCAAATCCTTGTCATCATTGGCCTTACATTCTTTTGGGGACCAAAGAGCACCTGGTCATTCTGAAAGCTTCCATCCCCAGTGATTGATGCTCATCTCTGCAGGCTCCTGCAGGCTCTCTCAAGCTTGCCTCCCATTTTTCCTGAAGCACCTTTAAGCATTTCTGCATGGCTACTCACTCTCTTCTATTATACCTCCTCCTCCTGCCTTACTGAATGCTGAATTTCCCAGCTCACAACTCTAAGAAGGAGCTTTATTTCAGAGTAGAAAGGGGCCCCCATATGTGGCCTATTATATCCATATCAACTTGCTTACCCTTTTCAAACAGCTATTGTCTTTTAATAGGGTCCTGCCTGGCAGGGGGAGTCCTTAATTCCTGCCATATAAGAATGGGCAGCTTGAGTTACAGCTAGCTGCAGTTTGGTGCTCTGATCAAAAGGCCTCTGTTGTTTTTTAGGGTTTTTCCCCCTCCTTCTCTCTCTCTTTCTATATCCTGTGCTAATAATTCAGCACAGCAAGGTCATTACAGGCTTTGAATTGGGAGCTGAGAGTGTTAAATTACTGACCTAGAATAAAAGAGATCTGGGGGGCTCTCAAGAAAGATAAAGTGATTCCGGCTAGTAAAATGCAAGCCCAGCAACCTCACTTCTTAACAATATTATTATTTTTTAATCCCCTCTGTCTCTAAAAGTCTTTTCTGGGACAAGGAGAGATCCCCTGCCAGAGAATTAGGTTAGAAACCCAATGACATCTTCTGAGAGTTGTGGCCCAGGTGCTGGCAGCTTATGGGCGCCTGTGCAGTTGTCCTTTTTGTCTCCCTACCTTGTCAATATTTCACTCTGTTCTACCTTGGTCTCTCAGCCACATATATGGTTTTTTTTTTTTTTTATCACGTAAGTCATATATGTTTATGACATTTCAGCTGAAAGGTAATATCCCATGAAGGGATTTCAGACATGTGGAAAGCATACCACTTAGCCCCCAAAATATCTTAAACATGACATCATCTTATTAAAAGCCACTTTCATTCCATTTATGTTTTGTAAATAATATTAGTCTGGTCCTCCCATACTTTAACAAAAAAAAAGTCCCATTGTAAATGAATTTGATGTCTCCACTCTATTCTACATTGTATCTTCTGAAGAAAGTCATTTCCATTTCTTCATACTATTTTCTTTCATATCTTTCATATGTCCTTTTTTTTTTTTTTTTTTTTTTTTTTTTGGAGACAGAGTCTTGCCCTGTCACCCAGACTGGAGTACAGTGGTGTGATCTCGGTTCACTGCAACCTCTGCCTCCTGGGTTCAGGAGATTCTCCTGCCTCAGCCTCCCAAGTAGCTGGGACTACAGGCGTGCGCCACCACACCTGGCTAATTTTTGGATTTTTAGTAGAGGCAGGGTTTCACCATGTTGGCCAGGCTGGTCTCAAACTCCTGACCTCAGGTGATCCGCCTGCCTTGGCCTCCCAAAGTGCTGGGATTATAGATGTGAGCCACTGCACCCAGCCACTACAGTTATCTCTTAAAGCCATACACTATCCATATCCTCTGGAAAATATTGATTTTCTAAGACTAATATTTTTAGAAAAGTTCCTAAAATCAACTTTCACAGATTTTCTGCACAGCAGAGTAATAATAATAAGATAGTCCCCGAATGTGCCAAGCATTTTACAGAATGCATTATTAACACATTTAACCTTTGGCAACCTTATGTAATAAGCATTCCTGTAATCACTAGTTTACAGAGAAAAATAATTGCAATACAAAGTCATACAGCCAGGAAGATTTGTCCCAGACTAGTGCTTCTTGAACTTTTTCATGTTTGTGTGAATCACCTAGGGATCTTGTTAAAATGCAGAATCAGATTTTGTAGGTCTGGGTTGGGGCCTCAGATTCTGATTTTTAACAGGCTTCTAAGTGATGCTAGTGCTGCTGTCCTTGGTTCACATTTTCAGTAGCAAAGCCATAGTCATTTTTTCTTGAGAACTACTCAAAAAGTTTTTGGTTATAACTTCCAGTTTTTCATTCCATCAGGCAATTCTATGAATATACATAGTGGATATTTCACACCTATATCTTACTTTTTAAAAAATATGATAAAACATAGCACTTAACCCACAAAATATCTTAAATGTTAGAAAATATTTAAGATATTTTGCCTCCTATTGGCCCTGCAGAAGCTGGACCTCCTGAACTGTGTGACCTACTTCAGTGGTACCTCAGGTTCTACATGGTGAGTATCCTGGGGACTGGAAGAGTGGAGATGATCAGGGCCCATAGGGGACCTGGTTAAAATTGACTATTTTAACTATTTTTAAGTGTACAGTTCTGTGGCATTAAATACATTCACATTGTTCTGCAACCATCACTGTCATCCACCTCCATAACTTTTCTATCTTCCTAAACTAAAACTCTGTACTCACTAAATACTGACTTGCCAACTTCCCATTCCTTCTGACCCCCTAGCTCCTGGCAATCACCATGCTACTTTCTGTATCTAGGAATTTGACTACTCTAGGTACCTCAAGTAAGTGAACTCATACAATATTTGTCTTTTTTGATTGGTTTATTTCATTTAGAGTAAGGTCTTCAAAGTTCATTCATGTTGTACCATGTATCAGATTTCCTTCCTTCTTAAGACTGAATAATAGTCCGTTGTATGTATGTATCACATTTTGCTTATCTGTCATTAGACACTAGGGTGGCTTCCACCTTTTGACTGTTGTGAGTAATATTGCTGTGAACATGGGTGTATATATCATATATTTGTCCAAGTCCCTGCTTTCATTTCTTTTGACTATATACCCAGAAGTGGAATTACTGAATTATATGGTAATTCCACCAATATCTTACTTTCTAAGAAACCAGTTTATGTTTAAGTTATTGTGTTCCTTTTTTTTTTTTCTAAGTGAGACAGGGTCTCACTTTGTTACCCAGGCTGGAGTGCTGGAATGCAGTGGCATGAACATAGCTCACTGGCCTTGACCTCTTGGGCTCAAGAGATCCTCTTGCCTCAGTCTCCCAAGTAGCTGAGACCACAGGTGTGTGCCATCACACCTGGCAAATGTTTAAAGATATTTTTCATAGAGACGGGACCTCACCATGTTACCCAGGCTGGTCTCAAACTCCTGGGCTCAAGCAATCCTCTTGCCTTATAGCCTCCCAAAGTGCTGGGATTACAAGTGTGAGCCACTTCACCCAATCTTCTCTCTCTCTTTTTTTTTTTTTAAACATTCCTTACATAAAGTAAATCTTTAAAGGTTTGGCAGGAAGAGTGAGTTTTCAGTACAGATTTTCATTAAAGTCTATTGTCTGTAGCTACTTTGTAATTTTCAATCAATCACAAAAGAATATTGAGAAATGTCCTTTGATCCTTAGAAGGTTGGTAATTGGTTAAATGGCACCAAGTAGAGAATTAGAGAGAGAGTGCTCATGTTCTGAAATAAACCAATACTAAGAAGGTTTATATCACAGAGAAAGTTTTATATAAATGAATTTAAGACCTCACCTGACAAACAGGTAGTCAAGGAACAGGTGAACCCCTTGTTAAATTTATGCTCTCCTTTAAAGATTTTCTGGAACAACTATCCCAGGATCTTCAAAAATTTTGTGGTACCTCTTTCTCTGTGGTCTTTAATAATACATTAAATTCTCGTTTGTTTATAAGAGTTTGGTGCAAGATTCTGCCTGCTACCTAGAGGTCTTTCCTTATGTATCTTTAGAAATGAAATTCTCTATTGGAAATAGGAAAAGAAATAAACTGATATTGAAACCTAATGAGTTAACAGAACATTTGAAGGGAGTTTTAAAAAGGTATCAGGAAGAAACTGATTTTTTTCCTGTGGTATAATACTGAATCATTAAGATAGTAACTTTAATCATTTGTGCCTATAGTGCCCTTATTTTAGGAGTTCCTAGTTACTACAATGGACTTGAACTTGGAAAGGTAAAACAATACAAAATAGCTTTTAACTAAAGTTGGGAATATGAGTGCTTAAAAAATATACATGGATTTACCAGTAGCTTTAGAAGGTAAATATACATGACTACTGAAATAAACTACAATTATTTTCTAAAAAGTGAGACCAACTTTGGAGATAAAACAAATAAAAGAATGAACAGAAGGCGACTCTGGAAATAACGGTAGTAAAGTTATATAGGACATGTTGAGATGATAACCATGAAGAGGAGAATCGAATCATTATCTGCAAGTTTCATGTGGATGGCTCTAAAAGAACAAACCCTGCATCCTAAACCCCCTTCAATTTTATTATTTTGAATTATAATCAAGTCCAAGGAGACTTGGCCTATTATTAACAACTTTGTATGAAGTATTTTTTTCAACCAAATTCATATCATCTTGAATAAGAACAAAGGATTATGGTTTGAGAATTATTATACTTGCTGGACTTTGAACCAACAGAGTTGATATATTTAATACTTCCACTTCTTAGATGAGGTGGTACTGAGGAAGGGGTTTGTAACATCTAAGGGGGCCCATAAAAATAGTGTTTAGTTTTCAGTGAAATCTACAGGTGATGCTAAAATGGGAACATTTTTAAAGGGATCCTAGTGAGAACAAAAAGACAACAAAAAAGAACCTAAAGGCTATAGCTGCAGGCAGAAAATAGAATAAAATTTACCTTAAAATGTTGTCTAGTGCAATGCCAAGCATAGATATACAGTGGATGAGCAAAATCTTGTAAGAAATTAGAATTGAGTTTAAAAAGTTATAAAAGAAAACAGACAAGAAATTAGATGAAACTATGGTATGTGATCTGGCAGTAAAACAGACAAAAGCTGTTTTAAGGTCTGGAGATAGAGAGGAGGGGAAGGAATGGCAGGATCTGCAGATGACTGAGGGAGGCCTCACCTGTGACTAAACTCAGCTTCAGTAGCAGAAGAAAATAGTACAGACAGGGTGAACCAGTTGACAAAAGAGATACAGAGGTTGGAACATAGAGCTGAAGAGAAAGAAATAACAGATGACAGGTTTAGAAACCACATAAAGAATGTGAGATGTAATATGTAGCAGAAGGTGAGATGTAACAGAAATACTGTAAAGAGAAACAGTCTGTCCAGAAACTCTTCCTAGGGGATAAGGCTAGGGGATATTTCCCCAGAGAAACCATGAAAACACAATTATTCTGGATTTCAAGTGAAATTAGGCAAGCTCCTGGAAGCTCTGTTATAAAGAGCTCTGCTTAGAGGCCTTGTTGAAAGAACTGAAGGATCTTGTAGGAACAAGACAAATTAGAGATTTACGGTAATTGTTGTTATTTTTTTTTAATTGACATAACATTACACAATATTTGGAAGACAGGAAGAAATCAATAATAAGCCAAAACCCTAATCCAGTGAATAAATACAATTCATATCTTTTAAATTTTTAATCACTTTCCTTATTCAGACCTACTTTAAAGTAGCTAAAATTGGCTGGGCACGGTGGCTCATGCCTGTAATCCCAGCTCTTTGGGAGGCCGAGGTGGGTGGATCACTTGAGGCCAGGAGTTCAAGACCAGCCTGGCCAACCTGGCGAAACCCCATCTCTACTAAAAATACAAAAATTAGCTGGCCATAGTAGCATATGCCTGTAGTCCCAGCTACTCGGGTGGCTGAGGCATGAGAATCACTTGAACTCAGGAGGCAGAGGTTGCAATAAGTTGAGATCGCAGCACCACACTCCAGCCTGGATGACAGAGGAAGACCCTGTCTCAAAAAAACAAAACATAAATAAATGAAGTAGCTAAAATTATCATGTACACACAATTTTGTTTCCTTTTTTGTTTGTTTGTTTCTTCTTTTATTCTCAGTACCTTCCTCAGGATCCTCCTTAAATATAACATATGAATCATGTTTTTATAATTTAAATTTCTAACATGCTATAAAGAGTATGTATGTGTGCAGTAACCTTTTCCCAGTGCTCGGCGCATTGATTTTCCATCCTGTATTTCCCTGTTTCTACTGGCCTGGAGTAACCAGCCTTATAAAAAAAGATATTCCTTCATACTTAAAGCTGCAAGGGGTAAGCAGATGTGAATTAATCATCTTATATCAGCCGGTAAGAAGCTGATGTGTTAGGGATGGCACCTGCGAGTTTACCATAGCATGCCAGGCCTTCAGGAATGAGTTTTGAAGTTTGAGGGCTTCAAAGGGGAGTTTGAAACATTTTAAAACCCTGACAGGGTTTTACCTGAATTATATGCAAAGATCCAATGGGGGGAAGAGTTTACTTCAGAGAAGCAGCAACTGAAAACCAGGTCCTTTGCGTAGCCTTCCTGGAAAGAACCGTCTTTCTTCCTTAGCAGCAGCCCCCAGGGTAGGACCAGTGCTCTATTTCACGGCTATTTTAAGAAAGTTCTTTATGGATTTGGGTAACAGAAAAGCACTTGGTGAAGTGATCAAGGAAAGAAACTAACTCTGCTACTGAGGATTACTTAGGCAGAAAAAAAATCTTGTTATGAAACACCAATGTTTAAGTCCTTAGAGTGAACTGATAAGCTGATTTGGGGCTTTTTTGCTGTTGCAGAAATTATAAATCCTATCCACTACAATGGCAGCTCAGTTCTCACAGATGGGTTCACCTATCCTTAGACAGTAACTTAAGATTGATAGTCCCTGTTGGATTTCTTCCTAAATTGTTTTTTAAAGAAGCCAAAGATCTTGGATTCTAATTCTAATGGAGCCACTGCTGACAAGAAGAAGATGAAGAAGATTGTTAGTGCTCACTTGCAGTGTGGCACATCTCTATTTTCTTTTTTTTTTCTTTTTTTTTTTTTTGAGACGGAGTCTTGCTCTGTTGCCCAGGCTGGAGTGCAGTGGCACGATCTCGGCTCACTGCAAGCTCCACCTCCTGGGTTCACGCCATTCTCCTGCCTCAGCCTCCCAAGTAGCTGGGACTACAGGCGCCCGCCACCATGCCTGGCTAATTTTTTGTATTTTTAGTAGAGACGGGGTTTCACCATGTTAGCCATGATGGTCTCGATCTCCCGACCTTGTGATCCGCCCGCCTCGGCCTCCCAAAGTGCTGGGATTACAGGCGTGAGCCATCACGCCCGGCCACATCTCTATTTTCTATAGCATTTACAATTATTTCTTTGTAGCCAACAGAAAAGTTGCACTCAATGAACCTATCAATTCATGATGCATATCCGTGGGGAGAAGCTCATTCCGAATACATCATATGTTAAATTTATCCTTGGATTCAGGATCATATTGTTCACTTACTTTTTCCTGTAGTCAGCATGTTGTAATTTTGAACAATAGAATAATAGATAACAACAGCCTACTAGAGAATTAGAAATACTGTAGTTCTAAGAACTGTAGTAATTAGAAATACTGTAGTTCTAAGAACTGTAGTTCTTAGAAATACTGCATTCAACTTTTGTAAAGAAACTTTTTTGTATCACTATATAAGAAAGAAGCTGGTGTGTAAGGCAACTTCTGTGCAAATATGTTGTCTAAACTGCTTTGGGGTTCTGTAACATAGACTAGCTGACTTGCCTCACTGATTTCTCTTATCAAGTTAGCATTGCCAAATTCTATAGCTGATAGGCAATGGGAAGAAAACATTTCAGGGCTTTAGGCTTCCTCTGAATTTCACAAGGAAACAAAGAACAAATCCAGGGATTGTTAGGTCAGGAGACAAAATCATGCCATAGGAATATATATCTTTTTTTTTCTTCTTTTTTTTTGAGACAAGGTCTGGCTGTGTCATCCAGGCTGGAGTGCAGTGATGTAATCTTGGCTCACTGTAACCTCTCCCTCCCGGGCTCAAGCCGTCTTCCCATCTCAGCCTCCCAAGTAGCTGGGACTACAGGCGCAGGCCACCATGCCCAGCTAATTTTCATATTTTTTTTTTTTGGTAGAGACGGGATTTCACTATGTTGCCCAAGCTGATCTCAAACTCCTAGGCACAAGCAATTCATCTGCCTCGGGCTCCCAAAATGCTGGGATTACAAGTGTGAGCCACTGCACCCAGCCACAGAAATATATCTTTAGAGCCTGGTGACTTTGTGCAAAACAAAACTGCAGTTAGCCAACCTGTTAGTGGAAAATATGCCCCAAAAGTCTTCTCCTCCCAGCTTGCCCCTTTCCAACTCAGAATATATTTTTTCCTTCTGTTTATAGAAGCAACACAAGGTTACTTTAAATCATAATTTTGGCCAGGCATGGTGGCTCACTCCTGTAATCCCAGCACTTTGGGAGGCTGAGGTGGGCAGATCACCTGAGGTCAGGAGTTTGAGACCAGTCTAGCCAACATGGTGAAACCCCGTCTCTACTAAAAATACAAAAAAATTAGCCGGGCATGGTGGTGGGCACCTGTAGTCCCAGCTACTTAAGAAGCTGAGGCAGCAGAATCTCTTGAACCTGAGAGGTGGAAGTTGCAGTGAGCCAAGATACAAGATTGTGCCACTGCGCTCCAGCCTGGGCGACAGAGTGAGACTCTATCTCAAAAAAAAAAAAAAATCATAATTTCATAATTTTTCCCAAGATGTTTTGGATCTTTGGTCTTATATATTCTGTGGAGGCCAA